>NC_000008.11:18951011-19254041 GCF_000001405.40 Homo sapiens
TGCATTTTGACTTGACTCCTCCATGTGATTCTTAGGCATGCTGATGTTTGAGGAATATTCATTCTGGAACTATATGAGTATACAACAGAGCCCTCAAAAAGAAAAGGGCATGGTGGCTCATACCTACGATCCCAGCACTTTGGGAGGCCGTGGTGGGAAGGTTGCTTGAGCCCAGGAGTTCAAGACCAGCCTGGGCAACATAGTGAGACACCATCTCCACAAAAAATTTAAAAAATAGCCAGGTGTGGTGGCACATGCCTGTAACCTGTAGTCCCTGCTACTCAGGGGGCTGAGCAGGGAGAATCGCTTGAGTCCATGAATTAAAGGCTACAGTGAGGTATGATCACACCACCGCACTTCAGCCTGGGTGACAGAGCAAGACCCTGTCTCAAGAAAACAAAAAACAAACCAAAAAGGACCACGGAACAGCAGGGCAGTGGAAAGCAAGGAACAAAACCCAATCCTCTAGGGCCACAGCCACCATTCCTACAACACAAACCACAACCACAAAGTACCTGGAAAAATGCACTGACAAGTTAGGATTTCTGGCTTCTTGAGGGTATTTTACAACTGATGTTAACATTGTTAGTTGCTTTTATCAATGGCTTCAAATTTGTGCAATTAGTGAAAATAATTAGCCATGAAGTTGCTTTTGGACCCAAACAATCAAGGAATATAATACTGGGAAATGGGCCAGGCACAGTGGCTCACACCTGTAATCCCAGCACTTTGGGAGGCCGAGGCAGGTGGATCACCTGAGGTCAGGAGTTCGAGACCAACCTGCCAAACATGGTGAAACCCCTCCTCCACTAAAAATACAAAAAATTAGCTGGTGTGGTGGTGGGTGCCTGTAATCCTGAGGCAGAAGAATCATTTGAACCTGGGAAGCGGAGGTTGCAGTGAGCCCAGATCACACCAGTGCACCCCAGCCTGGGCAACAAGAGCAAAACTCTGTCTCAAAAAAGAAAAACAAACAAACAAACAAACAAAAAACTGGGAAATGTTCCTTGCTACATAAGACTGATTCAGTCTCACAAATACTGCATTTTCAACAGACAATGCATGAACTAAAGAATAATGGGTGGATGCCAGTCACCTTTGTTCTTAAATACAGAACACTGGAGAATAAATGATTCACCAAGAGGTGTCCTCAATTTCATAGTTTTAAAGACGTCTACATCCTACTCCTCCCCTACCCACATGCCTACTCCACGGTCAATGATCTCCAGAACTTCTGAAGATTATAGGCTTATTCTTTCTATCTTTACATCCATAATTGGAACATAAAAATAATGTGATAAACTGTTAACTTTAAGAATGCTTGTTTGAGCTTGCCAGAGACCTAAAAACGGACTTGTTTCTGGGGAAAAATAACAGAGCTCCAAATAATTAAATTTTAAGTAAACTTTTGGGATTCACATGTGAAAGTCAGAGATCACCTATACATTTTATTGATACACATGATAGTAAAATCTGGTTCAACGCGGTTAACAGCTTACATCAATTTACAAAGACTACTGATGTGACTCTGATTACAAATCCCTAATTGTGCTGTGAGAGACTGATAACAAATCATCTTGTGAACAAGAACAAATGAATTAAATATACAAATTATAGGACTGTTAGAATAACAGTTCCATTATTTAGAGCACAATAATCCAGCAAACATATTTGGAATATAGAAAGCAGATTTTCAGAGTGGCCAAAGCATACATGTTTACAAGTCCATGCAATTAAATACACTTTATTCAGGAGAGCCCTTCGAAGCTCTTACATATGGACAATTTGGAGACATTTAGTTATTTTTCTAATTCTTGTAAGAATCCAAACAACTTATTGAGGAGACGAGGTGATGGCCAGCAGGTACTACATAAAATCGAGAATGACCACCACAGGTCTGACAGTAAAAACAAATGATAAAAGACAACATAAGCAAAGATAAAAGACATGTATCAACTGTGAGTAAACATCTGCAACATATATTTAAATATCTAATATATAACAAACTCCAACACATCAATAACCCAGCAGAAAAACAGGCAGAAGATAAAAACAGACCATTTAAGAAACAGAAATACAAATGGCGAATACACATTAAATGATCTTCAACCTTCCTAATGATCAGTGAAACACAGGTTAAAACAAAGTCACCAGTTTTTACCCACAATAGTGGCAATGATCAAAAAGACTGACAATCAATTTTGAAAGGCTATGAGGAAACTGATAAACTCCTGGTTGGGGTATAAATTAATGGTGACGCGGCATGTTCATATATATCTGTCTCTCTCCATATGTGTGTGTATGTTGTGTGTGTGTGTGTGTATGTACATACATATGGTTTACAAACATTTGAACAGATACTCAAGGCAACACATATAAATATATCAATGGCAGCACTGTTTGTAATAGCAAAAGCTAGAAACAATCTGTCCATCAATATACAAATGGCTAAATAGGCCGGGTGTGGTGGCTCACGCCTGTAATCCCAGCACTTTGGGAGGCCAAGGTGGGTGGATTACCAGAGGTCAGGAGTTCAAGACCAGCCTGGCCAACATGTTAAAACCCCATCTCTACTAAAATTACAAAAATTAGCTGGGCGTGGTGGCAGGCATCTGTAATCCCAGCTACTCGGGAGGCTGAGGCAGGAGAATTGCTTGAACCCACGAGGCAGAGGCTGCAGAGAGTTGAGATGGCACCACTGCACTCCAGCCTGGGTGACAGCAAGACTCCATCTCAAAAAAGAAAAGAAAAGAAAAGAAATGGCTAAATAAACGATAGGATGGAATACAGTGGAGCAATTTTTTAACATGAGGTAAACTCGCATATACTGACATGGATGTATGCCAACATATATAAAAAACAAACTGAAAAAAATATGTGTAGTATGACACTTAAGACACACATATATACATATATATGTATACACTCCTCACACACATACATAGTACAAGTACAAACTGCAGGGTTGATACTCAAGATATCAAACAGTGACACAGGGCTCTGAGCAATTTCAGCAGATGCTTGCTCAGTGAGAATGGATACCAGCTGTATTGGTACAGGCCATTTAATGTATACACTTGCTCCTCAACTTATGATGTGGCTACATCCCCATCATAAGTTGAAAAATATCTTAAGTCGAACCATCTTAAGGACCATCTGTATTAGCCATAAATATTAACACGGCACATAAACATGCATAGAAAAAAATCTGGAAAAAATAAAAAACCAAGATACCTGTGGCACAGTGGATATGAGGGGCCCAAGATTTGGGGAGGGGTTCAATGCTGAATTTGACCTCATCAGTAATGCTTTAAATTTCTATGAGAATGTACTCATGAATTAATTATGTAACTAAAATTTAATTTTTATAAGAAAAAAAAAGAGTAGTATGGAAAAAGTATATCAGTTGAGGTACTCATTCATTTTACTTGTCAAGTGTTATGTAGTTCTTGAATCAAATCTGGCTAAAATTTTCTCATAAAGATGACCAATGTTTAGTTCCCTAATCTAGAAGCAATCAACCATCCATCCATCCATCCATCCATCCATCACAAAAAAGAGTTCTGGTCGGAGAAGAATACCAAGGGACACTGTCTATCATATTCCAATTTCAGTGGTGGAGGGGATGCACAAAGTAACATCCTGATGTAGTATTTGTCTAGCTTCAAGTCCAGTGTTTCCTAAACTTGGGTATATCTGAGAATTCCTTGAAACCTCACCCCAAATATTCTGTTTTCGCAGGCCTGCAGTGGGGGCTCAAGATTCTGTATCCCTGCCAAACCCCACAGGATTCTGATACAGACGGTTCAAGGACCACACACTGAGAAACACTGCTCTAATCCAAGGGAATTACAACATTAATCTTTCCACCCTCATCCCAAGTTCAATGAACTGCATCAACTTTGTAAGTGACGTCACGTTAGGATGGACAGACGCCAAAAAAAGAGATAACATCAAGGTGCAGGCAGACAACGAGGGAGTCAAATAAGCAGAGTACACAATGTGCTAGTCAGCTTTCACTAGATTAGTTGTGGCAGTAGCAAATCACCTTCAAATGTTAGTGGCTTAAAGTGAAGGTTTATTTCTTGCTCAGATGTTGTGGCTGCTTGAGGGCCAACTGTGGCTCTGCTCCAGGTGTGGGTAGGCTGAAGAAGATTCCCCCGGCATCTCCTTCATTCTGGAATCTATCTGAAGGGGCAGCACCACACTAGACACCTGATATACATGACGTCTCTTTTGTGTTTTTAGAGACAGGGTCTCACTCTGTCACCCAGGCTGGAATGCAGTGGCACGATCATAGTTCACTGCAGCCTTGAACTCCAGGACTCAAGGGATCCTCCCTCCTCAGCCTCCTGAGTAGCTGGGACTATAGGCACACCACAGGGCCTGTCTTTGTCTATTTTAATAATATAATTGTTAATGTTGATATATTTTCATTTTGGTTACATATATATTACTTTCTTGGCTATATAAAAGTTTATGCATAACAATTATTCATTTATCAATTTTTTACTATTATAGTGTTGCAACAATCAACCTTCTACACATTTCTTTACATTCTTTTCTGATTATTCGTTTATGAAAATCTCCTAGAGGAGACAACATTGAGATCAAAGGAAATGCATATTCAATACTCTTGATACACGTTGCTGAGCTGTCCTCCAGAGAGGCTGTCCCAGGAGTGGACAGGGACTGTGTTTTCAGTCATGTCTGAATCTCAAGCCAAATCATCGTTCTTAGCATATTTTATTTATTTATTTATTTATTTTATTTTTAAGACGGAGTCTCATTCTGTTGCCCAGGCTGGAGTGTAGTGGTGCGAACTTGGCTCACTTCAACCTCCGCCTCCCGGGTTCAAGTGATTCTCCAGCCTCAGCATCCCAAGTTGCTAGGACTACAGGCACATGACACTGCCTCGGCTAATTTTTGTATTTTCAGTAGACAATGAGTTTCACCATGTTGGCCAGGCTAGTCTCGAACCCCTGACCTCAGGTGATCCACCTGCCTCAGCCTCCCAAAGTGCTGGGATTACAGAAGTGAGCCACCATGCCCGGCCTATATTTTAGACCCCTAATCAACTGAATGAATGGAAGGAAGAAGGAAGCTGAAAGAAAAAGACTTTTCTGAGGAAGCTGTATGATTTAAGGAAAGGCAGATCACTGGAGAAGTGTAAAACACGCTTAGAAAATGAGAGCTAGGCCCGTTCAGCAGATTGTATCACATGAAGGAAGGCTGAGGAGAATGAAGTATAAGAGATCAGGGCTTCTCAAACTGGGGTGGGCATGCACAACACTGGTATCCCGCTAAAACTCTGGTTCTGATCCAGCAGGTCTGGGGTGGGGCCTGACAGTCTGCATTTCTAACAAGATCCCAGGTGATGGTGATGCTGCTGGTCCATGAACTTCACTGCAAATCATAAGAAAGTAGATGATTACACTGGAGAGGCAGATTCTCTCTAAAAAGTTTCCAATGTCAGGCTCAAGAGTTTAGAGTATATTTAGTTGGTAGTCAATTTAAGGAAAGGGGTGTGATGAAGGTTTCTGAGCAAGGGAGACCTAATCACCTTAAAAGAATCAGATTAATAAAAATCTTTATATACATTACCAACCGAGTCTTGCTTAGAGGACCACTTATTTTGTTTTGTTTTTGTCACTTTAATATTTTCTCAGTTTTGGTAAATATAGCACACAACCTTGAGGCTATTTTAGCAAAGTTTCAGTGCTTTACATATATCCCTCTCTAGCTTAAAAATGATTGTTAATAACAGAAGGGACAATTAACAAAGGATCCATGGTTTGGCTTTTCCTGGCCTCCCTACCCCTAATCTCCTCTGACCTCATCAGCTGAGGCCACACCCCAAGGCTCCTGGGTGTTGCTTTCTCACTGTTTCTGGTGGCAACCAGGACTCCAGTTGGGGATCCTGTTTATAAAAATAACATAGGGATAACCAAGAGTTACATGCCCCCATCACTTCTCCTCTCCCAAGATGAAATCTTAACTACTTATTCAGTAAGCAGTGACTGCCAATTCTTGGGGCATCTATCACCTCAACACACCTGGATTTAAGAGTAAACAATCGGCTGGGCATGGTGGCTTTCACCTCTAATTCCAACACTCTGGGAGGCCAAGGTGGGCGGATCACAAGGTCAAAGAGATTGAGACCATCCTGGCCAACACAGTGAAACCCCATCTCTACCAAAAATACAAAAATTAGCTGGGCATGGTGGCGCGCGCCTGTAGTCCCAGCTACTCGGGAGGCTGAGGCAGGAGAATCACTTGAACCAGGGAGGCGGAGGTTATGGTGAGCGGAGATCACGTCACTGCACTCTAGCCTGGTAACAGAACAAGACTCCGTCTCAAAAAAAAAAAAAAAGAATAAACAACCACACAGGAAACAACAGTGACTGTACAATGTGAGCAATGACTTCAACTCAGGCAAACAGTGAAAGGTAAGAACACCCTAGACAGAATCCACGGGCCCAACAGCTAATTCCACATCTCATCCATCTCTGTTCCCTCCAGTCACTAGCATTGGAATGCTGACAGAAGATGGCCAGCATTTGCTACAATTCTTTCACCTATTCCATTACAGCCTAGACAGGGAGGGCTGTAAAAAAAGACTCAGGAATAAGGTAGGCAGAACGGCCTCAGTACCTTATGTCTGGGCATTTTGCCAACATCCTCTCAGATCCTGCTCATCTAGAACACAGCAGTTTCCGAGGTTCTTATGAGGCTCTCTAGCAGGAAGCCACTGCTTGCCAAAGCTCATGAGATCACCAAGTTAATAATGAATGCACTTGTGGGTGGGGTGAAGTGTGGTGCAGCTAGCATGACTGAGACTTCAAATGACCTGGGCTGTGGGAAATGAGTCTTGGCCAGAACACTTCAGATATTTGCCACAGCACGCTCATACACTGTTAGAGTGTAAGGAGGTATAACCTTTTTCGAAGATAATTAAGCTATTGCTACCACAATTTGAAACACATATGCCCTTTTATCCAGCAACTCAACTCTTAATAATTTATTCCACAGACACATACCAAAGAGGAAGGTACAATGATGTTCATTTCAGCAAAATATGAGAACTTAAATGTCATCAAGGGCCTGGCTAATATACAAAAATATAATAAAATATAAGGTAGATATTAAAAAAGAATGAGAAAAACCTTGTGTGCTACACTGAAACTACCGCCAAGATATACTGTTACATATATAATAATGTATGCATATAATGTATCATCTACATAATTATGTATGCACACAAACACACAGGCTACCCTCTGTTAACAGAGATTGTCTTAGGGGAACTGGGTTTCTGAGGTTAGAGAAAGGCCTTTGTTTTATAGCTCCTGCCCTTTTGTTTTATTTATTTATCATACACATGTATTACTATTTCCCTTTTTTGTTTACTTTCTTTTGGGGGAATATCTATTTATTTACTTTTGGGTTCCCAGGACATAGATTCTTTCTGAGCACTCAAGGAATTACAGAAAACATTTACAATGAAAAATGCAGGTCAAGCTAGCAAGATTAAATGCAAAAATCTTAAGATATTAGCAAAGTTAATTCAACATCAAAAAGATAATCTATCATGACCAACTTGGCTTTATCCTAAGAATGCCAAGCTGTTTTAATTTTAGAACTCAATCAATATAATTTACCACACTGATAGATGAAAAAGAAAAACCCATATGGTTAGCAGAATACATGCATAAAATTATATGCAATAAATGTGAATGTCAATTTATTATTTTAAAAATAACCTTAGCAAACTAGGTATACAAAGAACTTCTACAAATCTGCTTAAAGCACTATTTTAAAAAATCCAGAATAAACATCATACTTAATGGTGAAATTTTGTTCCAATAAGTCCTATATACAAACAGGATACAGAGGAGTTAAGTGGTGTTTTTTTTTTTTTTCTTTTGAGACGGAGTCTTGTTCTGTTGCCCAGGGTGGAGTGCAACGGTGTGATCTTGGCTCACTGCAACCTGCACCTCTTGGGTTCAAGTGATTCTTCTGCCTCAGCCTCCCAAGTATCTGGGACTACAGGCACACATCATCACGCTCAGCTAATTTTTGTATTTTTAGTAGAGACGGCATTTCACCACGTTGGCCAGGCTGGTCTCAAACTCCTGACCTCAAGTGACCCGCCCGACTCGGCCTCCCAAAGTGCTGGGATTACGGGCGTGAGCCACCACGTCCAGCTTAAGTGGAGGTTCTTAATCCCTTTCTGAAAGACGATCCCTTTAATATATCTTACATATCATTTCAGGGTGTTTCATATCCATCTCCCTTCCGAACATCCAAAGCCAGAAGATGCATGAATTCCAACTGAAAAAGCCCTGGGGAATCCATTCTCCAGCACTACTGGATTCATACTACCAAAATAACCCGCTGTACACTTTACAGCATTTTAAAACCTTCAGCGGGTCCTCAGCCTACAAAATAAAGCTCACACTCTAGCTCTGCACATCTGACTCCAGTCTCCTATTCCAACTTTCTCTCTCATTGCTCACGACACTAAGCAACGGTGCTCATCTCCTTGGTGTTCATGTCCTCGGTATTTAATGCCTATGACTCCACCCACCTTGCCTTTCTGCCCACACTCACATTCCACTAAGAGAACTGGGAATCAAGACATTACTTTTATTACTGATAAAAGCTGACTAGGGAAAATGGCTAAAGATCAGTGACAAGAATTAGCCAGACCTCCCCAGCCAGTCACTGGCACAGCTAGACAAACTCAAGCCACGCCAGCAAGGCCAGGTCTGTTAACACAAGGCAGAAAAGGCTGTAGTACAGAACCAGCTCTGAACAGAGAGGCCCTGCAGTGCCGAGCTGAGGATCTCCTTCTTACAAATTCACCAATCAGATAAGCCACTCTTTTTCCCATTGTGGTCCCTCAGGCTGGAAACATGAGGCCAGGGAAATGTCACCTCCTTCACTAATATTCAATCCTTGTTTTCAAAGCACAGTACAAGTCCCACTCCAACCTGAAAAATCATTCCATCCCCAGAAAAATTACCCATTATCGATTCCTTGGAATTCCTAGGGAACCTAATGCCTGGGCACTGTTTTGATTCAACATCTACAATAATGTCTCGTATACTGATAGCAGTTTCTCTATCAAGAAAAACCGAGTCCCTGTCTAGCTCTCTGAATTCTCATCATTTAGATGCATGCTCAGAACAAAGACGATGCTCAACTATATGAATTTTGAAAAATTATGAATGTCAGAATGCAGAGTGTGGTCTTTAATAGGTAAGAAGGAATCTTAAGAAAGAGAACGCATGACCAAAGAAGTGTCTTCTGAAGATGAGTAATCGATGGCATGTCTGATTAGAATACAAGACACAGACACAAGACAAGAGAAATGGCAATAAAGAAAACTATTATTTAGATGTGATTTAGAAAAGGGTCCTCAATATCAGAGTAATAAAGCAGAAACCATAAAATAATAGAAAGCTGTCCAACAAAAAACTGAATAAAAACAAATCAAGAAAAGAAATTAGGAAATGCGTAAATGTACTAAGGGTCACAATAGATCACCAGCTGACAGTAAACTGCTGCTTAGTGACATTGTTCACACAACAGGGCTGTTACAGATGGGAAGTAGTAAGTCATTTTTACACTTTCTATGTATAACCAACAGATCCCAATTAGATCCTAACTGAAAAGAATAACGAAGACAATTTAAAGAGCTGAAAATGAGGCTTCTAGAAGGAGGAAAACAGCAATTTATTTATTTATTTATTTAATTCTGAGGGGGTAATCATACTCTTAAAGACAGGCTGGGCACAGTGGCTAATATCGGTAATCCCAGGACTTTAAGAGGCCAAGGGGGCAGATCACTTGAGCACAGGAGTTTGAGATCAGCCTGGGCAACGTGGTAAAACTCCATCTCTACAAAAAAATACAAAAACTAGGCTGTTGTGGCACTGAGCACCTGTATTCCCAGCTACTCAGGAGGCTGAGGTGGGAGGATCTACATGAACCCAGGGAGGTCGATGCTGCAGTGAGCCGTGAGTAACAGAGTCACTGCCCTCCAGCCTGGGTGACAGAGTGAGACCCTGTCTCCAAAAAAACAAACAAACAAAAAGACTACTGGTGAAAGAAAAAGTGCAACTAGACAGTTTACTACTCTACTGAAAAACAGAGACATTCAGTAACAGAGAAATTTTACCTAAATCTGAAGAACTCTTAATAGAATCATTGTTAATAAAGTGATGGTGGAAACAACACTCTTTTTTACTTTGACAACTCAATACTTACGAGTCCACAGTTACTAACACAATGACACAGCAATATAGTACACAAAGAAGGTTACTAGTCAAGCTACTTAAGACAAGGAGGACAAAAATAACAGAAGAGCCATAAAAATAAATATATGCAGGCTGGGCGCGGTGGCTCACGCCTATAATCCCAGCACTTTGGGAGGCCAAGGCGGGCGGATCATCTAAGGTCAGGAGTTCAAGACCAGCCTGGCCAACATGATGAAACCCCATCTCTACTAAAAAATAGAAAAATTAGCTGGGCATGGTGGCACATGCTTGTAATCCCAGCTACTCGCGAGGCTGAGGCAGGCAGAATTGCTTCAACCCAGGAGGCGGAGGTTGCAGCGAGCCGAGATCACGCTACTGCACTCCAGCCTGGGTGACAGAGCGAGACTCTGCCTCAAATAAATAAATGCAGAAGGTATTTGTAGATATAAATATTCCTCTAAAGAGGTATTTAAGATTACCATAAAGATATTTTATTTGTCCTGAGTCAAGAACATGATAAATCAGATATACCGCCTAACAAAACTATTCCTAAATCCTGGCCAAAAGTATGTGTGCTTCCTCCACTACATAGCACTCACTCCCTCCAGCCCATAAAGGACATCATTAATTGATGGCTTGCTTTCCTGCGAAAACCATGTAAAATCTATGACATCGGCTTTCACTTTGCAAAAATTTTATATTTAAAAATAATGAATCCCAGCACTTTGGGAGACCGAGGCATGCGGATCACTTGAGGTCAGGTGTTTGTGACCAGCCTGGCCAACATGGTAAAATCCCATCTCAACTAAAAATACAAAAATTAGCCGGGCCTGGTGGCGGGCACCTGTAATCCCAGCTACTTGGGAGGCTGAGGCAGGAGAATCTCTCGAATCTGGGAGGCGGAGGTTGCAGTGAGCCAAGATGGTGCCACTGCACTACAGCATGGGTGACAAGAGCGAGACTCCATCTCCAAAAAAAAAAGAAAGATAGGTCCATTGCAATTCTTAAAATCTTGTTGTAGACTAAAGTTATCAACAGAGAAGAAAAGGAAAATAATTGATGAAATAAATTTAATAGCTTGTTGTAAATACCACGAATTGCCTTTAAAAATTTCCTCAACATTAAAAAACTTAGAAATCTTTGGCTTTCATTAAAGTTGGGAATATATGACAACACACACACACAGCAAAAGGTATTTTTGGTGGGAGGAGGAGATAATATTTTGGAAAAAAAATGGCAAACTATATTGCTAATGCAGCTCCAGTGAAATGCCTTTTTTTACAAAGTAAAAAGATCAGTGTTAGGTTGAGAATGGGTTAGAGTTATTCCAATTCACTATCAAGCTCTAATTCCCTCCACAGCATCCTGCCCAGAAGTTTAAATACCTCCTCCCACTGTGAAGAATTAACTCTGCCTAGAGAGCTTTTGTTGTTTTAAATCTTTTTTCTTAAAAAAAGAAAGTCATGCATGACTATATACTATGAGCCAGGCAATGGGCTAACAACTTTATCTTGCCACACTAATCTTTACAACCACCTGAAGATCTAGGTTCTCTTGTCACTCCTATCTTGCAGATAAGGAGACACAGAAAGGTTAAAGGTCACGTCAGGCCATTGGTGGAACCAAGATATGCCATGGTCCTTGGAAGAGTTCTTTCAGCCTACACAACATATGTATTAGTCCGTTTTCACGCTGCTGATAAAGACATACCTGAGACTGGGGATAAAAAGAGGTTTAATTGGACTTAAAGTTCCACATGGCTGGGGAGGTCTCAGAATCATGGTGGGAGGCGAAAGGCACTTCTTACATGGCAGCGGCAAGAGAAAATGAGGAAGATGCAAAAGTGGAAACCCCTGATAAAACCATCAGGTCTTGTGAGACTTATTCACTACTATGACAACAGTATGGGGGAACCGCCCCCATGATTCAATGATCTCCCACCAGGTCCCTCCTACAACACATGGGAATTATGGGCATACAATTCAAGATGAGATTTGGGTGGGGACACAGAGCCAAACCATATCACCATATATATTTCCATTTACTAAAAACCACAGAATTTGACTTCCTGAATTTGTGTTTCTAAACTAAAAATTTCCTTCAAAACTTTTCTCATGCAAATACCAGAGCCTCTGACGTTTCTGTGGACTATGGATTCCCACTCAAGAATCTTAGCATTTTCTCTTTTTTTCTTATTTTATACATACTCGACTCGCCAACTAAATTGCAAAGCATCAACAAGACAAATCCAATTTTCTTCTCTCAAACCGATTCAGAGGGGTAAGCAGAGACCACCACAGTGTTTAAAAATTAGAATCACTGATTAGTTCCTTACATTTGTCTTGCACAAGAATTTCTGCTATACAACGCTAGCTGGGAGAAAATAAGAAATGGGGGGAGAGAATGAATGGCCAACAGCAATGTTTCAGGTATAAATAATTTATTAACAGTACTCCAAATTTAATGAAATAGCAATATTTTAAGACTTTGTTCATAGTTAAAATATAGACACCACATTATCGAAACATGAAGCAAATATGTCATTGAAAAGAGTGAGAGGTATAATGCTTGCCCAAACAGATCAGATGGGTCATTTACCCTACATATTCTATGCTTATCTTGCTTACTTACTGTCTCTCTGTGAATGATGGTGTTTGTTTCAGGTAATTTAGCCCCAGTAGGCAGGCTTTCTTCACGAAGAGAAGAAATAATGTCTTAGTAAGAAGACAGCGCACACATGCATAGTTTCTACATATACTTGCCTATATTTATAGGCAAAATACCTCAATTAAAGTAAGAGTTACAAGAAACACCATTCTCTAAATCTAATGAATAACTCGGGTTTTTTTTGTTTGTTTGTTTCTGTTTTTGAGAGTGTTGCTCTGTAACCAAGTCTAGAGCACAATGGTGTGATCATGGCTCAATGCAGCCTGGAGTTCCCAGACTCATGTGACCTCCCACCTCAGCCATCCCAGTAGCTGGGACTACATGTGCCACCATGCCTGGCTAATTGTTTTAACTTTTTTTTGTAGAGGTGGAGTCTCACTATGTTGCCCAAACTGGTCTCAAACTCATGGGCTCGAGTGATCCTCCCACCTAGGCCTCCCAAAGTGCTGGGATTACAGGTGTGAGCTACATTGCCTGGCCATTAATAACTCTTGTTACACAAAACTAATAACCTTAATGACTTTTTTTTGCACAAAACTAATGCTTTACTCCTTAAAACCTGGAGCATTTTTTTTTTTTACTTCAAAGATTGTGTTGCCTCAGAACCAATTCACAAGAGAGGCAATGATTATCTCCTTAAAGTGTGGTCTCATGAACAACCAGCTACTCTTGACTTCTTTATGGAGAGGCCTTCCTTGATCTCCAAAGCTGCTGGAATGTCCTGAGTGGTTCCGAACTGCCTAATTTTCCCCAGAGAGGCACAAAAGATCCTGCGTCTACCACTGCTCTCAACTCGCTCAAAGCCAGTGGCCTCCTTTTTACATCCAAGCCACCCTTTTACTTATTTTGAAACTCAAAGGAAGTAGATTATAAACAAGGTGGCATAGATTTGTTCACAGGGCTATATTTCAGGAACTATAATTATTTGTGTGGCCTTCAGGTCAGACTTTTTGCTTTTACAGCTCTAAAATGTTATTTGTTTAAATCCCAGCCCTAAAATATTTAATATAAACTATTAAAACACCATTTGCATGACCAACTTATTCTTCACTGAATCTCGGCTCATAAAAAGGTTCATTCATGTTAAAAAGCTATTTTTAAATGCGGCTAACTCATTGCTTAGAATATGCTAACAATTAAGCATTATACTTCACTGGAATTTTTATAGTTTAAAATTATATTTCTCCCATCTCATTTCCTCCCCCACCAATTCTGCCATCCCAAATAGCAACATTATTTTAAACTTTGCTGTTTTCTATGACAATAACCTCATTCACTGGTCATTCAGAAATAATGTCCTTCTGAAGATGCTGGCAACTGACTTTCACACTCAGTTATATGTCAGGTTTTGGCTACCTAAAGATGTATGAGCACATCATGCCAAGGCCCAAGAGAAGTTCCTCCAGCTGAAATCAAGGGAATAGGTTGCGCCCTTGAGGAACCAGCGTCCCCTCTATGGAGCCATTCACAGGCTGTGCTGGTAAGGCCTTGTTCTCTCATCCCATTACCCCGTTCGGCGGGGGTGACAGTGACAGCAAGCATCACACACGCTAGTGAGAAAGGACCCATGCCCGGTTGCCACTGTGACCATTTACTACTCAAGTAGAGCACAAGGTTTAAACAATGCTCTCAAAAATTACAGCCTAGAGTTATTGAAAAAGCTGAGTCCCCACAGATAGACTCGAAGCTGCAAAATGCAGTAAGTGGTGTACATAAAAAGTGTCCAATCCAACAAGCTGTAGGTCAAGCTTGCAAGATTCTGGAGATGGATGGCAAGTGAAAACATGTGAAGCCAACAGGCCCACTCTTGATTTTGACACGTGGATATTTTCACACCCATGAGATGGATCTGAAGCTTAATACAGAATTGTAATGCGAAAAGCAACACGTGAACAAAATAAATGGACACATAACAGCAGCGTAAATGCCAGGCCTGAGTTAAGCTCCTGGTAATATAACACCCGGGGTTTGGGCTTTTCCGTGCCCATTTCCTCTTGTGAGTTTAAGGCACATTACTAAAATGATCTCATTAATCCTCACAACACCTGATGAGGGGAGTAGGCAACAAATATTTTAATCTCCCATATAAGATGGAAAAAACAAATCACCAATGTGCTGTATAACTTTTCCCAGGATTACAGCTAGCACTCAGTCAGAGAAAACAGTCGACTTGAATCTCAGTAAAGAGTTGACTATACCAGGCTATTTGAAAGAAAATGCTGCTCACTAAGATGGATTTCTTAATTAAGCAGCTGTATACCACATACATTCCAGGTGGACTGCCATTCCACTTCTCACAGAGTTTCCACACCTATACTAGGCTGTCAAACAGAGTCATTTTTCAGGCCAGGTGCGGTGGCTCAGGCCTGTAATTCCAGCACTTTGGGAGGCCGAGGCAGGTGAATCACTTGAGGTCAGCAGTTCAAGAACAGCCTGGCCAACACTGCGAAATCCCCATCTCTACTAAAAATACAAAAATTAGCTGGGTGTGGTGGTGCACGCCTGTAATCCCAACTACTCGCAAGGCTGAGGTAGGAGAATTACTTGAACCTGGGAGGTGGAGGTTGCAGTGAGCTGAGATTGCACCACTGAACTCCGGCCTGGGCAACAGAGAGAGACTGTCTTAAAAAAAAAAAAAAAAACCAAAAAACACAAATAGAGTCATTTTTAAAAATACTTCCCTAGACCTCCTGGCTTCCAGTTATGCCCTACAACTGTTCTTCTCAAACAGGGGACTCCTCAGATCCCCAGGGTCACAAACCAGTGTGCCCCAGGAGGACGCAACGTTTCCGGACCAACGGGCACATCTTCTTGGGGCTCAATTTGAATAGATGGTCATTTAAAATCTGATTTTGATATTTAAATATATTTTTAAATGAAATGCAAAATTGGCATAAAATTTTCAAATTAGTCTTAAAATAAATGATACCTAAAAGCATGCTGCTTTAGGAGATACTCACAAGCAAGGCTTGGGTAGGGGGAGAAGGGATGGTAGGTGCACTTTGCTATTAAGTGTAGTTCAGGGAAAACATGTCCAAAAACAGAACAAAGCAACTTAAGAGGAAAAACAATTCCAATCTGCTTGCCTGGTCCAAACCATTCCAGGCAGACAGGAACATTTCCTGCCATAAAAGCTTTTACTTGGCTTTCTTTTCACGTGGGCTGTAAGACCTATCAGCATGGAATCCCACTTAGGATTTTCTTTTTTCTTTATTTATTTTTTTTTTTTGAGACGGAGTTTCACTCTCGTTGCCCAGGCTGGAGTGCAATGGCATGATCTTGGCTCACGGCAACCCCTGCCTCCCAGGTTCAAGTGATTCTCCCGCTTCTGCCTCCCGAATAGCTGGGATTACAGGTGTGCACCACCATGCCCGGCTAATTTTGTATTTTTAGTAGAGACGGGGCTTCTCCATGCTGGTCAGGCTGGTCTCAAACTCCCGATCTAAGGTGATCCACTCCCAAAGTGCTGGGATTACAGGCGTGAGCCACCGCGCCTGGCCAGGATTTTCTATTAAAAAATCTTAAGATTACTAGTAGTAAAATGCTATTTCCATATTAAACCTGACAACATCAAAGCTACCTATTGACTCACTTAACTATTTCCAGAAAGCCCAGCAGATACCAGACTTGCCCTGCTGAAGGCCTTTATGAGCTGGTCCACAAAACATCTTAGAACCTTTGACCATCAGGGTAGGGTTCTCTTTACTATTTCAACCAGAAAATTAGAAAATCAAGGAAAGGCAAATGACCTCAGATGTTGGTAGGAGGAATTCCTTTATATTTACTAAAAATATCTACTAGCTGCCAAAAGAGTCACATGATAAAGTTGGTAACCAGAAATGGAGGCATGTGAAAGATACACACAGGTTATCAGGAAAATCAGGTGACGGAAGATACAGGCTTCTCCCAACACAGACTTTTTCCAAGTGCTCAGAATTAGAATTGGGTATCGAGGGCCCATTCACATATTCCTGGGAGCTGCGAGGAGAATTGCTTCCAATATCCAAGTTCTACAAAAGGCTAGCAAAAGATCCAAACCTAAACCACCAAAACCAGACTGGTAACTGCTTTGAGGAACTCACTGAGCACTCTGACCACAGCAGACATTCATCTCAAGCTCCTCACGGTGGCTCCAGATTTATAAACAGAAATTTATGTCCACATTTCTATAGTTCCTGAAATTGCCA
Source organism: Homo sapiens (assembly GCF_000001405.40). NCBI lineage: Eukaryota > Metazoa > Chordata > Mammalia > Primates > Hominidae > Homo > Homo sapiens. The sequence goes on from NC_000008.11 coordinate 18,968,131, forward strand.
GAGAAGGAAATTCTGCACACGCACACAAAACTGTGCACCACTTCAGGGCAGCCACTGGCTTCAATTAAGAAAACCTTATGTTTCTACCCAACATCTGAGATTCTCCAACTCAGAAAACCTCCCTGCAAGTCCAATTCTGACTCATCAGGATTCTCTGACACTGAGGCAAAGTTTACAGGAGACCATAAACTTTTCAAGAAGACTTTAAACTTTATTTTAAAAGCAGAATGTGTATATCTAAATCAATTGTCCTCGTTCAAATGGTCACCTTAGAAAACCACACACGTTATTTCAAGGAATCCTGAGCAAATCATTTGGAATTCCTATTCTGAAAGAACCTTCGACGCCAGTTTTCACATCACACGATGCACGCTTCTTTATAGACATCTCAAGACTAAAGAAAAACTATTTCCCAGCTTGCTGTCACCTAGCTTGCAGAGCATACTTTAAAATGTTGTGGCCTGGGCCAGGTGTGGTGGCTCACGCCTGTAATCCCAGCACTTTGGGAGACCGAGGCAGGCAGATCACGAGGTCAGGAGTTTGAGACCAGCCTGACCAACATGGTGAAACCCCGTCTCTAATAAAAATACAAAAAATTAGCTGGGTGTGGTGGCATGTGCCTGTAATCCCAGCTACTCAGGAGGCTGAGGCAGAAGAATCGCTTGAACCCAGGAGGTGGAGGTTGCAGTGAGCCGAGATCGCGCCACTGCACTGCAGCCTGCGTGACAGAGCAAAAAAAAAATGTCTCCAAAAAAAAAAAAAAAAAAAAAAACTCCACCCACAAAAATATAAAGGCCCAACACCACTGGGGATACGTTTTTAAAATGCAGTGGGGGATATGAAGACAATTCCAAAGAAAAAAGATTTAGTAGCATGTATTGAGTTATTATAACATCACAGAAATAAGTATATAGCCTTCCAAAGTGTCTACTATGAAAAGGAAAATATTCTTTTAAATCTTTAAATTACAACATAAAACATATTAACTTAATAAACATTTCTTGAGGGGAAGGAGGTAATATTCAGAAATGCCTTCCAGAATGACTTACCTTACTGGAATCTACTTTAATAACAGCTGTAAAGTGCGAAGCAGTCACATCATAACCATACATTCTCTTAAAAATCCCTCTCCCACAAATATTCGTTGACAAAGTGTCCTACAAAGCACATATTGTCTTAATTCAAACCTGAAAATAAGACATCTAAATTTCGATGCAACAGCAGCCAGCAATAAAATGACTATAACATTAGCTTCACGTTCAATTGCATAGAAATCAACGGTACACCATAAATTTGTGTTAATAACCAGAAAAGTTCTGGGTGACAGGGGACTCTGTAATGACAGACAATGTATGCATGTTTTAGGCCTTGTTAAAAAAATTATGTTATACCAACAACTTTTTATTAGTGGCCATTTCTAAAGAGAGGTCATATACCTTCTTTGTTTAGCAAAATAATTTAAGACTACATTAATGAAATGCCCTTGATCTTTTGAATGTTCATCTTTAGGTAAATTCAGTATTCAAATTACTATATGGGATGTTTCATAACTATTAGCCTTGGCTATCTTACTCCACAGACCTGAATTCCTGTAAACATACCTGTAAGTTAAAGTAAACCCAAGGATCTTTCAAAGTCCAAAAATTCTAGTCACGAGGAGCAAATATTTAGGAGGAAATAATAGTTCCATCATTATGGGTCTGTAGACACAACAGATACATGTTCTCCATATAAATATTTAAAAAAAAATCTCCCCACAAGGGATTTTTTAAAACAGTGCGCAAAATACCTATAGCTTTAAGAATTTTAAAAGTTTATGTATATTCCTGCTTGCACAGTAAAATTAATAAACACTATCTAGTTTTTTGAAGAAAGAAAGAAACGCTAGGTAAAAGGAAAAACAAGAAACAACCTCGGCCAGGTGCGGGCTCACACCTGTAATCCCAGCACTTTGGGAGGCCAAGTTGGGCGGATCACGAGGTCAGGAGATCGAGACCATCCTGGCTAACACGGTGAAACCCCATCTCTACTAAAAATACAAAAAATTAGCCGGGCGTGGTGGCGGGCACCTGTAGTCCCAGCTACTCAGGAGGCTGAGGCAGGAGAATGGCATGAACCCGGGAGGCGGAGCTTGCAGTGAGCCGAGATCGCACCACTGCACTCCAGCCTGGGCGACAGAGCAAGACTCTGCCTCAAAAAAAAAAAAAAAAAAAAAAAACAAAGAAAAGAAAAGAAACAACCTCATTTCCCCCAATATATCTAATTACCGGCAAACCAACATTCCTTATTTTCTTTTATTTGCAATTCGATGAATTCCCTAAAGGTCTGGAAAAACTTCAGCATTTCTAATTAGACTGTAATTTTTCTACCAGACAATCAGACATAGTTTCACCTTTATACAACTTCCCATGTCCTAAATGCCAACATCCTGGCATGCTCCCCGTCCATCTTCCTTCTCTTAACAGCACCTGTTTTGAAAAGGTGAAAACATTTAGTCTTTCCTAGAATTGTCCTCTGAAAATCAATCAGTTAAAGATGAGAGGTCTGGATGCGGTGGTTCGTGCCTATAATCCCAGCACTTTGGGAGGTGAAGGTGGGAGGAACATATGAGGTTAGGACTTCGAGACCAGCCTGACCAACATGGTGAAACCCTGTCTCTACTAAAAATACAGAAATTAGCTGGGCGTGGCGGTGTGCACCTGTAGTACCAACTACTTGGGAGGCTGTAGTCCCAACTACTTGGGAGGCTGAGACAGGAGAATCACTAGAACCCAGGAGGCGGAGGTTACAGTGAGCCGAGATCACACCACTGCACTCCACCCTAAGTAAAAGAGCGAGACTCTGTCTCAAGAAAAAAAAAAAAAGACAAAAAATTCCTAACTGCCACATAAATAGCAATTATCCACCCCAGGGAATGCATTCCTTAATGAGACCATGCAGACCTCACATGTGCTTAGGCAGGAATGAAAAAACCCCAGAATCCTAGGCCACAAGTTTAAAACAGTCAAATAAGGACCTTCCTATGTAGATTACAAATTAAAAACAAAATGGACTCAAGTTAGTTTAGGTAGAAAAGGTGTGTGTTTACTGGCAAGGTTTGGGGAAGCTCCCTGTCTCTGGGAGGGCCGGACACCCAGGCTCAGGCGGGAACAAGCAGGGCAAAGCTCAGCCAAGGTCCTGCCACACCACAGGCTGACCGAGTCACTGCAGCCACCACGGCCTCCCCTCAGTGGACAGTCCCCTCCCATGCGCCTGGGCTCTGGACCCTGAATACTGTCATGAGGACAATACCCCATCAACTGGCCTAGCTGGCCCCAAGAGTCTTCACAAACAGAACCACTCTCCTGAGAAAATACCAGAATGGGTGGGGCTGATTGTGCTCAGATCACAGGCCCAATCTGATGGCCAGAGGTAGGGGAATGAGGCTGCAGCCCCCGGGCTTCAGCACAAGGAGTTTGAGTCCCGCCTCACATCTGCCTTTGAGTCCCTCAAAAAGGAAGGGGACCTGGCACATAAAAAGATAATTCTGCCATGGAGGGATGTGGAAAATAGGATTCGGAGGGTCCCTTCCTGTTCTAAAATACTATAAACAGGCCAGGTGCAGTGGCTCACACCTGTAATCTCAGCACTTTGGGAGGCCAAGGCAGGTGGATCACTTGAGGTCAGGAGTTCAAGATCGGCCTGGCCAACACAGTGAAACCCCGCCTCTACTAAAAATATAAAAATTAGCTGGGCATGGTGGCGGGTGCCTATAATCCCAGCTCCTCAGGAGGCTGAGGTAGGAGAATCGCTTGAGCCTGGGAGGCAGAGGTTGCAGTGAGCCGAGATCACGCCACAGCACACCAGCCTGGACAACACAGCAAGACTGTCAAAAAAAATAAAAATAAACAAAATACTATAAAGAGTCAGATGAAGATTTAATGCCTATCATCCTAAACAGAAAAGAAAGGTATGACTCTTACTAATTCAAATAATAAGGAATGAATAGCCTATTTCCTCAATCTATTTTCATAGAGTATGATCTGATGAAAGCTATTCATTAAAACAAACCAAATAGAGTGTCCTTCTGTCAACTAGGCTCCTACTTTATTTATGTACTTCCAGATCCATTTGTCTAATTTCCACTTGTGAAAAGCAAATGGAATTGATTTTCTGCAATGATACTAAATACAACGCTGTTATAATGTTCAGAACAGGTAACAGGAGGGGAGCAGGGAGTCTGTAAGAGACTGCCAGGTGCAGGAATAACAAACAGACAGATGTGATCAAAGAGCAGCAGTTATCACAGGGTCAGATTTTGACTCAACATAGCTAATTCCTGGGAACATTTGAAGGAATCCAACCCCGGAACAAGTTTCACAACAAAACAGTACCTCCACCAATGGAGGCAGCCACTGCTAGGAAGAGAGCAATGTGCTGAATGTGTTCCCCCCAAATTCATACATTAAAACCCTAATCCCAGTATGATGGTATCTGGAGGTAGGGTCTTCATAAGGTAATTAGGTCATAAGGGTGGAGCCCTCATCAATGGGATCAGTGCCTTCATAAAAATAGGCCAGAAAACTAGGTAACTCTGTTTACACCATGTAAGGACACATGTAAACCAGAAAGAGGACACTCACCAAGGATTCTAATCTCAAACTTCCAGCCTCCAGGACTGTGAGACACAAATGTTTGTTGTTTAAGCTACGCTGTGTATGATAATTTGCTACAGCAGCTCAAACTAAGACACACAGCATGGAAAGCATCACTGGGCAAGTAGGTAGGCTGGCTGGGCCACCCTTCAAAGGTCCTGTCCAACGAGGTTTTAAAAAAATGATTTTCTAGATTCTGAAACAAATAAAAGCTGAAATTAACAAGACAAAACTTCGAATTTGGACAAAAATAACAGACCCAATATAGGATAATGTAGACCTGAGTCTTGGGGGTTTATTCGATGGACTACCTCACACAATCTGCGATTCCACTGTAAGGGCAGTGTCCGGCACCCAAAATGCTTGGACCATCTGGGGGTTCTGAGTTCATCTCCAGGTTTCCCATTTTGAAAAGAACACTGACACGTGAAAGTATTGAGACAAGGGTGACAATGATGAAGAGGCAACTGAAAACCCCCTCAAGATGGGGATGATGACATAAGAAAAGAAAAGGGATCTAGATTTGTCTGCTTAGGCTGCTATAACAAGACAGAAGACTGAGTGGCTTAAGCAACAGACATTTTTCTCAAAGTTCTGAAGGCTGGAAGTCCAAGAGCATGGTGCCATCTGGGTTGGATTCTGGTGGCGGCCCTCTTACTGGCTTGGAGACAGCCACCTTCTTGCTCTTGTCCTCAGATGGTCTTTCCTGTGTGTATACACTCTGGTGTCTCTTCCTCTTCTTGGAAGAACACCAGTCCTACTGGATTAGGGGCCCATCCTTATGACCCCATTTAACCTTAACTACCTCCTCAAATGCCCTACCTCCAAATACAGTCAGCACACTATGGGTTAGAACTTGAACATGTGAATTTTAGGGAGATACAAGTCAGTTCATAACAGGACTCAATCCTAAGTATATGAAAGGCCATATCTGAAAAGGATACCAATTGGATCTCTATTGCTCTAGATGGCAGAATTAGACATGAAGTGGGAGTATTAGAGTTGGACTAGATGAAGTTTAAGCTTCTTTCATTCTGCTGTTATTATTAAACTATAGAATATGAGTTACTAAGGACTTACTATGAACCAAACTTTGTGCTGATCAAATCTTTCTGTCCATTCTGAGGTCGATACTGCTATTATGACCATTTACTGTTCTTTACAAATGGAGGCCTGCTCTTGCACAGTGTCACATTGCTGTTAAGTAGCAGGACAGGATCCCAGACCATCACACTCCAAAGCCACCCAATCTAGCTTTTAACCATTGAGTAGCCTACAATACAAATGATAAAATAACTCCATTTACCAATAGAAAATCACACAGAAGAAAACGAAAATACTAATAACCATATTACCACCATCATTTATTTTTCTATGTACCAGTTCTCTCCATAGATTGTCAGAGTTAATCTTCACTTCAAGCCAAGGTAGGCATTATTATGCCCATGTTACAGATAAAGAAAAAGGCTCAAAAAGCCTTCCTCAAACTCAGACAGTGACTAAAAACATGTGGGGAACAGGATTCAAACCAACCTCTGAGTTATTTCAAATGCAAATCTTTTATGTCAATTACAATGCACTCCAACTAGGCTCTGACTTGGCTCAGGCCCTGGGATCTGATAGACTTCAAAATCCTCTGAAACTGACATTTCCCAGGGAGGGCCACATAGAATGCAGACACTGCCTTTAAGAGAGAAAAAGACGCAAGGAGAGCAAATTCTATGAAATGAAATCAGGCTTTCCACTACCAAATCCTGTGCCATTCGGCAAGAACTCAGGGAGCCCCACTACGCGCTAGTCCCAGGGAACACACAGAGCAACAAGCAAAAGGAAACCCCACTCCCCTGGACCCTACATTCTAGTGCAGGGAGACTGAAGGAACCAACCTCCAATATAACACATCAAGTCAAAAAAAAAAAACAAAAAACAGTGAAGGGGCAGGGGAACAGGGGTGGAGGGTTGAGTGCTGTTTCAGAATCAATGATCAGGCTGGGCTTGGGTTTAAACTGCTGCAAAGGAGCACAGAAGACCTGCTAGCTATACATCCAGCAGGTCCTGCAGTCTTGACTACAGCCTGGTATTTCCTTGCTTTTCACTGGAGGAAAGGGTGGACCGCAGTGCTAATTACAAACAGGTCAAAGGGAAAAAAAAATACAAAATCTTTTTCCTTGACCAGAAGGGAAGCAGTTACCATGCACTGTTGCCATGGCATTGGAGAAAGAGAAAAAGCGACATTCTAAGTACCAGAGTATGAAAAGAAACACAACAGTGAGGAAAGGACAAGAGGCTGGCAGAGGTTTCACTCCCTGCAGTGCTGAGGCCTGCTGGGTGGCAGGTGGGAAGCAAAGCTTTCAAAAGGGACAAGGGTTGGAAGGGTGGGGAAGAGGAAAAGCTCAGAGCTATTAAGGAAAAGGTCTCTGCCTAGTCCCCCCGTTTTCTACATCCCTAATATATCAGGGTACTTAATAAAATAGTTGCAGAAAAATAAAAATAAAAGAACACCAAGTTTCTGAAATGCACAGAATAATTCTAGATAAACATTTTCTGAAATTTTTTTTTTTTTTTTTTTTGCCAATATGTACCATAGGCTTCAGCCAGCTAACTTACTACTGATGTGATTCTGTATGGCTCAGGAGTAGAAGGCTATAATTGGTGGGATGGAAGGCATATGCTAAAAGTCACGCAGAAGAGCGTTTGTAGCCGATTTCTGCCATTTACAACTATGGAACTAGAGATAAGTCACTTGGCTTACCCAAGTCCCTCATTCTTTATCCATAAGATTAAAATAGAAAGAGTAAAAGAGATAACAAGTATAAAGGTTGACTTATGATAGTAAATTAATAAACATTCATTCCTTTCCTGCAACAGTTCCAGTATCTTTTGCTCTAATACCATCAGTGTTGGGAAGGTTCATTCCACTGTTAGATAACTGATTTTACAAAATTTTAAAAATTGCACATATAGTCAAAATCCTTCTTAAGGCATGAACAGGCAATTCACAAAGGAAGAAATACTAACTGCAAATAAACATATGGAAAATGTCTCAATGCTAACTCATAAAAAAAAATACACATTGGCCAAGAGTTTTAAAAATAATATTATGTAATATCATTGGTTATTGAGAAATAGGCACCCTGACATACCCTGATGGTCAACCTACTTTTATCATTCTTCTAGAGAGACAGAAAATACGAATCAATGCCTTAAAAATGTATATTCCCTTCCATCCACCATTTACACTTCTAAGAAATTTCCAGAGAAAATAATAAATGGATGCTCTTGACAGCATTGTAATGAAAAACTGTAAGCAACAAAAGTCCCACCATTCACATAAACTATAATATCACCATAAAATGTAAAATACAGTCATTAAAATGCTTATACTAGAAAGACATTTGCAATGCATAGGAGAATTCAAAATCTAATTTCTTTATTTTACAGAGAGCTTATAAAAATTATTAAAAATAAAACTATCCAATAAAACCACGAAGACAGTTCACAAAAAAAGAAATACAAATGCCCAATAAAGATACATTGTATAACCTTATTATTAAATAAATTACAAATTACATTGAAATACTATTTTTCACCAATTAAAAATTGTAGCATCTGTGATACCCAGGACTAGAAAGGTACAGTGACACAGGCAATTTCATACCCTTGTGGTAGGAGTATATGTGGACATTACTAATGTTTACCAATACCAAGGCTTTCTCCATCTCTGACCCCCTTGAAGCTGGGAATATGTAGTTAGCAGTAGCCAAGTTCCAAAAGGGTCCAAATCACAGATTTCACTTACTACATGACACAAGAACTATTTAACCTCATTATGTCTTAATGTCTTCAAAGGTAAAACAGGGATAATAACAATAATCTACCTCATAGGGATATTTTGAGAATTCAAGCATAGTGCATGGCACGCAGTATTACTAATAATAATATAAATCACAGATCGTACTATGTAGCAGGCACTGTTCTATGCATTTATCCATAGTAGCTGATTTTATCACTCAATAAACAGTACCATTAGTATGACAATATTGCCGCATTGCTTGTAATTGCAAATATCTGAAAACAATCAAATTGTCCATCAATAGTTAAGGGGACAGTTAAACCAAAGTATACAAAGGACGTATATGTGGCTGTTATAGAGAATGAGGTAGTTCTGTACATGCTGATAGAGAAAGATTTTTTAAAAAATAGAGAAAGACTATTGTTTGACTTTGTTTTTAAAGTCTAACGGTATGAGTGTGGTTAAGAAATGGTGGGTGGATCATCTGAGGTCAGGAGTTGGAGACCAGGCTGGCCAACATGGTGAAACCCCATTTCTACTAAAAATACAAAAATTAGCCAGGTGTGCTGGTACATGCCTGTAATCCCAGCTACTTGGGAGGCTGAGGCAGGAGAATCGCTTGAACACAGAAGGCGGAGGTTGCAGTGAGCTGAGACTGCACCACTGCACTCTAGCCTGGGCAACAGAACAACACCCTATCTCAAAAAAAAAAAAAAAAAAAAATTGGGTTCTTGAGCCAGACTATCTGAGCTCATTTCCTACTAGCTGTATGGCTTTGGGAATTAAACACTTAGCCTCAGTATCCTCATCTGTAAAACAGGATTAATAATAGCAACTACTTCTGATGGCTTTTGTGGGGATTAAAGGAGCTAACAGATAAAACAGTCCCCCTGGCATATAGTCAGCAGCCAACTAATGTTATTTGCTTTATTACTAATCATTTTAACATGTCACATGGACTGAGAGATAATGGGCCTTTTTATTTTCTTTATGCTTATCTGTATTTAAAAAGATAGAGAGATTTGTCTTTTGAAAATACAAAATTGTATTCTGATATGAGAGATGTATAGAACATGTCATATGAGAAATGTTAGTAAAAAACAGTATATACAGCCCAAAGTCATTTTTATTAAAATATATTTAATGTTATGTAAATAAGTGTACATTAAAAATTTAGACATGCACTAAAATATTACCAGTGGTCTCTCTGGGAGATGGATTATAAATTATTTATATTTTCTTCTTTTTACTTATCCCTATTTTCTGATTTTCCTAAAATCAACACACATTACTTATGCAATAAGATTTTAACTGTCGTAATTTATTTCCAAGCATAGAAGTCACAAAGGAAGAGGTTAAACTGAGAGGCTTCCAATGATGTAACCAGAGATGGACTTTTGAGCAAAAACAAGTGAACAATACATGATTTACTGAGAACCCATACGTTCGATATCATGACGCTAGCAAGGAAAACAGCAATTGATCATCAGTACCTAAGACTGCCATTCTCCATTGGGCCAGGCTCCCACCTGACTTTAGGGAGGAATTTGAAAGCCAGAATCTCGCCCCAGGTAAATGCAATAGGAGCCAAAGCAGGTAACACAGCTCAGAGCTGAAGTTTGCTGAAAAGGCCAGAGGGCACTGCCTGCAAGGCTAAAAGCAACACTGCACGTCCACACGCTGGGTTTCAACACTTTTTTCACAGCAGCAAATCCATAACGGACTCTGAGTGAACTGGGAAAGAATAACTAAAACATTCAAAATACTTCCAGAAAATCATTTTGCATGATGACTTCTCTTACTATGTCCAGCTCTGAGTAAGCAAGGAAGGTCACAGGATTTTGTTCAGATTTGGAAGTAGAAAGGGAAACGTGAGGTTATACTCAGGAAATCCTTTTGCTAAGATTCAAAAAATCTGAAAATTAACAAATTCTAAAACATGCACCTTTCAATTTGCCCCTCCTCTCCTTAACATCTCTCCATAACCTGAGATGGCTACATCTATGGTTGGACTGGACTAGAGGCAATAAACACAGACACAGTAACCTCAACATGGGGTTTACAGCGCAGGAATGAGGAGGAGCCAGTGGCAGGTATAGAATGTTCCCACACCTCAACCACTGCCAGGCTCCGCAGCTCACTGATGCAGCAGACACTGCTTCAGAGCACTGCTTTATTGGTACCACTTCTGAGAAGCAGCAAAGCAGACATACGTCTTTCTCTATCATCTTCTCTGTCTCTCAATCCCTCTCAATGACAATGACTCATTCTCTCTTTCAACCTCTCTCCCTTCCTCTCTCCTACCCTCTACCCTCATTCCCACCCCCTTATCACTACACTAAGGCCAGCAAGAAGCCACAACCACAGAAGAGCTTCCAGGCAGCAGTGAAGCAGTTCAGTCTCAAAGAAAGCCAGACAGGAGTCCAGATGCCTGTGTTCCTTCTGGAGTTCGCTATATGACCTCACTATAATCCCTTTACCACTGTGGGCTTATTTTCTCATCTGGAGGACGAATGGGTAAGAAGAGACTTCTGAGGTCTTTTTCCTGCTTTAAAATTCTGTGATTTCACAATAACTGAATACAGTCACTAAACGGGAAACCACCAAGACACTGGGGGGCGGCCAGCACATAGCCATCTTTGTTGTATTTTTCATTGCAGGCTTCCAAAATGTCTGTTGCCAAGAAGTATATCCAACTAGACCCTCGGCCCATGTTTTAATTTTTATACACTGTAATTAAAAGCAGAATGACTTGCTTTCACTTTGGATTATGTAATTTCTTTCTATTCATAATGAGCAGCTCTTACATGATGCCAAGTGAGTTTTCTCTTAGGGAGCACATTCTTACTCAACCAGAGAACTGTTGGCATTTGGATTAATAGAATCAATAGTATCTTTCATTCCAAAACCAGAAATTGCTGTTTTGATATGGTCTGCCCACAGTTCTTCCAAGGAAAATATTTTTATTATTTTACTACTAATATCTCCTTACAGCTTATACATGAGTGAAGCATTTATTTTTATATTAAATAAATCATGCTCTTTAAAATAAAAATGAATATATTCTTCTTGTTAGAGCTCGGAGTTGAGGCCAGTGACTGGCCAATGAACTCACAAGTGTAGACAGGGTGTTACGCAAGGGACAAGTTTTTCACTAACACCACAAGAGTCTCTGGCCCAATGAGAGGAGTTTAATAGAAATTCTTGCTACAACTAAAAGAAAGAAAAGAACAAATAAAAGAATATACTCTCCTACTGTAAAATCTACTTAAGAAAAAGTAGGTTATCAGGTCTTTATTGCAGAAAGTGGTTTTTATTTCTTCTCTGCTGTGGAAACAAACCTCCAAATCATTGAAAGGTGGAACAGTATCCTTCTACAGAAATCAGATTTAATCTTGACAGAATTAAATAAGAATCACTCATTATACACTGATCTATGTTTTGGCAATTATACACTGATCTATGTTTTAGCAGATATTATGGAAAACTCAAAGGTGTAACAGGTTCTCTGCCCTGCAAAGAGTTTACAATCTCATATGGAAATCAAATGTACACACATGATAAATGCTACTTAAAGACCTACTGTCTGCCAAACACTATGGAAGGCACGAGGTATGTGAGTGAGACTCCACCTCTGCCAAAAAGTTCCTCACAAGCTGGTGAGAAAGCCAGACCTGAGTAACCCAGACAGTGCTAATCTCCCAGGATCACCTCCGCTGCACTTAGAGTGGGAAGTCCAGTGGCTTTCCTAAGAATGTGGTGGCTTCCAGGGTAGACAGACAGGGAAGGAGATGGAGGTAGCTTATCTTATGGTCACCTCTTGTCATTTCTCATCTCCTGGAGGTATTCCCTCTCTGTCAAGTGAAAGTAGCACCTAGTTGGGTTGGTTGGTTGGTTCGTTGGTTGGTTGGTTGGTTGGGTTTTATCAGTCTGACAATCTTTTATCTTTTAATTGGTACATTTAGAACATACACATTTAATATAATTACAAATACATTAGGGTTTACATCTACCATCTTATTTGTGCTATTCATCTCATCTATTTTATCCTTCTCTCCTTTCTTGCCTCTTTTTGACTTAGTTTTGTTTTTATTTTTCCCTCTCTCCCTCCACACACGCTCAAGTTTAGATGCTATATGCTGCTTTTGGGCTTTCATTATCCTAGAAATTACAATAAACATATCCAACTGATCAAAGTGTAAAGTTAATCAGTTATTTGACGCTTCTGCCTGATCTTAAAACACCTGAATACTATTTACACCCTTCACCATCCCCACTCCTAATTCGGAACACTGAGTGCTTCCGCCACAGTGAACCTCTTTCAGTTCCCTGAACTCTTTTCACAGCTTCTGATCGCTGGTCTTCGCACTTAGCTACTCCCCCAACTGGAATACCACCCTCTTCTCCTCACACCCTCTTCCCAACCTGGCTAAATCTTTTACACCTCTCAGGTCCTAGTTTCAGAGTTATTTGCACCCTGGCTCCCCTGTCCCTGCTCCCCTCCCCCGTGAGTTTCCCTTTGTTATGTCTGTCTTCCCTCCTAGACATTAAGTTAAAACAGTCAATGACTGCTGGGCACCTAGGCTGTAACATAAGGGTCCACCAGGACACTGCTAGCCCTCAGCACCACATAATGGATACTCAATAAATATTTGTTGAATGAACAGATGAATGAAATATAGTGGTTTCAAGACATGTAAAAATCAGGAAAGACGCAAGAAAAGTCACAGGTCACCCCCCAACACACATACAAAAAAAGTCCACTCATTATTGAAGCAGAAAGACTACTATGGTGATTTAAAGAGTGCAGGCTCCAGTGCCAGACTAAATGAATTGAAGCCCAGATTCTATCACTTACTAGTGGGTGACCTTGGATAAGGTACTCAACATCCCTGTGTCTTTGGAAAATAGAGATAACCATAAAACAAACTCATCAGGTTGTTATAAGGAACAAGTAAGCTAGCACTTGAAAAGTATTTAGAAGACTTCCTGTTAAGATTCTGTATATACAGGCATACTCTGGAGATTGTGTGGGTTCAATTCCAGACCACAACAATACAGTGAATATCACAATAAAGCAAACATCACAATAAAGTGAATCACTCCAGTGATTCACTGTGAATATAAAAGTTGTTGACACTATACTGCAGTCTATTAACTGTGGAAGAGCATTCTGTCTAAAAAGAAAACAATGTCAATGTACACATCTTGATTAAAAAATACTTTATTGCTAAAAAAAATACTGACAATCATCTGAGGCTTCAGTAAGTTGTAATCTTTTTGCTGATGGAAGGTCTTTCCTCATTACTGATGGCTGCTGACTGATCAGGGTGGTAGCTGCTGAAGGCTGAGGTGGCTGTGGCAACTTAAAAAATAAGACAAAAATGAAGTTTGTCACATCAATGGTCTCTTAAGACAAAAGATTTCTCTGTAGCATACAATGTTGTTTGACAGCATCTTACCCACAGTAGAGCTTCTTTCAAATCTGAAGTCAATCCTCTCAAACCCTACACTACTTTATCAACTAAGTTTATGGAATATTCTAAATCCTTTGTTATCATCTGAACAATGTTCACAGCATCTTCACCAGGAGTAAATCCCATCTCAAGAAACCACTTTGTTTGTTCATTCATAAGAAGCTACTCCTCATCCACTAATGGTGCATCCTGGAATTGTAGTAATTCAGTCATATCATCAGGCTCCATTTTTAATTCTAGTTCTCTTGCTATTTCCATCAAATCTGTAGCTACTTTCTCCACTGCAGTCTTGAACTCACCCCTAAAGTTATCCATGAGGGTTGGAATCAACTTCTTCTAAACTCCTGTTCATGTTAGTATTTTGATGTCCTCCAATGAATCACAAATGTTCTTAATGGCATCTAGAATGGTGAATTCTTTTCAGAAGGCTTTCAATTGACTTTGCCCACATCCATCAGATAAATTACTATCTATAGCAGCTACAGACTTATGAAATATATTTCTTAAATAATAAGACTCAAAAGTCAAAATTACTCCTTGAGTCATTGGTTGCAGAATGAATGCTGAGTTAACAGGCATGAAAACAACATACATCTCCTTGTAGATTTACATAAGCGCTCTTGGGTGACTAGGTGCATGGCTGAAGAGCAGTGATATTCTGAAATAAATATTCTTCTAAGCAGCAGGCCTCAACAGTTGGCTTCAAATATTCAGTAAACCATGCTGCTAATAGACGTCCTGTCATACAGGCTTGGTAGTTACATTTATAGAGCACAAGTAGAGTAGATCTAGCATAATTCTGAAGGGCCCTAGGATTTTTAGAATGGTAAATGAGCAATGGCTTCAACTTCAAGTCACCAGCTGCATTAGCCCCTAACAAGAGTCAGCCTGTCTTTTGAAGCTTTGAAGCCAGGCATTGACTTCTCTGTAGCTATGTAAGTTCCAGACGGCATCTTTTCCCAATAGAAGGCTGTTTTGTCTACATTGAAACTGTGATGTTTAGCATAGCCTCAGTCATCAATGGTCTTAGCTAGATCTTCTGAATAACTTGATGCAGCTTCTACATGAGCAATTGCTGCTTCACCTTTATGTTATAAAGATGGCCTCCTTCCTTAAACCTTATGAACCAATGTCTGCTAGCTTCCAATTTTTCTTCTGCAGCTTCCTTACCTCTACCTCTCTCAGCCAAGAATTGGAGGCTTGCTCTGAATTAGGTTTTGTTTTACGTGAATGTTGTAGTGATTTGATCTTCCATTCAGATGACTCAGATTTGCTCCATATCAGCAATAAGGCTTCTGCTTTCTTATCTTTCACATATTCACTGAAGAAGCACTTTGAATTTCCTTCCAGAACTTTTCTTTTATATCCACAACTTGGCTAACTGTTGGTGCAAGAGACCTAGCTTTTGGCCTGGCTTCAACACGCCCTTCTCACTAAGCTTAATCATTTATTTGATTTCAAGTGAAAAACATGCAACTGTTCCTTCCACGTGAACACTTAGAGGCCATTATATAGTTATGAATTGGATTAATTTCATATTGTTGTGTCTCAGGGAATAGCGGGACAGGGGAAGGACCAGTCGTGGAGCAGCCAAAACATACGACAATTTTTAAGTTCTCCATCTTACATGGACACAGTTCTTGGTGTCCCAAAGCAATTACAAGAGTAACATCAAAAATCACTGACTGGTGCAGTGGCTCATGCCTGTAATCCTACCATTTTGGGACGCTGAGGCAAGAGGATTGCTTGAGTCCAGGAGCTGGAGACTAGCCAGGGCAACATAGCCAGACGCCGTCTCTACAAAAAAAAAAATGTTTTAACCGGCTGGATATGGTGGCATGTGCTGTAGTCCCAGCTACTAAGGAGGCTGAGACAGGAGGATCATCTGAGCCCAAAAAAGTTCAAGATTGCAGTGAAATATGATTGTGCTACCATACTCCAGCCTGGGCAACAAAGTGAGACACTATCTCATTATTTAAAAAAAAAAAAAAAAAATCACTGATCGCAGATCATAACAATAGGTATAATAATAATAATGAGAAAGTTTAAAATATCGCAAGAATTACAAAAAGGTGACAGAGAGACACAAAGTGAGCACAGTGGGAAAATGATGCTGAAAGACTTGCTCCACACAAAGTTGCCACAACCCTTCAATTAAAATAATAATAATAATAATAATAATAATATCTACAAAGCACAATAAAACAAGCTATGCCTACATGTTTACAATAGAGCTGACTCTCTAGTTGTTAAACCACATAACTGAACTACACAATTCTCAACAGATCCTTACTTAAAGCCCAGGTATTCATACATTAAAATGATCCTAACATAATGTCTTTACATTATGGTACAAATTTATAGCCCATGAAGACAACATCACTGCATTAAAATATTTGAAAACAATCAACCAGAATTATTTTAAAAAGTTAAACAGTATTAAGTGCATACATTAAAAATACCAAAAAAATGGGGCAGTAATACATTTTTTAAAGAATGCTCTCAAAAAATGTTATCAAAGAAACTATTTGAGCATTTGAAGGAACAACTTTCAGTTTTTAAAATGAGGCCACAATATAATTTTGTGAATTTTGTAGTCTTACCAAATTGTATTATAATTCCTTAATTGTAGCTACAAAAATGTTGAGGTTTTTAAATTTTTTCACATTTGAAATTTTCCAAATAATAAAAGTAAATATTCACTATTATCCCATAAGACAGACAAAAAAGATCATACTTCTGCCAACCTGACTGTGGGGTAGTACGGCCAAGCTGCAGTGCACAAGGCAAAGACCTTGGAGGCTGTGAAGGCAGCCAGTTTCCCCTCATAGATCCACCAACTTAACCAGCTCAATGTCACCAGGAAATGGTCCTAACCCTGACCCATCACGCTTCGCTTTTTTGTTTTGGCGGTGGGGGGACAGAGTCTCACTCTGTTGCCCAGGCTGGAGTACGGTAGCGTCATCTTGGATCACTACAACCTCTGCCCTCCAGGTTCAAGCGATTCTCGTGTCTCAGTCTCCGGAGTAGCTGGGATTGCAGGTGCCCGCCACCACACCCGGCTAATTTTTATATTTTTAGTGGAGATGGGGTTTCGCCATGTTGGCCAGGTTGGTCTCGAATTCCTGAGCTCAAATGATCTGCCCGCCTTGACCTCCCAAAGTGCTGGGATTACAGGCGTGAGTCACCGCGCCCGGTCATCCTTTGCTTTTATAGAGTGGAGGGCTGCCCTGTCTTTACCTGGTTCTGGAACTGAAACACTATACCTCCTGTAAAATTATGAGCCTTTGGAGTCTCATTAAAATGAACAAACACAAGCACAGAGGTCTGCATATAGAATATCTGGGGCCCTAAATTCCCTAATACTTAAGAATACAATCACTGTCCTATTGTGTTTCTTGCTTATTTATCCTAATAGGAAGGCACCAGGAATTCCCTAGTTAAGAGATGATATAAAACATATTTTGAATGAAAGCTGCAATAAAGCTACAAACTATGATTTGGGGTCTTTGCTTAAGTCTGAGATACTTGGGGACTTTATCATGAAACATTAGTTTACTTGTCTTTTGTCAAGAGTAATTGCCTAAACTTGAATAGAAATATGAGCTTTTTCAGTTAAACATACTCCTAAAAATAGCATTTTCTTCTGGGATTTGACTACTAAAAGCAGGCATTTCAATGAAGTCAATGGCACTTATCAGTAAAAAATCATTTTTTAAGTTGTAATGAGATCTTTTCTTTCTAAATATTAAAATATTAGAATGATGTATTTCATTTTCCTAGAAGCCAAATAAATATTTCCTATTTAGTTTGGACATTCATGGATACTTTTTTTAATGGATACTTTCTAACTCTAAATTAATAGTATTATATTATAATTACATTTTATTATTATAGTTTGCTGTCAATATCCTACCTCACTTTGTTACTCAAAGTTCTATTTAAAGACCAAGATTACAGTTGTATCTAAAATTCCTAGGTCACAAAATGTAGGGTAGCACAGCAGTAGAACCTTAAAATACACATTGGATAATGATGTAACAAAACCTCATTAACTTAGATTAATTGTGCAAGGTCAAAATGAATTTAGGAGTTTTATCTTAAAAAGAAAATAATTTTGATGCTTTCACATACAGAGAATAACTGAAATTGGATTAACAGTAGAGGTCCCTGGAGAAACTGCATTAATGAATAGATATAAATGACTGTCATTAGAACTTCAGTTATCAAGTTTTCAAAGGCACATAAATTGTTTTCGCCCCTTGGTGTTAAGTTTTTCACTTGTTTTTGTTAGTGCTTTTATTTTGCCTTTACTGTCAAATACTGGGTACCTCATATGAGTTGCACTGTGTTTCTGATTTAATTCCCAGAACACGCTTGCAAGGTTGGTATTATTACCCCATTTTGTATCCGAAAGATACACTCAAGGATCAGGGAATTCAGTAAGGTCTCTCTGGCTTTTTCTGCTTCACTACACATTCTCAGGAAGTCCATAAGCTCTTTCTTGAGATAAAATGGTCTCAGCAAAAAAAAAAAAAAAGTTCAATGTTTGAAAAAAAAAATCTCACAAGCATTTTATTAATGGTGCTGTATTTCCTTATCCGGTCAGCAGATATATTACTATGGCTCTTTTTGAAGAGTTAGACACTTCACTTATCGCTGAATGCCCCTAAAGTATTCTTTAAACCCAACGGGCTAACGTAGCCATTTGCAAACTGGGTACAAAAGAGAGTACTCCATTAAGGGAAGACCAAGATGAGGCAGAACAAAGAGCCAGCAGTGGGCAGATAAGGAACTTCTTCCCACGCCTAATCCATGAGGACTTGAGGAAAAAAATCAACTCACTTTTCTGGACCTCACACACCGTGGGCCTACTTTAACCCATTTATGCTTAGTGTTCCATTAATGGAACGCTAAGCTTGTGGGAGTTATGTATATCCTACTGCTCAAGGTCATCGCCAAGGTCTGATCTTTTCACAAAAAAAATTTGCAACCTCCGGCACAAATGGGTTAATGGTGCCGTCACAGGGAGGCGAACAACATACTATGCATAATAGTGCTTTGCAAACTATACCTAATAATTTGGTAAAACATTTTCACTCCACCCTTTTGTTTTTAAAAGATATACAACACTCACGGTATTATTTATTATGTTTTAGAAGAAAATTTTTTGAGGTTTAGCTTAAATTTTAAAACTACCAGGAAATAAATGAGATTTATTTTAGAGAAATTTATTTTCTTTTTTATTTTTTTTTTTATATATATTTTTTTAAGACGGAGTCTCGCACTTTCGCCCAGGCTAGAGTGCAGTGGCGCAATCTCGGCTCACTGCAAGCTCTGCCTTCCAGGCTCACGCCATTCTCCTGCCTCAGCCTCCCAAGTAGCTGGAACTACAGGCACCCGCCACCACGCCTGGCTAATTTTTTGTATTTTTAGTAGAGATGGGGTTTCACTGTGTTAGCCAAGATGGTCTTGATCTCCTGACCTCGTGATCCACCCGCCTCGGCCTCCCAAAAATCTCTGCCTGTAATCCCAGTACTTTGAAAGGACAAGGCAGAGGATCATTTGAAGCCAGGAGTTCAAGACCACCCTGGGCAACACAGTGAAACCCCATCTCTACAGATAATTTTTAAAAGTCAGCCAGGTGTGGTGGCACGTGCTATAGTCCTAGCTACATAGGAGGCTGAGGTGAGAGAATCACCTGAGCCCAAGAGGCAGCAGTGAGCCGTGACTGCATCACTGCACTCCGGCCTAGGCAACAGAGCAAGACCCTGTCTCAAAAAAAAAGAAAAAGAAAGAAAATAATAAATCCGTTTTGCAAAATGAGCTGCAATTACATAATCTAAATCTGAGTGTACACAAAAAATACAAAACAAGGGCCTAGGCTTTAAGTTTTTCATTCTTTCAACAAATATTTACATAGTACCTACCATAAGCCAAGCACCATGCTAGCAATGGGGCAATAACACCGAACAAAACAAAGCCCTTAATTGCTAGATATACTTGAATCCCTTGCATTTAATAGTGCTTGGCACAAAGTAAGCACCAATGAATGTTAGAAAAAATAAATAAATAAATACATATATATATATACACATGAATAAGTTAGGTGTATAAAGGAGACCAGAAAGCAGCCTGTCACTAGAAAAGCTGCTTGAATTGAATTCTGAATACATAAAACATGTGAGTCCTTTGCAAAGATTTGACTAAAAGTGCCCTGATAAATCTGCTCCACTAGAATCGTGTAGTAAAGGGAATGAAAGGAAAAGCACGAAAGCCCTATTCCCAAACTGCGAATAAGACACTCCTGCCTCTCTGTTATCTTGGAAATAAAACTGTAACAGATGAAAATGAGACAAACAAATCTCTAATTTAAAAAATAAATAAGCCCGCAAGTGGAAAACCTGCTTTTCATCAATCAAATAAATCAGGGAAGGCGGCATTTCTAGGCCATTGCCCTTGGGTCTACCACAGCACTTAGGAAATGGTTTTCCTAATTAGTCTAATCATCACTTCTGTTCTACATGGTTGTAGCTGACTAATTACCCAACTCAAAAATGCTCACCCAACCCCCAATGCCAAGCTCCTCCAGAGCTCTATTTCCAATCACACTACTTAAGCCATTGTTCACAAGAACATTAATGACACTATCACATGTTTAAAAAGTGTTGATTTGAAGGTGTGGAAGAGAGTCCCCAAACTTGGGGACTTTTTTACCTTAGAAACTTTTAAGGAACAGAAATATGCAAATAAGAGCAGGGAAAATAACTTTGGTTTCTGAAATTCTCTTAACCATTGTTTTACAAGTCTACAGCAATGGAAAAATGACATGGAATAAAAAGCGTGTGTTTGTCCGGGAATGTAAGCGCTTGCCATTTTGCCATGGGGGCTTCAAAGCTGACTGCAAGCCAGGGCCGAGCCCACCATGTGACTGTCACTGTGTTCTAATAAACAGCAGCCTGCATGGTCGGGACTCCAGGTAAAGATAAATTGGGTTCCGTAGGTATTCTTTTTTCAGACGGCCTCTATTCAATTCCTCCAGTTTTAAAATTCTCTTATGAAGAAATAAATAGCATGCCAGAGATGACAAAGGCCATGAATGTAAAAACACAAGGTAGCGGGGCTGAGTCTCAATAACCAGTGAGCACCTCCTGTGCACTGGAGCTAGACACTGCACAATGTTCTAGAAGCCATTTTTTGTTCTAGGACAATTTTTGAAGTGGTTTCATTTGCCTTATTACCTCAGATAGGTGTTGCTGAGTGACTGGACAGATTTCTTCTGCTTTCAGTCTCTTTTCATGGGTCCTTCAGAATGAGTTTTGGAAAGGAGAAAAACAAAAAGAGACCAGAAGGAACTGAGAAGCTCAAAGCATCAAAGGTGAATAAATTTGGTATTTGGTTTTATTTTTAACATGTAGAAGAGCATCAAAGAAAAAAGAAACACAGATTTTAGTCAGGAAACAAAAATTACTCAAAATAGCAAGTATAGGTTAGATGATTTAATGAGAATACTAGGGATTAGAGAATGTCCCAGCTCTATTAATAAATTATCTTGGGCAAATCTCCTTAGTTCTGAGGTCTGATTACATTTTCTATGCTCATAGTACCTTCTTCTTACATAACTTGCATCATCTCAAACAAATCTAAAAACCAACAACAATAAATATCCTAACAAATGGCACTTTTTATTCCTTTAAGCTGCCTCTCAAGAGCCACCCTGCAAGTGGGGTTTGGATCAACTTCCCACCTGACATATGCCCAACCAAGTGGCTATTCTAATGCCTCAGCACTGTGCTAGAATCAATGGTGAAGAAAGATGAAATGCTGCCTTATCTTTGATCTAAGAAGCTTATAGTCTAGGTGGAAGGATGTAACACAAAGCAATATCCAACAAGAGTGCTACATCTCAATAAATGGCAACTCCAAGAATCCCCATTAATTGAGGCAGAAATCTATGTCATTCTTCCTTTCCTTACACCCCATCAATCATCAGGTTCTGTTGATCTACACAAAATGTGGCTCATTTATCTTTCCACTTGTCTGTATCACAGCTGCCACCATCCCTGTCCAAGAAATCTTCATCTCTCACCTACAAAAGCTCACTGATTAATCCCTCTGCTTCCTTTCTTGCCCTCTTCAATCCGTTCTTCACAGGGCATCCAGAGTGATTTTTTTAAAAGGCTAAACTGCTTAAACCTCTTCAGTGACCTTCCATGTTCACAGGATAAAATCCAGGTACCCTCCTTTAGCCGTAAGGCCCTGCATGGTCTGGCCCTAGCTTATCTTTGCAATCCCATGCCTTCATTCCTACCGCTCCACCCACTCTTCCTCACTTGGCTCCGCCGCCTGGCCTTCTCTCAGTTCTTCATATGCGACGCTCTTTTCTGCCCATGGCCATTGTGCTTGATATTCCTCTGTACGGCATATGCTTCCTCTGGCCAGCGCCATTTCATCTGCCAGGGACATCTGCTGTTCCTGCCTGGCCAGCAATCCTTCTCCTGGTAACAGAACACCTTTTTTCTTCTTGAAGTCACCTTTCCCTCATTCTCACTCCATGTGGTTTGGCTTAAACTGGCAACTTCTCCTCATCCCCACCCGGGCAATCTACAATTACCAGGATATTTCTGGTAATAAGGAAACAAATTTTAATTGAAATTTTTTAAAACAGAATATTTTAAAGTAATTACACAATCAGAAAAGGTTGCCTGTGCCTATGAATACCTTCTCCAGAGGCCTGTCCTCCACCTACCTTTCCATGATCTGTAATTCCCCTGATGATCACATTCACGAACAGATCAACCAAGCTGCAGTGTTACACTAACAGTCATGC
Organism: Homo sapiens; assembly: GCF_000001405.40. Lineage (NCBI taxonomy): Eukaryota > Metazoa > Chordata > Mammalia > Primates > Hominidae > Homo > Homo sapiens. Next base: position 18,990,865 of record NC_000008.11, read on the forward strand.
AGTGATCTCAGTTTTGCCAAAGTGCTTTCAAATAACTGAGGAGTGGGGGAAGCAAAATCCTGCCTCCAAAGACAGTTAAAAGGACCAGATGATCCTCTTACTCTCTCCTATTAACCCAGATAAATTTATCAGCTCAGCTAGCTGATACTTCAGCCCCAGGAAAGTGAAATACATAACTGGGGTAGAAGAAGCTGCCGGCCAGAGCCCAAGGAAAATGGGGCACCAGAAACACGGGTTTTACATGGGCCCAATTCAGTTTTACATAGGGTCTCTCCCTCATCCCGCGTGGAGATTAGCAAGTCAAATTTAATACTTTTGACCACACACTGGTTTAGATGCAGTATTGAACTAAGTCAGACTGAATTTCAGTGGTAAAAATACACAAACAAAAAATTACTACAGAAGTGAACTTGGCTACAGAGTCATAAGGTGATGTGTTTACTCTCTCGGACAATAATCTTGGGCAACAGAAAACACACACACACACATACACACACACACACACACATACACACACACACACACACACACACACACTCCTGAAACTCCCTGGGGAGGTTTCACAGTACACCACTTCCCTGGGTGTCCTGTGGCTAGGGTCAACTGTGACCTACAGGCAGGGCCTTCTCTGACTGCTTTTATTGATAGCTGAACCACCAGAATTGGTCCAAAATTGGTAATACCTGTGGAATGAGGGAGGGAGCATTTGTCAATTTGGGACACCACCAAAACAGCCAGTGACACTTAAAAAGACTAATTCATATACATGCAAAACAAACAGTGTTAATTAAGTTAGAGGTGTCATTTTAATGCTTGTTTCAATGTCAGGACCTTTAGACAAAGGCATTAAAGACATTTTGTCTGAGCTCTAAAGTAAAAATAAATTAAGGGTCTGAATTAGCACCCTCAATCTAGCTTCAAAACAACTTTTATCCATGTTTAAAATCCCCTTGACTAAATTATCAAAATAATGGCTGTGCTTTTATTGAATATTTACAATGCGCCAGACATGGGGCTGAGCATTTCACAATCACGATTTCCCTTAAATCATTCAACCCTCAAAAACACTCCTACGTAACAAGTTTTACCCTCATTGTACTAATGAAGAAACTGAGGCTCAGAAAAACTAATACGTTTGCCCAAAATTGAATCATCAGTGAAAATGTCCATCAAACCTAGGTCGGTCAAATTCCATCATGAATTCATAATGGTTTCCAAACCAGTCTATGGTAGAACATTTTTAACAGGTTTATACCCTGTTTTTATGAAAAAGTTTCAGGCTTTATTGTGAATTCAGTTATATAACTAATAAGGATCAGACCTCAAACTGCAGTTAATCCCAATTGTGTGCTGAGATCAAAAGGTATGTCTCATTAAATCAAGGCAAGTGGGACTATAGCTTGCTGAAACTCCCAGGGAATCCTTTTAATTTGTTAGTGATACTTAAAAAAAAAAAAAATCTTCTAATCTTCTGTTCAAAACAATTTGATGGTTTCTCATCTCACAGTAAAAGCTAATGACCCTACAGTTGTGCTTGGAAGTGTCTGGCACACACCTCAATAAATACTTGTTGAATGAATGGATAAATTCAGAGAGCCACTATATCCTTTCTTATCCTTTCAATAAAAAGATGCACAAGTTTCCAGGGAAATAAAACACTAACAATAAAAGAAGTTGACGAACTGAAAGCTTTTCTTTAGGAAAATCACTGAACTCCAAGTTCAGATAAGATAACCAAAAAGGACTCAAGTGTGCCCTAATTAGAACAAATGAACTTCAGGCTACTTCATTTTGTTAACTCTGAAGAAGATTCAACAGGACCTTTAAAAATGTACTAGAAATGATTCAGTCTTCTTCATCCATACATTAGAAACCATAATTTTTTTTAAGTAGTGGACTTGAAGTCAACACCTGAGTACTTGTCCAACTTTGTCCTTAATTCATTTTCTTTCTGTTTCCTCATTTGCAAAATGACATGAGACTCCAAGATTTCTAAGGTCCGTCTGAGCTCTGATATTGTATTATTAATCACAATCTCCAACTTAATTGACAAAACAACTCAATAATTATTTCTATCATAAAAATAATCTGATTAAAGGACGCAATTTATTACAAAATCAGAAATAGACACCTCATCCAAAGGTCAATTCCTAATTTCTTGTATAATCCAAATCTTCCAAATGCAATAATTTAATCCAGAATATCTAGGGAGTGACATAGCCTCTGTCCCATTAAAATTGGATTAAAATCCAAAATAAGAAAATCTTGTAAATGTCTTTTCTGTAGTCCTCAGAGAAAGACAGAGTGAGTGTACTCCTTTTGCCAGAGTCAGTTTTCTCTTTAGATCATATTCTTTATTCCAAACACTTACTGGTAACTATTACGTCCACTAAGTCTTCTCTCCTTAGGTTAAAGATCACAGTTCTATGACCTCTCCTGACATCACATGATTTTTTCACCACTCACATACCTGTTCACTGTTAATGTCCCCCTTTAAATGTGACACCCAGAATCCAATAAAATAATTCTCAGAGTCTCATTGTTTCAGAGTATAGTGGCACTGTTTCTGGCACTTATTTATTGATGAAGATAAAACCAACTTGACAGCATTGCTTTAACAGTTAAATAAGATAATGAGTGTAAAGTCTTAACACAAGGTTTGGCAGATAGTAACCTCTCAATAAATGGCTACTGCTGCTGTGATTGCTAGTAACAATAAATTGTAATACTATTTCATGAGTATTAGAGCTTATCCCCCCAATTCAGTTGTATGCTTTAGCTCTCAATAACACTGAAAGTTTGCCTTATACATTATTAGCTGTTTTTCCCCACATCAGGGATAGGTAGAAAAAATGCTGAGGCTCAATTTAAATCGAAGATCAATCAGAAACCAAGATAAAGTAACTCTGAAATTAAGACTTAAATTAATGGCAAACAGGGTATGATTTATTTAAGGAGTTAATTTATCCTCTGTTTTCCAGAACAATTTGATTATATCAAACAATTTGATTATATCAATATAATTTGATTATATCAATCACTTTTTTCAGCTAAAGAGCACTATCCCTCAATCATACCATTTAAAAGATGAAGCAAATGTATGTATCACTGACATGTGCTGAGAAGGCAGTCTGGCACAGAGTTGAAGGGAGTGAGCTCTGGAACCGGACTGACTAGAGTTCCGTATCCTAGATCTACCACTTACCCACTGTGTGATCTAAGGCAAATTACTTAACCTCTCTGGTCTCAGGCTTCACATCTATAAAATGTGAGTCATGACAGGACCTATCTACCTTATGAGGGGCAGTAAATTATCCTAAACAACATTGCTAAAAATGTATTATCTGGAAGTCTCAGACATTTTCAATTTTTATAGGTCCTCATCTCTGTTAGCCATTGCTGAAGTCAATCAACATGTTTGTATTCTCTGCATATTTATAATTATCTATTTTCTGAAACATCCATTTGTTTTTACGGTAGATTTTAAGATTACTGTAAAAAAATCCATCTTTATTTTAATACTTAACTAACCATATATGCCTCACTACAGCAAATCATGTGTTGGTATTAACAGAGAATTATGAGATAAAGAAACAAATAAAACTGTGCTTGTCATACCTGCAGCTGCTCTGCATATACACCTGTGCTGTCTAATACGACAGTCACATGGGGCCATTTAGCACCTGAAATATGGCAGATGTGCTGTGAGTGTAAAATATAGGCCAGATTTCTAAGTACAAGCAAAGAATATAAATTATCACTAAGCTTTTGTCAAAATGACAATATTTCGGACACAGTAGGTTAAATAAAATATATTACCTACATTACTTCCATTGATTTCTTTTTACTTTTTTTTAATGTGGCTACTAGAAAATTTAAACTTACTTGTGAAATTCTCATCATATTTCTATTGAATAGCACCCATACAGAAGATCCTAAAAAGTATGCCTCATTAAAATCAGGACAAGATCTATGGTCTAAAGTATAGCAGAAACTAAATGTAGAATTTACAGGAATTTTCAGAGTTCAGATAATTAATTTCAAACTCTTCTCCAACCCCCACCGAGACATATCCTTTTATAGGTACTTTTTAAGTACCGCGTCCAGTCTAGAGCCATCTAAGAAGCTTTCATTAGCCAGTGGTGACTTTCAAAGGTTTATTCTATTTTCCACAAGCTGACAAAATTTATTTATAACAAAGCCAAAGGACTGCTTTCCAGCAAGGGAGCTGTTTACTGAAGAGATTTGGCCTTAGCAAGTAGGAATCCAGAGAATTTAAAAGCTGACAACTGAACTGGCAAATTGGCCCCAGTACTGGGACTTTGCCTATAGCTCCAAAGCATGTACTCAGAGGTCTAGGACAAATATGGCCTTGGGATGTGAATGAGACCCAGAAGTCTGGCCTTCCCTACATAATGCAAATGAAACTTGGCCTAGTCTCTTCAGCTATCTAATTACTAAACAAAACTCCCAGACGCCAGTAGCTTTTTTGCAAAGATCAATAAAAATGCAGAGTGGAAAGCGGAGATACTGAAATGCTATCAACAAATGCTACAACAATATATTGTTGTTCTGAGTCTGAAAGTTCCAGCTGGAAAAGGCCCAATGTGGCAATAATAGAGAAGTAGAGGAAGAGCAGAAGCAAAATCTAAGGAGGAAAAATAAACCAGGAAGTATTACCCTAAGATCTCTTTCTACTCAAAATGAGGTGCACCAGTGTATTAGTCTGTTCTCAGGCTGCTATTAAAGACATGCCCGGGACTCAGTAATTTCTAAAGGAAAGAGGTTTAATTGATGCACAGCTCAGCTTGACTAGGAAGGCCTCACAACCATGGAGGAAAGCAAACGGCCAAAGGCACATCTTACATAGTGGCAGGCAAGAGAGCATGTGCAGGGGAACTGCCTTTTATAAAACCATCAGATCTCGTGAGACTTATTCACCATCAATAGAAACAGCAGGGAAAAACCCACCCCCATGATTCAATTACCTCCCACCAGGTCCCTCCCATGACACGTGGGGATTATGGGAGCTACAACTCAAGACCAGATTTGGGTGGGGACACAGCCAAACCATATCAGCCAGCATCCGTAGCATCACCTAGTAGCTTGTTAAACATGCAGATCTCAGGCCCCACTCCAGAACTAAAGAATCAGAATCTTCACTTCAACAATGTCCCCAGGTGATTTCCACAGTAATGTCTGGGAAACAACTGGTCATCCACACAAGATCCAAGGACACCGGTTTCTTTAAATTCTTACTCTTATTACCCATCTGTTGCCCTGTGGTTGCTACCTGGAAACATGGGGCCTTTTGTGTTTAATGCATGCAATGAACATTTAGTTGACTGAATAAATTCTTGGAAAATGTGATCTTATACATGCTTAATGGACGGTGGGGAATCTGTGCCTCAGATGAGAGCTAAAGAAGTCATCAGTTACTGAAAACATGTGGACAGAGTGTACCTCAGATCCATGCATATTGCATAACTATTAACAGAACTAGGGACTCCCTGAGGTTGAACAAGATGAGCAGACACAATTCATACCCAAAAGACATTTATTTAACGGCTCAGACAAAAGAAACAGTTTTGATTTTTGATGGAGATGGGAAGATAAGGACTTTATGTTGAAAAAAATCAACAGCATTAACAAAAATTAGTGTTTACAACAGTAAGCTAGATGATTTGGGCTGTTTTAAATTACACCAAAGGTCCTTTGGGAATTATGCTACTACATGAAGCATCATATTTTTTTCCTCTTTACTGTCTTTCCCATTGGTATTCGAACATGCTGTTACTTCCTGCATTTTTAAAACATCTCTTGACCTCATTTCTCCCTGCAGCTACATTTCTCACATTCTCTTTACAGCAAAAATCTTTGCAATATTTTTCTACATTTGATGTTTCCGTTTCTCTACTTCTGCGCTCTCTTACATACCCACTGATCAACATTTGGTCCCCACTACTACACTATAATCCCAGTTGGTTATCAACCTCAGCAATGACATCTCCATTGCTAAATCCCTGGGTCAAATCTCATTTGCCCCTCATTTTACTTTACTTCCCGGGAGAATCTGACTCATCTTGCTTGAAGTGGTTTTTTCACATGGCTGGCAAGACCTCGCACTCTCGATTCCCCTCATTCGCTGCTTTCCTTCATTCTCCTTTATTGGTGCCTTCTCATCTCTTCAATCTCAGTGTGGAAGCAGCCCAGGTTTTGGCCCTCAACTTCTTTTCCTTTCTATTGACATTCGCTCCCTGTGGATTTCATCCAGTTTGTATATTCTGACAACTCTCAAATGTTCACCTCTAACCCAGCCCCTTCCTCTGTAATCCAGATAAATATATCCACCTGCCTACCAGACAGCTCCCTGACTGAGCTCCTGATCCTTTCCAAAATCAGCTTCTCCCTATCTCAGTTAATGCACCTCCATCCTTCAAGATGCACAGGCCAGTATTTTGCAAGTCACCCATGCTTTCTCCCACTCACATCCCACATTCAGACAATGAGAATATCCTTCCCACTCAACCTTCAAAACATACCATGGTGGTCCAAGCCACCACCCTCACTCACCTAGGTTACAACAGCCTCCCAACTGGTTTTCCTACTTCCACTCTTCCCCGCTTCAGTCTATTCTCATGAGACACAGCAGCAGCATGTCCTCCAAGAACATCAGCCAGATCATGTCCCATCTTTATTTGAAACTCTCTAACAGGCTTCTCTGCTCACTCTCAGTCCAAACCGAAGCCCTTGCAATAGCAACAAGGCCCCACAGGACCTGGCGACGGTGTCCGGTCCGACCCCACTGCTCACTGTGCTCCAGTCACACTGGTGTCCCTGTTCCTGGAAGGCAGGAAGTATGGCTCTGCCTCAGGGCTCTGCACCTGCTGTGCCCTCTTCCCGGTGCACTTACCTTCCTTCTTCAGGTCTTTCCTCATGCGTCACCTCAACAAGGTCATCCTTGACCACCCATTTGTAACTGCAACTCCACCCCCTCCCAAACTCCCTCCTCTGCCTTATTTTTCCCTGAAGGGCTTCACACTGTCAACATACTACACACACGCACATGCAGACACAACTCATACACTGTCTGTCTTACCTTGTAAGAACAAGGATTTTTTTCTTTTTTAATTTTTATTTTACTTATTTTTTTGTCTGTTTTGTTGACCACTGTATCCCTGGAACCTAAAATAATGCCTGCCTCATAGGAGACACTCAAACACCATCTGTTGAATGAATGTATGAATGAAGGAAAAGTGACTGTGACACAGAACTGCATATGACCTATTACAGTACGCCCTGTAGCCTTTTAAAAGAGTTGTATTTTAAATAAGTCACTTGGTATGCACATATATTCAGATACCGTGGAAAAGACAAAGCTGCGCCAATTTGATAATTAAATTAACCACATACAAAATCTGGCCCATTGTAAAGAAAAAGCTCTCTTAACTGAGAGATGCCCTGAAACACTCCAAGGGTGCTAGGCTTTCTCAAAACCCTGGACCTTGCTTCACCAGAGCTCATTTAAAAGATGGGTCCTGGGCCGGGTGCGGTGGCTCACGCCTGTAATCCCAGCACTTTGGGAGGCCGAGGCGGGTGGATCACAAGGTCGGGAGATTGAGACCATCCTGGCTAACACGGTGAAACCCCGTCTCTACTAAAAATACGAAAAATTAGCTGGGTGTGGTGGCATGCACCTGTAGTCCCAGCTACTCAGGAGGCTGAGGCAGAAGAATCGCTTGAACGCGGGAGGCGGAGGTTGCAGTGAGCCAAGATCTTGCCACTGCACTCCAGCCCGAGCAACAGAGCGAGATTCCATCTCCACAAAAACAAAAAACAAAAAAATGGGTCCCAAAAGGTCCACCCTTTCTGCAAGCAGGTGAATGTAGCCAGGCTAATATAATGGACTTTGATTTCTTTAGATGAAAGAGAAATTATGATGCAAAGTACAAAGCACTTTATAGTTATGATACATAAATTCCAGGTGTAACCCATTTTCAGTGAACTTCTGGACTCAAGTACAAGACAGAAAAAAACGTTTTTGTTATACTTTAGTAACTCACTCACTCTGTAGATGGACATGGTGGGTCCCATTTTTATAAACCACATTTCTTAAAAACCTAAAATTATCTTCCAGGTGAAAGGAAAGCAAAATAATCTCAGCAAACATTTTAGATGTAGAAATAAATTATTCAGGAGGGAAGCAGCTTTGTACACAACATAAGTGATGTGAGGCAGACAAATGCCAAAAGTGATTTTAGAACAAAATGGAAAGAATGTCCTAATGTCTCTACCTTATAATAACCCTTTTCATTCCTTAGACCATAACAGGTTTGCTTTTGTTTCTGAAGTTATGTATACAGCAGAAATTCTTAACCACCCTCCAATTAACCAACTCCAGGATGTCTCACAAGGTGACACAAGTTACCCGGGAAGACATGCTGGCTGATGCCCATTCATACCTGCTGCTCACAGCTGGTGACAGATAAAGAAACAGAATGAAAAAATCAGTACCTGGCGCTCAGGCTGTGGTCTTAAGACTACAGCAAGCTCATGAAATTCTGCCCACATGACTGAGGTGGCGATTACCAAGAATCAGTTGTGTTTGCACCTGAATGGATTTGTCCTGGTTGTACTTGCTACCAAAATTATGTAACTTAAATATTATGTAAAACAAACATAAGCATAATGAGAGAGAGAGGTGTATTGCTAAATGGAATGCTTTAGAAAGAAGCCATTAAATGGCCACAAGAGAATTCTACTGACAAATTTTTTATTTTAAAATTATTTTTTACTAAACAGAGGCAAAATAAAACTTTACAAAATATTTATAAAATACAAATATTCATGAAGGAAATACCTCTGTATACTAACTACACCACCCAAGTTTTTTAAAAAATGGAATTACCATTATCTTTCTAACTCCCCTCTGAATCTTACTGAACTTCCCTCTGAATCATTACTTAATGATTTTATAAATGATAATATTTTCTCACTGACTAATCACAGATACATTTGTTTTAGTAACGCTTCTAAAATTTCGGCTTTAATTCCTCTAGGCCTGTCAAGTTCTTTTAAATCTATAAACTATATTATCTTTACATAAGCTCCAGTTTTAGAATATGATATTGTATTTTATTAGACTTTCTTTCCCAAGCAGGACACAGCAATATGAGAGGCCAACAACTGATATACAAGCCACACCGAGAAGGTAGGAAGAATTGCACCCAAAATGAAAAAATATGACTTGGCACAGTGACTCACACCTGTAATCCCAGCACTTTGGGAGGCCAAGGTGAGAGGATCACTTCAAGCCAGTGGTTTGAGACCAGCCTGGGCAAGATGGTGGGACCCCATCCCTACAAAAAGTTAAAATACAAAAATTAGCCAGGCATGTTAGTGTGTGCCTGTGGTCCCAGCTACTTGGGAGGCTGAGGTGGGAGGATAACTTGAGCCCAGGAGTTCGAGGCTGCAGTGAGCTAGAATCATGCCCCTGCATTCCGGCCTTGCTGACAGAGCAAGGCTCTGTCTGAAAAAAAAAAAAGAGAGAGAAAAAAAACCTGATACAATCAAAAGAATGAATGAAACAGATCTCTGAGACTGCTACATCACACCCGGTGAACACAGCCTAAGCCTTTATCTACTTCTATCAGAAGTCTCTGCCAGAAGGGAAAGAGCTGGGTGAGGAAATCCATAGTAACACATTACTCTTATCTTTTATGTCCTAGATTGCCATTTGCAAGAGAGCTATTAATGAAAGTCACACACCTGAAGCTCTAAAAGCAGCCCAGGGAATGGGGAAAATTCCCTGTCTCCAAAACAGGAGATGAAGCCACTGTGAAGCCAATAGCAAAAAAGTGATCAGGCCAGAAATCCTGCTGACTCAGGAAATTCTATTCTGCCGTTAGACGAAGCTAAATATCAGAGCACCTACTCTGCCGTATATTCTTAATAGGGTTCCTGTACTTAGCTATGTAACAGCCTATGGGGTTTAACTCATTCGCTAAAGAAACATATTGAATGAGGACCCTGGGCCAAAGCACCACATATAGTCGTCCATCGGTAAAGTGGGGCATAAGTGGGGATTGGTCATAGATTTGGGGATTCAAAGGTGCTCAAATCTCTTATACAAAGTGATGTAATGAGTAAGAAGGAACTAAGCGCACACATTCTCTGAGCACCTGCCACGCGCAAACACAGTGCTAAATGCTTCCACATGTATTATCTTTTTAAAATGACTTTTTTTTTTAGATAAGATCTTGCTCTGTCACCCAGACTGGAATGCAGTGATGTGATCACAACTCACTGCAGCCTTGACCTCCTAGGCTCAAGCAATCCTCCCTCCTCAGTCTTCCAGGTAGCTGGGACTACAGGCTCGCACCATCACATCTGGCTAAATTTTTTCTTTTTTGTAGAGGTGGGGTCTCACTATGTTGCCCAGGCCCGTAGACTTTATTTATTAGAGTAGTTCTAGGTTCACAGTAAAATTAAGCTGAAGGTGAGGAAATTTTCGATACACCTCCTGCCCCCAACACATGCACAGTTTCCCCCATTATTATCAACCCCCACCAGAGCGGTACATTTGTTGCAGTCAATGCACCTACACTGACACACTGATCTTATTTAGACCTTAGTTCCAGCGTCTCTGGAAGAGTGGCAGTTTTCTCATTGGCTGACCCTATTGCCTGGTCTCGCTGCTCGGTGCAAAGGCCTTTAGAAATTCTCTGCTTTGACTGACTGGCTAACAAGTGGAGATTTGTACCCGAAGCATCGAATCTGTATAGGAATCAAGCACATGGAAAAATCTTTGATTCCTCCAGTGTCTTGGATCTCAAGGAAAGCTCCAGCCTCAGCCTTGGTGGAGGCAGCAGCCCCGGGCTCAGAGAAGGAAGGTATTCAGATGACAGGATTCAGACATCTCAGGATGACCAAAGAGTATCCAACCATTCACCAAGGAGCAGAAGCTTCCCTATCACTGACAGACAGTACTTCCTGCGGTGTCCCCAGCATCCCCCAGAAACTGTGGACAAGGCACAAGAAGAAGTCTGAATATGTGAAAGCCAGCAACAGCGCCTTTGAGGCCGACTAACGGTGACCCTCCCCGGGTACCCTGCACTGGCTGAGGTTGACTAGACAAGGGGAGAAGGGCCAGGACTGGAGCTGAGCCACACTCATTTCTGCTAGCAGCTTGGTGCAAACATATCATCCTCTCTCACTAACTGATCACCCTGCCTTAGGACACAGAAAAGGAACATCCCTTGAAGGCAAAATGAAACTGTTCCTTCTTAGAACTGCTAAAGCTGTTGGCCAGAAAGTGACTTTGAGAGGTCATAAAGTTTATATCTCTATCTTCAAGCAAAATCACACCTACATGGAACTTTCCCAGCCTAAAGACCTCCAAGGAAGGAAGGCGACAACTCCCCCGTCTTCCTTGTGAGTTGCTGGTGTTCTAGGGTGTGTAACTTTCTGGTCTTACTGTAAGAGCTTGACCCTGAGGCACTTATAAACACATGGTTCTTACCGTTCCTATTATCGCATTTATTTCACCTTGATGAGGTATACTTTTTAAGGAACAAGCATATATCAACTTAGTAGTTCTAGTATCTACTGAAGAGTACCATCAAGATTGATTGTGATGGTCATTTGGCATGACTGCATGAATTCTTTATTCTTTTATGTGCAGTTTTTCTATAGAAAAACACTGAAAGTTAAAAGTTGAAAAAAATAAAACCATGTAGCATTTGCACATAACATATTTACATCTTCCCATATACTTTAAGTCATCTCTAGGTTTCGTATAATACCTAATACAATGTAAATGCTATGTAAATAGTTGTTATACTACATGAATAAATAATGACAAGAAACAGATGTCCATACATGTTCAGACACAACATTCTTCCACATATTTTGATCTGAGGTTGATTGAATGCATGATGCAGAACCCATAGAAACAGAGAGCTAAGTGTATTAGAATTTTTCTCCTGGCTTCCATAAAGCACACCTGTAGGCAATCACAGTCTAGGGTACAAGAAAGTCCAGTTTTGCCGTTTAATAGGTGTGTGACTTTAAGAAGGGCAATAATAATTCCAGTTCCCACTCAGCTAAGTATAACCTACCATCCAGGTCACATTTACTGCCTACTTACTGTCTTTCCAAAACTGTCTAAGCCCCTTCTAACCACTAAATGTTGGTGAGGTATTCCATGAGGTAATGATGCAGTGAGGCACAGAGATGTTAAAATAACTTGCCCAAGGTGACACAGATAGAAGCAAATCAGACTATCCAATTCAAGGGCACACTCCAACCACTATGCTGCACTGCCTCTGGTAACACAGAATATCCTTTAAGAGAAGAACAGGGCCAAGTACAATGGCACCCCTGTAGTTCCAGCTATTTGGGAGGCTGAGGGAGGAGGATTGTTTGAGGCCAGGAGTTGAAGGCTGCAGTGAGCTATGATGGCGCCTGGGAGTAGTCACTACACTCCAGCCTGGGCAACTGAGCAAGACCCCGTCTTTAAAAAACAAAAATAAAGAGGTCAGGTAAGTGAGTCTCCCCCTCCCAACTTCACACTTCTCACTCTCCTGAAATTCTTCAGGAGATCCTAATCAACCACATAAAACAAGCAAAGTGTAGAGATTATGTAAAATGTTTATTTTTCTTTCCATGCCCTTTTCTCCCCATTGAGTTTCATGGAGATCTGTGTGACTATGGGAGGCCTCCAGAGATTCAGCAATGGTAAGAAAATATGAGCACATTTTAAAAGAGGAGGGAAGAAGGAGGGAGGATTCCTCCCAAGAGAGTGGTGGCAACTTTACAACTTGAAAATGTCTGTGAGCCTGGCTTAAATTTTTATGACACATCTCTACCACACTGGCAGGGGGTGGGGGGTTGGGGACTTGGGTTGTCTTGGATCAAGACCCAGTGCTGAGGTAAGCAATGTAGCCAGACTGGCTTGATCAGCTCCTTGTAATCTCCCTGGCGAGGGATGTTTGTCAACTGGAGACCACACCCACTAAAGAGAACTAATTAGGTTCTAGGGGCAACCACTAAGGTCATCATTATTACCAGGTGAGATCAGTTTCCCAAACATTCCGATCTTAAGACTTGCATGGGGTGATTAGGAAGACTGCTCCTTCAGAACCACTGTACCAGAATCTTCAGGCAGCCCTAGAAATCTGAAACCAGGTAATTCTTGACAGACAAGTTTGGGAAACACTATTTAGATCATGACATTACAGTATCTAAAAAGATCAAGAAGGGTCTTCTAGGTAGGGTGTCCTCCTTTCAAGCAATTCTCTGTCTAATCCAGGAGGAGAAGACTATTTTCTATACATAAAAGTCTCCAGAGAACTGGCTTCCAAAATTTCCTTTCAGTATACATAAGAGTCTCAAGTCTGCAGAGCTTTGTGGTCCCTCTCAAATAGCTCAGGCAAAGGTTAAATCTCCATCCTTCTTCCAACCAGATATTTAAAAAACAATATTTGTTACACAAGTCATCATACTGAAAGTTTTGTTAACTCACTTTGGAAAATACGTGAGGGCCTAGAACTGTGCTAAGCCCTCTGGTGCTCTGTTTAAGATAAAGAACTTCACTTATTTCAAAGGTCAGGAAGAAGAAACAGAAAAGACAACCCACAGAATGAGAGAAGCTATTTGCAAAGCATATATCTGATAGGAGACTTCAACCCAGAATATAAAAACAATGCTTAAAATGTAAGAGTAAATAGACAAATAATATAATTTAAAAACGGTCAAAGGATCTGAATAGACACTTCTCCAAAGAAAATATACAGATGGCCAATGATATGGTTTGGCTTTGTCCCCACCCAAAACTCATCTTGAATCGGAACTCCCACAATTCCCATGTGTCGTGTGAGGAAGCCGGTGGAAGGTAATTGAATTACCGGGGTGAGTCTTTCCAATGCTGTTCTCTTGATTGTAATAAGTCTCAAGAGATCTGATGGCTTTAAAAATGGGAGTTTGCCCACACAAGCTGTCTCTTTGCCTGCTGCCATACATGTAAGACATGACTTGATCCTTCTTGCCTTCCACCATGATTGTGAGGCCTCCCCAGCCATGTGGAACTGTAATTCCATTAAACCTCTTTCTTTTGCAAATTGCCCAGTCTCAGGAACGTCTTTATCAGCAGTGTGAAAATGGACGAATACGAGCCAATAAGCACGTGAAAATATATTCATCATCATTAGTCATTAGAGAAACGAAAAGCAAAACCACAATGAGATACCACCTCACACCCACTAGAATGGCTACAAAACTTGTATGCTTGTGTTCAGAATGGCATTATTCCTAACTGTCAAAAGTGGAAACAACCCATCAACTGATGAACGGATAAATAAAATGTGACCCATCTAGTCAATGGCATACTATTCAGCAATAACAAGGAATGAAGTACTAACACATGCTACTTCATGGATGAGCACTGAAAACATGAGGAAAAAGCCAGCTACAAAAGGCCACATTTTGTATTGTTTCATTTACATGATATGTGCAGAACAGCAAAATCCAGACTCAGAAAATAGATTAGTGGTTGCCTGTGATGAGGGATAGGAGCAATGGGGAGAGGTGGCAACTCATGGGTCTGGAATTTTTGGGGTTTTTTTGTTTTCTTTTGAGACAGGGTCTCATTCTGTCACTCAGACTAGAGCACAGCGATGCAATCACGACACACTGCATGCAGCCTCAACCTCCTGGGCTCAAGCAATCCTCCTGCCTCAGCCTCCTGAGTGGCTGCGATTACAGGCACACATCACCATGCTCAGCTAATTTTTAAATTTTTTTGCTATTAAAGGGGTCTCACTCTATGTTGCCCAGACTGGTCTCAAACTCCTGAGCTCAAGAGATCCTCCTACCTTGGCTTCCCAAAGTGCTGAGATTACAGGTGTGAGCCACTGTGCCTGGCCTGGGCTGTTTTTGAAGTGATGAATATGCTCTAAAATTGACTATGGTGATGGGTGCACAACTCCATGAACATACTAAAAATCAATGAGTGTACACTTTAAATGGGTGAATCGTATAGTATGTGAATATCTCAATAAAGTTGTTTAAAAAAAGGATCCCATTTAATCTCCATGAGCCTCAATTTCACCCTCTGAAAATGGAGACACCACCTACCTTTCAATACTATAAAGGATATATAGGCCAGGTGCGGTGGCTCCCAGCACTCTGGGAGGCCGAGGCAGGCGAATCATGACGTCAAGAGATTCAGATCATCCTGGGCCAAAATGGTGAAACCCGTCTCTATTAAAAATACAAAAATTAGCTGGGTGTGGTGGCACGTGCCTGTAATCTCAGCTACTCGGGAGGTGGAGGGAGGAGAATCACTTGAACCCGGGAGGCGGGGGTTGCAGTGAGCCGAGATCACGCCATTGCACCCCCGGCCTGGGTGACAAGAGCGAAACTCCATCTCAAAAAAAAAAAAAAAAAAAGAATATATAAATACATACAGATGCATGCATGTACACACTCACACATACTATGTTTCACATAGTACCTAGCCCATAATAAATACTAAATAGATGTCATTCTTTCTCCTCTTCCTATCCCCACGCTTTTGTATTGTTATGCCTTGATACTGTGGTTCCACCACAAATTACAAAACTCAAAATTAAAATGTATTTCAACAGAGGTCTAACCATGAGAATTTCACACTGCTATCCTCAAGACTACTCCTACATGGCTAACTCTGAAGAAATCCTGGAGCCTGCGAATGTGACTGTCTACCTTCCAGACTTGTCACTACAGAGTATTTGGGGATAAAGAGTAAGACCTTTTTCCTCTGTTCCACTGCCTTATTAGAATGTTCCTTATTTCTAACCACTGGACACGGGCACCTTCACTTACCTATCTTTAAAACTCAGCACAATCCTTGCCAATACAGATGCTATTCAGACATTTTTCCTGTCAATTTCATCTACAATGAAAATCAACTGGGCCTCCAAGACAGCTCTGCAGGTGTCCCCAAAACACCTTAGCTTTGATATATAGCACTGCCCACCTGATTATTCACTGTGATACTAGGCAGATTCAAAGAGGGCTAGAAATTAGGGAACCACCTACAGCTTGCAACAAAAAGTCAACTGCAGCCAGCTGGGCCCAGTGGCTCACACCTGTAATCCCAGCAATTTGGGAGGCTGAGGGGGACAGATCACCTGAGGTCAGGAGTTTGAGACCAGCCTGGCTAACATGGCGAAACCCCGTATCTACTAAAAATACGAAACAGCCAGGCATGATTGGTGCACACCTGCAGTCCCAGCTCCTCTGGAGGCTGAGGCAGGAGAATCGCTTGAGCCCGAGGCAGAGGTTGCAGTGAGCCGAGATCTTGCCACTGCACTCCAGCCTTGGCGACAGAGTGAGACCCTGTCTCAAAAAAAATAAATAGAGAGAGAGTGAGAAATGACAGCCCAGGACAGATAATGCCATCTATTAAAAAAGCACTTTTGCTGTAAAGTTGCCCTAATATAGTAGTTACTAGCGGCCTGAAGCTATTTAAATTATCGAAATTAAATAAAATTTAAAATTCAGTTCTTAAATCTCACTAGCCACATTTCACATGCTTAGCAGCCACATGTAGCTACTGACTATCTTATTGGACAGGGCAAATATGGGACATTTCCATCATAGTAAAAGCTCTATTGAACAATGCTGATTCAGGCAGTAACTGCATCGATTCTATAAAGTTCACAAGTTCTGAGTTCTTAGGTACTGTAGTTTCAGTATTTGCTGATTGTGAAGTTTGACTCGCACTAGTACGATCCAAGTGAGGTTTGCCTAGGTCAGTGGACAAGGTTTTTTGGAGTGTACACTGAGCTCAGCACGAGGTAAGCACTTAATATTTGCTGAATGCTTAAATCAACAGCATAATAATATCTGTACTTCAGACTCTGCCTTGATACTTTCAGATATTAGCTCATGGAAAGCAATGGTTAATTTTTCTTCAAGGGAGATTTTTTATTTTTATTTTTATTTTTATTTTTGAGAGGGAGTCTCGCTCTGTTGCCTGGCTGGAGTGCAATGGCACAATCTCTGCTCACTGCAACCTCCGCCTCCTGGGTTCAAGTGATTCTCCTGCCTCAGCTTCCCAAGTAGCTGGGATTACAGGCACCTGCCACCATGCCCAGCTAATTTTTGTATTTTTAGTAAAAACAAGGCTTCACCATGACAGCCAGGCTGGTCTCAACTCCGCTGACCTCAGGCGATCCACCCGCCTCGGGCTCCCAAAGTGCTGGGATTACAGGCGTGAGCCATGGCGCCCGGCCAAGGGAGATTTTTATAGGGAGATATAAGCATCAGCGGGTGGGGAAGGTGGCTGACAGACCTTTTGTAGCCACTAGAAATGAATCGGCGAAACATAAAAATCTGCCCAAAAGTAACTTTGCTATTCAAACAAAGTTTCAGATGCAAGAAATATCTTGCCTCTTCAAACACTCACTACTTGCACCTTGTAGGGACATGAAGGCAGAGTCAGAGGAGACACTCTGGAAGATCACAAAGCCTGCTGTCAATTTCCAAGCATTTTTCCAATATAACTTCGCCAGAAAATAACACAGTCACGAAGACAGCAGCCATCTAATGGCATCGTCTGTGCCATCACTCTTATACCTAAATTTCCACTCTCCTAGTGTCCTATGACTCAATCAAAACTGTGCCTATCAAATAACTTCTTGAAAGTACAAGTTTTTGAAAATCTACATTCAAAAAAGCATGTAAGTTTCCATATACAGAGAAAAGCAGTTCCACTGGCCCTTAACCAGTAATCTCCTAGAGGCCAAACAAAAGAAGCTACAGCTGCTTCTATTAAAATTTTCTACTTCTCTTGTCCACAGACCAAACAGGCATAAGAAAACCAAGCTGCTCGATTTCTATAATTCACTTTTTCTTAGCAAAGGTCTGAGAACAGAAGGCCAGGGAAACAGGGAGCAGCTGCCGCCTGGTCTTATGAATGCCCTCGGCTCATTCCCCATCCTCCTCCTCATTGTTTCAAGCTCCTTTTCTTAACAATCTCTAAGCCCCAGCTCATGGGAAGAAATAACAAGGAAAAGCAGCCTTCACTGTGTCAACACCCTCTGTGGTTGAAGCATCTAGATCACTTCTCTGAGGTGATGCAATTAGAAATTAAATTAGAAATTAAAAAGAAATTAAAATACATTCCATTTTAATTTGTTAATCTGCTTTATTGTGAATTCCAATTAATGACACATAACTACGTGGAACTCCTTACATGTGGTCCTACAGAGATCCTTTTAGACACCCCAGGGGTTTTGTTGTTGTTGTTTAATTACACCATTTCTATCTCTTGAGCCAAACAACAAATCTGGTCCCACTATTAAGCCAACAAATGTATAATGGTCGGTGATGAATTAGTCATCCAATATTCAGATTCCAAGACTCGAATAATCTAAATATTAGAGCCAAAGAGCTCAGTTTCTGCAACACGCAATGCTAACTTTGAGACATAAAAACAGAATGGTGGTTAAGAAAATTGGATGACCTGAGTTTAAAGTCTCAGCTCTGCCACTTACTCACTGTGGGATCTTGAGCAGGTTCCTTAACCTCTCCTGACTTCAGAATGGAAATAATGACACTACTGACCTCATGGGTTGTCATGGGGAATAAGGGAGACAACCCAAGTAAGAACTCAATAAACATTAGCTGTGATTGTAAAAACGCCCCATGCCAGGAAAATATCACTCGAAATAAGCGTTTTCCAAAAGTTAGGACTTGGCCGGGCCTGGTGGCTCATGCCTGTAATTCCAGCACTTTGGGAGGCCAAGGAAGGCAGATCACCTGAGCTCAGGAGTTTGAGACCAGCCTGGGCAACACGATGAAACCCCGTCTATACTAAAAATACAAAAATTAAGCTGGGCGCAGTGGCGTGTACCTGTGGTCCCAGCCACTCGGGAGGCTGAGACAGGAGAATTGCTTGAGTCTGAGAGGCAGGGGTTGCAGTGAGCTGAGATCGCACCATTGCACTCCAGCCTGGGTGACAGAGTGAGATCTTGTGTCAACAACAACAACAGAAAAATCAGGACTTAACAAGAAACTTAGAAAATGCTGCTTTCTCAGAAGACCCGTGTGAAAATACCATGTAAGAAAAGAACACCAGCTTAGGTCAAAATGTTAATTTTCCCAGTTATCCTAAATCCCTAACTCCAATAATAATCTTTTAAAAATATCCTTCAACATGTATAAATTATTCTGATTCATCTCACTGATGTACACTCAGAGGAAAGGGAATTTCAAACCAGATGGCTCAGGAGTGAGTGGTCCTCAAGTAAGCCTCAAGGAGTGAGTGGTCTGCCATGGCCGCAGCCTGACATGCAGGAAGGGGAGAAGAGCGGGCGGATCCCTCACACCACCGGTGTCACCAAGAGAGAAAATGCTCTGCCACCTCTGTGCCCTGATGTGTCAACAAAGTCCCTCCCCACTAGGCACCAACTGGGCCCAAGTTTGTTGACCTTCTGGGCGCAGTGAAAAACCTTTCTTTTGGTAGAGCAAACAAGCACTGCAGGGACATGCACTGTTTTTATATAAATAAGATAGCACACGCAAAGATTCATTATTAATGTTGAGTTATGCCTTATTTTCAAATGAGGCATGGACATTTGGTAATTTGGATTTAAGAATAACTTGTTAACTATATGCTGCAAATTATCCTTTTTCTCCATTGTAAATTGCAACAGCCACTACAACACTACTTAATTTGGAGCTTGTGAAAAATGTCCTTGAAAGATGGTCAACGTAACTCAGAAACACTCTTTGAAAAAATAATGCCACCACTTAAATTCTTTCCAGCAAATCCCTGAGTCTGCATACAATATCACAAACAACACAAGCTGTCAAGATATGGGCACTCCGAACAAATGCTCTGGAGAATTTCACATGGATCCTGTACTCTCCTAAATGAAAGCCAGGCTGGTTTAACTGTAAAAGAACTAGGAAGAACTGAGAGGCAATATTCAAAGTGAAAACACTTCCACTCTTAGCAAAGGGAAGCCAAGGACCTCTGTGCTTGGCCCAGACGGTCCGGGAAGAACCCCTAAATGGTGAGAATCACAACAGCAGTAATTCAAGGTCACACTAGATCCCCAGCCTCCTATAAGCCTGATTCACATACTAAACTCCACAGACTTTGGTCACCAGATTATTTTTTACAGTCTGACCCAACTTCAATCATGTCTGAATTCCTTTCCAAAAATTGGAAACGATCACTATCCATAACTCACCTCCCAATCCAACCCAAACCCAAAGACACTCTTTTCATAATGTCCAAATGACATTACCCCATGTAAACCTCAAACAAACCAGTCTTTAAGCCAAAGCAGATACACATTTTAATATTCACATGGTTTTGCCTCAGCATCTCTTAACCAAGACTGCAATTAACCTATCACCACACTGGTGTCTTAGTTTATGAATAATGCATGACAAATCACACCTGAATTTCTATAAAAGAAAAAAAATCACCTCCAAAAGTAGTAGTACCATGGACATGTTTTTTCAATGTAATGCCACGCTAAATTCCACTCAAATAATTTTCCATCAGGGCTGGCAAACAAATATGTAAATATCAAGGTTTTAGAAAGAGGGCAGAGCCATTGACTGAAAGTACCTTTAAATTTTTCTTTTTCAATGAGCTACTTCCATCTTACTTTATTTTTTTATTTCCAAATTCCCAAGATTTACTAGCCTGTAAGAATTTCCAAGGTTACTCAATTTTTTAAATTACTAGTATCTGATTAAAAGCAGAATTGAATTGCTTAAGTGCAATGTACATAATAAGGTATATGTTATTCTTTGGTCACAAATGAACAGTGTCAACAAAACTTTCTTTAAAGAAAACACACATTAAGATTGGCAAATCAAGCTTCTTATGCTCGCATTTAAAAAAAAAAAAACAACAACAACATTCAACCACGGAATTTGGCCGTAATAAGGTTATTTTAGCTTTGTAGCTCTAATCACTCTCCCACATTCAATGGTCAGGATAAGAGTGCTGATCCATTCACAGAACACACAAACAGATATTTAGAATGTGAAATTAAGAGTACATCACTGAATAAGTAATGCATAAAACGTGTCTAGGCATGGAAATATCAAATGGTAGGGCTAGAAGGCTCTGAAAGAGCATCTACCTAATCCCCTCACCCTACCAGGAAACTGTAGCGACAGAAGTTAAATAATTTGCCCAAGACGGTGGCAAAAACTCACCCAGTCAGTGGCAAAGCCTCTAAGCTAGGTGTCCTACCTACAGATCCAAGTCCCTTTCTTGATACCACTCTACTCCTTTTAGTACAAAAAGCTTCTATTAATGAAATATCTTACAAGACAAATCACTTGTGGATGGATATAAAAAGGTTGTGGAAGGACATCCAGCCAGCCACTAAAAACTGGTTGAAAAGGTGCTAATTTATTTTGCATTTGCTTAACTGGTGATGTTGAGCATGTTGCACTTTTAACTGCTGAAGAGGAATTTCATGACTTTTTGAAAAGAAAACCTCTTGGTTTGTAAATACTCTCAGAAAAGAAAGGATCATTTCTTGGAAAAGGGTAGAAAGTGAATTCCCTTTCCTTTAGCAGGGGACATCCTTTCCCTCACATCTCACAAAAATCCAATCAACCCCTCCCTTTCAAGGTCCAGCATAACTGCCAGCTCCTCTCTGAGAACTTCCAAGCCCGGAGGCCAGAAGCTTCCTCTGAGATCCTCCATGGTAGCCTACGCATAAGTCTCTCCCAGGCAAGCTCTCAAGCACGCTTCTTGAAAGCAGAAATCCTATCCTACTTACCTAGCTACCGGGCTTTGCAAAATCCTTTGCACATACTCAATTACAACGAACGCATTGAGGCATTTGTTGCCAGAATCCCACTTACAGTAATTTTCCAGATCTCCGTCTTCCCTACACCAACACCTGGACCCACTCAAGAGTTATTCTGGAGCGGAAATCCTGGATCCCGCTATCGGGAGAACCAGTGTCTAGAAAATGAAATCGTGGTGCCCATTCCATCCTCTGCCTAGTGGGCGTTTAACATCCTTTGACATCGAGGGGAATGGCAAAACGAAACATTTATTATTTAGGTCACCAACAACATTCTAAACCCACGTCCTCTAATCGGTGTTAATGTGTTTAAAAAAAAAATTCAGAACATCATTCGCCAGAACGGAAAGCTGAAAACGGCGGATAAAGTTAAATGCATGTAAAACAGAATGACTTAAACATCTGTAAAAGCTCCTGGGAATTGCACCGAATAATCTTCCCTTGTCCGTTTGCTCGCTCAATTCAAGTTTGTTTAGTTTAGTCTTTTTTTCTTTCTTTCTGACAGAAACGTGATAGTCCCTAAATACAAGCTGACCGGGCAAAGAAAGATCGGCATACGAGGTCCTCTTTCATGTTGCCTTCTTTTGATAGCTTTTCTCCAAAGTCTGAGGTTTTCAAAGCCGAGGTATGAACTAAAACCCCTAAACCTTAACACCACAAAGTTGACCCTGCTGGGCTCCTAAAAAACACAAAGCAAGCAAGCGCGAAGAGAAAAATCGCACCCTGCACCTATCCAGACAGCACAAACCCAGGTGGCCCCGGGATCCTGGGGGACAGAGCGGCGACAAAGCAACACAAACCCCACGTCGAACAGCGGCGCCGCGTGCGCACCCCGCGCCCGCGCCCCGGCCCCGGAGCTCACCGCTGCGCTCCTTCCTTCCATCTTCCATCGCCAGCCCGGCCGCGCGCCGAAACCGCCGCCGGGCGCTCCGGGGCCGCAGCCTCAGGGCGCGAGTGCCGGCGGCCAGCGCCGCGTGCTCTTTGTTGAGCTCCCGGGACTGCCGAGAGGCGGCGGCCCGCGCGCACCCTGGCGGAGGCTGGCGAGGCTGCGAGCCCGCGGCAGCCGCCCGCCCGGCCCCCAGTAACGTCAAAGCGAAGGCGGCGCAGGCGGGCCGGCGGTGGCGGGCCCCGGGGGCGGAGGGCGGAGGGCGGAGAGGCGGGGCCGACGCCTCGGGGAGGGGGGAGGTGGCTGGGCCTCCGAGGCGGGGGCGGGGTCTCCAGGGCAGGGGCGGGGCCTCCGGGGGAGGCTGGAGGCGATCCAGACCCTCGCAGTGCAGCCCTCGAGCGGCCCGGACCGTCCGCTGCCTCCCGCAGCCGCGCGCCCGCCCTGGGCCCAGCCTCCAGCCCGCGAGCGAAAACCTGCCTGTTGCTTTGTCTTCTTCCTTCACAGTTTTCCCACCCTGAGAAAAGTGAGAGGTGCTTTCCCTGGTGTTTCCTCTCAGGAAGGGCCGTGTGACTGGAGCCGCGAGTTGGGCGCCGTCTCGCCGGGGCTGGAGGTACGCGGGCTTCGGGACACGCACCTAGGCGTCCCTCGGGGTCCCGGCCTCTCTGACCGGGCTCCCCCGGCACCGATCCGCGGCCGGAGCGTTTAGTCCCGGGGACCCGTCGAGCCCTGAAAGGGCCATTTCCCCCTGAGGCGAGTCCCCCCAGGCGCCCCGCAGCCTGGCCTCGGGACTGCCCCCACCGACAGTGCGTGCGCGGGGAGAGGTCACTTAAAACTGCATTTTCGAACATTAGTGCCCCGGACCCGCACCTTTTTTCCTCCGTCCTTTGATCTGTGCCGCAGAGGCAAGGGCTGGAACGGCGCCCTCCCCTGGTAGAGGGACGGAGAGACCGCAAATCTTTCCCCCTGGGAGGTCCGTTAAGTAGATCCAAGCACCTGGAGGCGGAACCTGTGTGGCCGGCTACAGGGTGGTCCTGTGTATGTGTTACCGCCTTATTGTTCCAAAGAACAGTCTTTTTCAAGTGACAGGTAGAAGACGCCCCAATAACGAGAAGTGACTGACTTGGCCAAGCTTAGAGATGGGAGTGGAGTCAGGTTCCCTGGTGGCCCCACGATCTCGCCCACCATGTCAGCATGGGCTGCCCGGTGAGCATAGCTGAGATGCACCAAGGCCACATAAGTCACCTACTTTGCCTTGGCTGCCCCATCTGCATCTATCAAAGGAAGCCTTGGACACCCACCAGAGGAGCCAGCATGAGGGAGTGTATGCCTTTATACAAATTCACTCCAACTTCAGAAAAACGTCCGCAGCTCATGCTCCCCCTGCCAGAGCAGCAGTGTGAGCAGCTGTGTAGGTTTGGAAGCACCCCAGTCACTTGGGCATTGATATGGTTTGGCTGTATCCCCACCCAAATCTCATCTTGAATTGTAAGTCCCGCAGTTCCCAGGTGTGTGGGAGGAACCTTGTGGGAGGTGATTGAATTATGGGGGCGGGTCTTTCCTGGGCTGTTCTCGTCATAGTGAATGAGTCTCACGAGATCTGAAGATTTTAAAAATGGGAGCGCTTGTTGCACAAGCTCTCTCTTGGCCTACTGCCATCCGCTTAAGATGTGACATGCTCCTCCTTGCTTTACGCCATGATTGTGAGGCCTCCCAACCATGTGGAACTGCAAGTCCAATAAACCTCTTTCATTTGTAAACTGCCCAGTCTCCGGTGTGTCTTTATCAGCAGTGTGAAAATGGACGAATACAGGCATATTTCTCGTTTGTGATCTCCCTTTACCCTTGCGTACATACCCTACAGAGACAGTCCCAGTGTGCCTATTCCCAGTCAACTCCTGCCTTCCTTGACGGTTTTGTTGGCAAAGCATCAAAAGTAAGACCCAGTACAAAATGTAGTTGCTACCCTGAGGCTTGACCACTGGCCTACTGGCCTTTACCTGGGAAATTAACCAACTCATAAACAAACAAAAAAAAGTAATCATATAGGAGGCAGGGTGGACATAGATTTACTTGATATTTCTAGTTAAGGGACTTGGGCATAGACATCTATAATCTGAGCCTCTGTTTCCTCATTTATAAAATTGGGTTAATAATGCCATACAGAAGTGTTATTAGCATGATAAATTAAGGAAAGCTCCTGGCCTATAGTGAATGTTCAATAGAGGAGCATTTCATAAGTGAAGCCACAGAAATGTGTTTCCAATTTCCATCGCAAAGGAAATTTTTAATTGGTTTTATCCCTGAAGCCAAAATATTTTAAGATTGTACTTATAAAGCTGATCACATCTATTAAATAATCATTCATTCGTCCAGTTATAAATAATCAAAGATAAAATGGTTAGAGGTTCTGATCAGCATAAATTAGCCAGTGTTACCACTACTAAGTCAATGAAGCCTAAAGCAAATCAAATAAACATTGACATTTCATTTTTGCCAGCATGTATTTTGTGTGTAAATATTTTGTTAGGCTTTTGGAAATATTAAAAATGAAGTAAGAATCCCCATTTCTGCTACCATAGCCCCCAGTGCTCAAGTTCAGTGTCAGAATACACAAGCACCCGCCTTGGTAAAAAAAGAAAGGAGGCACGCAGACCACCTAGGCATGGGCTAGTGTATATTTATCCAATAACATATTCCTCCCCCACCTCTTCCCATGAGCCCTAATGTATGTGGTGTGGAGAGACTATATAGTAGGCAAGACATTATATACTGCAGGTCAAAAGAAGAAAAGGAAGATGAAATTCCATCATGTATTATTCATGCATACAGTTAATCCTTCCTATTTCTGAAGGTCACTGAAAAGCCCAGATTATTGAATATTTATTTTTTAGTACAACATGAACGTTTATTTAGAATGACAAAAATCTCAAATACAAATTTCTAAGAGTTGACAAATCCCACAAACATTACCAAATCCAGAAAAATCACACAATAGTTTTATCTACCACCTACATAATATTTTGTAGTAATAAACTTCCTAAAACACTTCAGTAATATTTGTCTTCACCTGTTTTCTGCTGCTATAAGAGAATACCACAGACTAGGTAATTAATAAAGAAAAGAAATGAATCTCTCACAGTTCTGGAGGCTGGAAGTCCAAGAGCACAGCAACAGCACATGGTGAGGGTGGTTCCATGGTGGAAAGCATCACATAGCAAGCAAGCACAAGAGACGGGAAGCAAATGGGGTCCAAACTTATCCTTTTGTCAGAAGCCCATTCTCTAGATAACTGACTCACTCTCTTAATAACAGCATTCATGAGAGCAGAGCCCTTATGACCCAATCACCTCTTAAAGGCCCCACCTCTTAGTCCTATTACAATGGCAATTAAATTTCAACATGAATGTTGGCAGGGACATTCAAGCCATAGCAATACTTTTTCCTCAAGTATTTTGGCTACATACTTTTTTTTTTTTTTTTTTTTGAGACAGTATCTCACTCCATTGACCAGGCTGGAGTACAGTGGTGCAATCACAGCTCACTGCAGCCTCTACCTCCCAGACTCAAGTAATCCTCCCACCTCAGCCACCCAAGTATCTGGGACTACAGGCACACACCACCAGACCCAGCTAACTTTACATTTATTTAAGATGGGGTCTCCCTATATGGCTAGGCTAGTGTCCAACTCCTGGCCTCAAACAGTCCTTCTGCCTCAGCCTCCCAAAGTGTTGGGATTACAGGCATGAGTGACCGTGCCCAGCCTGGCTACATACTCTTGATAATCTCATTGGAAAGATTTTTTTAAAACAGCTTTATCAAGATCCAATTCACATACCACACAACTCACCCATTTAAAGAGTACAAATCAATGTGTTTACTATATTCACAGATTTGTGCAATCATCACCACAGTCAACTCTGGAAACTTTTCATCATCCCCTAAAGAAACCCTATCCCCATTGGCGGTCGCTCCTCTTTTCCCTCCAAACCCCTCAGTCCCTGGCAAACACTAATTTACTTTCTGTTTCTACAGATTTGCCTATTCTGGACATTTCATATAAATGGAATCATAAAATATGTGGTCTTTGTGACTGGCTTCTTGCACTTATCATAATGTTTTCAATGCTCATCCATATTGTAGCATATATCAGAACTTCATTTTTTATTGCTAAATAATATTCCATTGTGTGGATAGGCCACATTTTATTGATCCATTTATGAGTTCATGGACATTTCAGTTGTTTCTACTTTTTGGCTGTTAGGAATAACACTACTATAAAAATTTATGTACAAGTTTTCATGTAGCTGTTATGTTTCCATTTCTCTTTTCCATTCTACCTAGAGTAGAAATTGTGGGTTATATCGTGACTGTATAACTTTATTTCCAATCTGTTTTCCACAGTGGCCGCACCACTCTACATTCCTACCAGAGCAATGTATGAAGGTTCTAATTTCTCCACATCCTCACCCACACTCATTATTGTTTTTGTGTTTGATTACAGCCATCTTAGTGGGTGTGAAGTGGTAGATTGATTGTGTGACATTTTCTATGGGTTGAATAGATAGCCCAGTCTTTTCTCTAGCATGGTTGATCACAATTTTATTATTGACAATTTAGGAAAATCCCACCCTCGCATTTATTACTGATAATAACATTTACACTTTTAATATGTTTTCAAATTTTGGAAGACCTCTCAAGTTTCTTTCATATATAACTGTAGGATTTCAAGGCATTTCATTTTTTATGCAATGATTAATATTAAATGCTCTTTTTAAAAAAAAAAAATGAGGCATAAGGGATCTTCCTAAGGTGATGCAGGTGTTCTATTTGGGTGATGTTACATTTGTCAAAACTCATAGAATTTTACACTTAAAAGCTGTGCATTGCTCGTATATAAATTTTACTTCAATAAAAGAAAAAACATATAATTTTGAATCAAGAGAAATGTTCCAATAGTCAATTCATTGTTTTAGACTGAAAGCTTAAGAGATATGTAGATGTGTGTGTACATGAAAGCACGCATGCGCTAATAAATCTGAAGCTGAGAACATCTTGCAAAAGGTAGAGGTGGAGAGCCACTTGGAATTTGTTTGGGCATTAAAGATAGAGGTGTTGATCCAAAACCAGAGAAAATACTTTTTCTTGAATCAAGTGTGTCTGAACATCAAAAATTTGACTACCCAAGTCTATCCTCATGAGAGTCAGAAGATAAGTTTCTTTTCTGTTTTGAGACAGAGTCTTGCTCTGTCGCCCAGTCTGGAGTGCAGTGGCTCAATCTCAGCTCACTGCAGCCTCCGCCTCCCGTGTTCAAGCAGTTCTTCTGCCTCAGCCTCCTGAGTAGCTGGGACTACAGGCGCACACAGCCACACCAGGCTAATTTTGATATTTTCAGTAGAGATGGTGTTTCACCATGTTGGACAGGATAGTCTTGATCTCCTGACCTTATGATCTGCCCACCTCGGTCTCCCAAAAGGCTGGGATTACAAGCGTGAGCCACTGCGCCCAGCCAGAAGATAAGTTTCTTATTCCTGGTGAAAGCTTAGGTAATTTACTTAGCTCTGGAAATAAATGCCAAGCAAAAAAAACAGAGATGGAAGGAATCATGAAAACAGATGAGTTCCCCAGGCTTCAGGTTAATGCTTTAAACTTAAAACTCATCAACTCATTTTTTTTTATCTCTATTATGAGTTTTGCCATTTCACAGATGTGAGTCATTGCACGTCAAAAAAGAAAAAAACTAAGTATTTTTCCATTGTGATCTATGGCTCACTCCTCTTTATTATCAATTCTCAAGCAATCCAAGAGTCTTAAAATATGCATTTAAAGGAAAGGGTTTTTATTTTAAATACATAAGCAACTCTAACCTCTACAGTATTTTCAATAAGCGGGCTGCCTACAACTGCTTAAGTGCACAGATAGGATGCCTTATAGATCATATAATAACTGCATACAAACCACTGATATATTAGAATACAGAACATAAGTGCCAGTCTTATTTATTTGTTATTGTATTCCTAGCTTCCAGAACTGTGCCTGGTCTGTAGTCGAGGCTCAACAAAAAAATTTTTCAATTAAAATTTGCCACTACCCAATGCAGAAATAGTCAACATACCTAAAATCATGATATGCTTGGATTTCAAAAGCTCAAGATGAAGCTGAGAGAATACGTCTGACACAAAATTCACCACGGTACTTGCCTGGTGGGACTCGACTGAATGCTGAGTGTATGCTGGGTGGGTGAGAGGGATGGGAGACAAGAAGGAAAGAGCAGAAATGTGGTTCATGTCCTTAGGGGTCGGAAGAGAATGGAGAAAAGAGGAAAACTGAGGAGGGAGTATAGTAAGTGCACAAGAAATGTTAGACCAGAGGGTGGTCCGGGGCATAGGGTAGACTCAGCTCACCTTTCCCCCAAGACCCGAATAACTGAGGTTAAGTCTCTATAATAAAGGTTCAGTTTATTTTTTATTATCCTTCTTATGGGTAGTTATTCTTTCATTCATTCATGTGACAAATATTTATCCAACATCTACCATGTGCTAGGTATAGTTTACTGACTCTAGCGGAGCACAAAGCATCCCTTCCCTCATGGAGCTTGGGAAGACAGAAAATAAGCAAGATAAGTAAATATATGTGATGTTATATGATGCTGAGTGTCTTGGAGAAAAACAAAACAAGGAAAGGGATAAGGCATAAGCAGTACAGCGTCAGGAGAGTAGATGATTGCAAAGGATATTGAGAGAAGACTTCACTGAGAGGTGAAATTTGAGTAAACACCTAAAGGAGGTGAGGGGGAAAGCCATGCAAATATGTAACTATAAGTGCAAAGGCCCTGAGGTCTTGCCTGGCGTGTTTTGAGCACAGCAAGGGGTCAGTGTGCCTAGGGCTGAGTGAGCCAGGTGAAAGGTATTCAGAGATGTCGTAAGTGGGACCTTATAGGTTGTTGTAAAGACCCTTAACTGCCCTTGGTAGATTTTGAGCAGAGGGGTAGGATGATCGACTTAGATTTTGCCAGAATCACCCGGTATTATGTATTGGAAGCAAGGAGGTAAATTAGGAGGCTACTACAACAATTCAAGCAGGAGATGATGGTGGCTTGGGCCAGGGTGGTGGCAAAGAAGGAGGTAAGAAATGTTGAGATTCTGGTCATATTTTGAAGATTGAGCTCACAGAATTTGCTGATGCATGAATGTACATTATAAAAGAGAGTCAAAGATGACTCAAGGGTTTGGGACTGAACTACCAGAAAAATGGAGTTACATTAACTAACTGGGGAAGACTGTGGAAGTAACAAGATTTAGGATGGGAGATCAGGCTGTAATTTTTGGACATGTTAAGTTAGAGTTAACTTTTCAACATTCAGCAGAGGAGTGCCAGGCAAGCCACTGGATATACAAAACCAGAATTCAGGGGACAGGTAGGAGTGGGAGCTGTAACAGAGATGATATTTACATCCATGAAACTGAATGAGATCACCAAAGGAGTGGATGGTAAAGAGAAAAGAGGAGAGCCTAATGCACTCCAATGCTCAGAAATTAGGGAGATGAGTAAGAACATGCAGAGGAATCTGAAACGAGCAGTCAGTGAAGTAGGAGGAAAACAAAAGAATGTTCTTTAATGGAATATGTTCAGATTATTTTTACATGAAACCTTTTCCTTTCTACAGTTTTCAATCAGCAGTGTCTGCGTTCTGCTCTCTCCCTACCTCCTGCAATCATCACTTCTCTTTTTACCAAAACTGTTCTATTATTTTCAGGAAGAATGAAAGAGATAGTGCTATATGCCTGTAATTCTAGCAATCTCAGTTTGTCTCAAGCTATGTTTTATGCCCAACCCGGTGTTACTAATACTCACTCCCAATTTTTTTTTTGCATAAATAATGACGTCTGGAATTAACTAAAAAGACAGATTTGGTCAATATACAGGTTTCCAAGCTGACAGAAATTGATTTATATTTTATTTGCTTTTTTGTTACAAAAAAAAAAAAAACCCATAGCTTCTTGGAATTGTAAAGAGAAAATCTAATGAAATCCATGTAAGTATCATAACCAGGATTTTGAATAAGTTCCATTCCTGGTTGACCAAAACTATCTGCTGTGATCCTTTTATTCAGTGGGAGAAACTTTCCCCTGGCATTATGTAAAAACTTTGCAGGCCCAGTTATTCAGCTTACTTGTAGGTCCTCTAAGCATAGTGTCAATTCAATAATTAAACTATGCAGTCCTTAGTCTAAACTTGACTTAGCATTAAATCTTCTCCTCTGCTTCAACTGGAAGAGTGCAGTTGTGAAAGGGAGGGTGGATGATATATTAATCTATTTGTGTTACTATAAAGGAATACCTGAGACTAGTTACTTTATAAAGAAAAGAGGTTTAATTGGATCAAGGTTCTGCAAGCTGTATAAGCAGAGCACCAACATCTGCTCAGCTTCTGGCGAGACTCAGGAAGCTTATAACTATTGCAGAAGGTGAAGCAGGGACAGGCATGTCACATTGTGAGAGCAGGAGAAGGGTTGGGGGGAGGTACCCCACTTTTTAAAACAACCAGATCTCATGTGAACTCAGAGCAAGAACTCACTTATCACCAGGAGGATAGTGCTAAGCCATCCATGAGGGATCTGTCCCCATGATTCAATCACCTCCCACCAGGCCACACCTCTGACATTGGGAATCACATTTCAACATGAGATTTGGAGGGGACAAACATCCAAACCATATTAAGTGGGGTCCTCTATTCCAGTTCCTCAGTCCTATGTACCCACTGGAACATTTCTTCCTGCTGAGCCTTGCCCTCTCTCACCCACCCTACTGGGTGGACCCCAAGAAGATAGACTCCATGCCAACTCTATTGCATGTGGCCCACATCTCTTCCACAAGAGACACTCACACATGCCCCTTGCCTCAGCAACTCTGGGAGTGTGGGCTGATCCCATCCACATAGCAAGGGCTTCCCTAGTCCCTATCCCAAAGCGGTTGGTCAACCCTCTCACTCTAGGTTTCGTGGGAAGAAGCAACCTCCATTGGTTTTCTGGAGCATGAGCGAGGCCACCATCTTCAGTGTTTTCCAGGAACCATTTGGGATTTCTCCAACAGGTCTCTTTGAACTCCTTTTACTAGGCTTGGGGCTGGAGAGTAGCACCCAGCTCTCTTCCAGTGGAGAGTAGAGCCAGGCAACAGCTGTCATCACCATCTCCTCATGTTCTTCTCTCATTAGCACTTATTTTTATAGTTTTGATTTGACTGACAAGGGATCCAAGATTGTAGAACAAAGTCTCAGGACCCTTTTTTTTTTTTTAATCTGTGCATGGGGTAGATGTTGTCCCAAATCCACTTGGACGTACTTTGCTGTGTATTACACTGTCACCTCAGTAGCACCCAAGACAGAAGGGGTCCCACTCTACCATCTTCTCATACTTCTTAGCTTGAAAGAGTCATAGCATTTTGTTTACTCACTGTAGATATATGTGCTCATAGGATATCAAGTTAATCACCTCCATCATAGAGTCTTATATTTGAAGGTAATAATTCTGAAAGATGGGAGAGATGTCCTTTGTGGATAGATATTGCTGGAAACAATCCTCCATCCACATCTAGCTCAATCATTTACAACCACATTGTGAATATTCAGGCACTTTGTATTTCCTATTTCTCACAGCTATGCTGTCTAATTCCATAGCTAGTAGACTACGTGGCCAGCCAAATTTAAATGGATTGAAAGAAAATTAAACTTAAAATTCATTTCTCAGTCTCACTAGCCGTATTTCAAGTGTTCAGTAGCCATAGGTAGTTAGTGGCTACTGAATATAGCCACTATTTATTTATTTATTTATTTATTTATTTATTTATTTATTTATTATTTCTTTAGAGACAGGGTCTTGCTCTGTCACCCAGGCTGTAGGGCTGTGGTGCAGTCATAGATCACTGCAGCCTTGACCTCCTGTGGACTCAAGCAATCCTCCCACCTCAGCCTCCTGAGTAGCTGGAGACTACAGACATGCATTACCGCACCCCACTGAATATTATTTTAATTTTTTTGTAGATAAAGGTTCTCACTATGTTGCCCAGGCTGGTCTGGAACTCCCGGCCTCAAGTGATCCTCCAGTCTCAGCCTCCTAAAGAGTTAGGATTCCAGGCATGAGCCACTGAGAATGGCTACTGTATTTAGACATTGCAGCTCTAGAACGTTTCCATGAATACAAAGAATTCTATTGACAGCACTGCTTCACAGTCTTTGGCACATAGGATACACCGGATAAACGACAAATGAAAGTTTGGTCCCAAGGTATCACATACATGATTGCCCTGATTTAATTTTCTGTGAGTGTAAAGCTTTTTAGCACAGCACTATGCACTGTACTGTACTGACTTGACCATTAAAAACAAAAACCAAACCTTTTCCTAAGTACATAGCTGCAGCTGCTTTTCTGTTTCATGCCTGAAAAATTATCTGCATCCTCCCAATCAGAAAATGCTTTATTATCAAAATAATTCCTGTAAACATTTGAGAAGAAAGTCCCCATTTCCCTCGGAGCACAAATAAATCACTTTTTCCAAATTATTCCAATAATAAAATGTTTTCAAAAGCAATATTTCTATCAAAGGGGGATTCCATAGAAAACATTCCTTTGCTGAACTAAGCATTTCACTTATAATCTTTTTTCCCAAAGATACGTTATTTCACGTATAACCTGTGGAAATTACCTATGCTTGCATGTTTTTAGATTGTAAAAGTACCCTGGAATGTCTCCAAGAGGACAGCAGGGCTTAGAGACACTGCTGCTCTGCAGGGAGTGATGAAGGGAGATAATGAAGACCATGCCAGGGGCCTCTGAAATGTTGAATCAGAGTCAGAAGACAGAAGGGGTCCCACTAACTCATTGTCTAACTGTGTGGGATAAAACAAAATATATTTGGTCTTTGTCCTGGTTTCTAAAACCCTTGGAATTTCCTGAGTCCTTCATTTTTTATTCATAAAGAAGCCACTTACGATGACACCTGAGCTT
Organism: Homo sapiens; assembly: GCF_000001405.40. Lineage (NCBI taxonomy): Eukaryota > Metazoa > Chordata > Mammalia > Primates > Hominidae > Homo > Homo sapiens. Next base: position 19,024,586 of record NC_000008.11, read on the forward strand.
ATGTTAATGAGGTGACTTAGGATGGAGCCCCTAGACTGCCCAAGGATGGAGTTGGTTATCAGAAAGACGACATGATTAGAGGGGTAGAACTTTCAGCCACACAACCGACCTCCAGGAAGGGGAGAGGGGGTCTGGAGATTAAGCTCTATAGAAGGTCTTGAACTGGGAGACTTATGAGCTTAGGAGTTGATGAATTCATTGAGGTGCTGGGAGAGTGGTGTGCCCAGAGAGGGCATGAAAACCCTGAAGCATCCCCAGTCCCCTGTCCTATGCATTCCTTTCATTTGGCTGTTCCCGAGTTGTAGCTTTTATAATAAACCAGTAAACATAAGTAAAGTGTCTGTGAGCCTCAGTTCTGTGAGCTATTCTAGTAAATTATCAATCCTGAGAAAGGGGTCACAGTGAGACAGGATAGTCATAGCAGAACAGAAAATTCCAAGCAGCAGTCTCATGACTAGCAAAAAGGAGCTGTTGAAAGAGCTGCATATACTAGGGACCAATAAGACCCTGAAAAGCAGGATGAGGGCCAAGTTGACTAAGACCAACCAGACTCAACATGGTGCTGGATTTGGCGTAGGTTTCACCTAGGATCTCATTACACACTCATTAACACCCTAAATCACACACCCACTAGTGCCATAATAGTTCATGGAACACCCATATTTGGTGTAAACATGGGTGACACCACAGTTCTGAGAAATCTTTATCTTTTTCTAGAAATCTTCATGAATAATCCACCCCTTGGTTAAAGAAACCCATAAAGGTAGAAACTCCAAACCCCGTTGGGCATGACTCACTCTCTTGAGTACACACACTCACACTCCCCTTTCTTGAGTGTGTCTTTTCACTTTGCCACAAAGCTCCAGACTTTCACTATTTTCTGACTCGTCCTTGAGTTTCTTGACGGTGTCCTTGAATTTCTTGATGGTGAATTCCTTGACTTGTCCAGGTGTCAAGAGCCTGGGCACTGGCCAGGGTTGAGGTCCTGCCATCATTTGGGGTTACCTCTCCTACCCCCCAGTATCAATGGGAACCTCTGATTTATGGCCACTTGGTCAGAAGTACTGGTGGCAACCCCAGACTTACTGTTGGCATCTGAATTGGGGAAAGTCTTGTGGGATTTTAACTTGCGGGTATGACGCAAATTCCAGGTAGATCATGTCATAATTTCAGGATTCCCAGTTGGCATCTTCAGAGAATTGGACAATTACTTGGTGTGGTAAAAACCCATACATTTAGTGTCAGAAGTGTAGTGTGAATAGAGAAACTGTTTTCTTTTACCATGGTGTGTTAGTCTGTTCCCACACTACCAATAAAGACATACCTGAGACTGGGTAATTTATAAAGGAAAGAGGTTTAATGGACTCACAGTTCCACGTGGCTGGGGAGACCTCACAATCATGGCAGAAGACGAAGGAGAAACAAAGTCACATCTTACATGGTAGTAGGCAAGAGCACCTGTGCAGGAGAACTACCCTTTATAAAACCATCAGATATTGTGAGGCTTATTCACTATCAGGAAAACAGCAAGGGAAAGACCTGCCCCCATGATTCAATTGCCTCCTACTGGGTCCCTCCCACAAAATATGGGAATTATGGAAGCTACAATTCAAGATGAGATGAGGTTTGGGTGGCGACACAGCCAAACCATATCCCATAGGACCGTCATATTCTTAGGCTTTCATTTCTTTTCTCTGAATAGGAAGGATGGCCTTTTTGACTGCCAAATTACAACATTCTAGGATTTAAAGAGCTTTATTAAAAGCAATCTTTATCTCCATAACTCTCAGAGGTTTTTTTTTGTAAGTTTTCAGTGACAAGGGCTAATCGCAGAAGCTGTCTCTCAGTGTTCTGAATTGTGAATGCAAAAACCTAAGAGAAGTTAGAGCTCTCCAGAAGACAGAGACAACACTTTATTTATATATTTACTTTTAGTTTCCAGCACTGGGTATATTGCCTATCATGCAGGAGGCAATTAATAAATATTCACTAAAGGAGACCAGGTGTGGTGGCTCATGCCTATAATCCCAGCACTCTGGGAGGCTGAGGTGGGAAGACAGCTTGAGGCCAGGAGTTCGAGACTAGCCTGAGCAACATAGCAAGACCACATCTCTACAAAAAAAAAAAAAAAAAAAAAAATGCCAGGCTGTGGCAGCACACACCTATAGTCCCAGCTACTTGGGAGGCTGAGTTGTGAGGATCGCTTGAGTCCAGGAGTTTGAAGCTGCAGTGAGCCATGATTACATCACTGCACTCTAGCCCTGGGCCACAGAGCAAGAGCCTGCCCCCCCACCCAAAAATATATATATATACAAAGAAAGAAAGGAAAATGTTTACTGAATGAATGAGTGAGTGAAAGAATTCTCTCTTCTTATTTTGGGCAAGAATAGTATGTTGTTTAAGAATTTCTTTGATTTCAGTGGCTCTAAAGAGAGAAATGTTGTAAACATTGTCGACAAAGTTGGTAAGAGGACTGCAAATAGAATTCTCATTGCACAATACACGCATTATGAACCCTTACATTGGAAAATCTCTGTACATTTGTTTCTGAAAGGAAGGAAATCTATCAGCTCTCTCTCAATTTTCCTATTAAAGACTCTCATTCTGTCAGATCAGAGGTCTCCAAGGGAAAAAAACAAAAAAGAAAAAGAAAAAGAAAAAGACTCTCATTCTGGACATAACTGCTGAGTTACCTGCAAGAGGTAACACATTTCTAGGGCTGAATTCTGACAGAGTGGAGCTTTTTGAGCCACTTCACTTGTAAGTTCTGGGAACCCAGCTGTTTGGTTTTTTGATTTGTATTAATCCACAGTCAGAAACCCCAGAGAAAAATTTTTGCCTTCAAAATCAGCTTTATTGAAATATAATTTCTATAGTGTAAACCTCAACAATTTTGTGTACAATTCAATGAGAGTTGACAAATGTATAGAGCTGTGTAAGTTCCACTACAATGAGGATATTTCACCCCCTCCTCATGCTCCCTGCAAAGTTCCACGCCCCTATGTCAGCAATCCCATCCCTGTGGATGCTGAGATCAGAGCAACTGCTGACAGAGTTTTAGCTCTCCGTAGTTTTGTCTTTTTTATAATTCTGTATTAATAGATTCCTATGGTATGAGCTCTTTTGTTTCTGCCCTCTTTCATATAGCATAATGCTTTTGAGATTCATCCATATTTTCACATGGATCTTTAGTCATTCCTCTTTATTGGACAGTGTTCCATTGTATGGATACATAATTTGTTTTTCCACTCACCAGTTGATGGACATTTGAGTACTGTCCAGTTTTGGCTATTGCAAATAAAATGCTATGAACATCTATGTTTAATTTTTTGTGTGTACATGTTTGTTCTTGGATAAATACCCTGGAGTGATATTACTGGGACATATGGTTAATGCATGTTTAACTTAACTTTTTAAAAAATCTGCCAGTTTTCCAAAGTGGCTATGCTATTAACACTGTGTTGCATTCCCATCTGCAATGTATGAGAGTTCCAGCATTCTATATTGTGGCCAACATTTGGTATTGTCAACTTTTAAAAAAACATTTAGCTTTCTGAGCATTTCATTGTAGTTTCTCTGGCATATCTTCATGATAAATGATACTGAGCATCCATCCTTTCATGTACTTATTTTCACTTTGTGTGTCTTCTTTCATAAAGTGCCTGTTTCAATCTTTTGCCACCTCTCACACCACCCCCCCCCCCCGGCCCACCCTTTTTTTTTTTTTTTGGAGTTGGAAGATTGTGAAGATTGTGTAGATTGTGAAGCCAATCTACCTTTTTTTGGAGTTGGAGTCTCTCTCTGTTGTCCAGGCTGGAGTGCAGTGGCGTGATTGTAACTCACTGCAGCCTCAAGCTATCACTGGGCTCAAGCAATCTTTCTGCCTTGGCTTCCCGAAGCGCTGGGATTATGGATGTGAGCCATTGTGCCCAACTCCCATTTTTTAAGATGCATTTTTTATACTATTACTGATTTGTAAGAATTCTTTATACATCCTGGATACAATTTATGTATCAGATATGTATTTTGTAAATGTTTTCTCCCTGGCTTTGGCTTGCCATTTAGTTTCTTGGGTGTCTTTGAAGAACAAATGTTTTAAATTTAAATGAAGCCAATCTGCCATTTTTGTTTATGGTTTGTGCTATGTTGTGTCCTGAGATATCTTTCCCTAATGTCATGCCACAAAGATTTTCTTCTATGTTTGCTTCTAGAATTGTTATAGTTTTAGCTCTTATCTTTACATTTATGAGCCATTATGTGTTAATCTTCACATGTGCTATGAGTTAAGGGTGGAGTTTCCTCTCTTCCCAGATAGATGTCCTGTTGTTCTAATTCCATTCTTGAAAAGATTATCCTTTTGCATTTACCTTATTGAAAATCAATTGACCATTATATATGTGAACTACTTTTGAACTCTCTCTTCCATTTCATTGATCTATGTCTCTATACTTACAATAATGCAAAGTCTTCATTACTAGCTTTATAGTAATATTGAGATCAAGTAGTGTAAGTATTCTAAATTTGTTCTCCAGTTAAAAATTGTTTTGACTCCTCTAGGTTCTTTGTATGTCCAAATAAATTGAGAATCAATATATTAGTTTCATTAAAAATGTCCAGTATGATGTCAATTGGGATGGCACTGAATCTGTAGGTCAGCTTGGAGGGAATTGAAAATCTCAACAATTTGTCTTCTAAAACATGAACACTCTATATCCATTTATTTATATTTCCTTTGATTTATTTAAGCAATGTTCTACAGTTTTCAGTGTATAGTACTTGCACATTGTATTTGTCCATTCTCATGCTGCTAATAAAGACATACCCGAGACTGGGTGATTTATAAAGGAAAGAGGTTTCATTGAATCACAGTTCAGCATGACTGGGGAGGCCTCAGGAAACTTACAATCATGGCGGAAGGGGAAGCAAACATGTCCTTCTTCATATGATGACAGCAAGGAGAAGGGCAGAGCAAAAGTGGGAAAAGCCCCTTATAAAACCATCAGATCTTGTGAGAACTCAGTATCAAGAGAACAGCATGAGGGTGAACATCTCCATGACTAAATTACCTCCCAATGGGTTCCTCTTACCACAGGGAACTACAATTCAAGATGAGATTTGGGTGGGGACACAGCTAAACCATATCACACATATTTTAAGTTTATACCCAAGTATTTTCATGCTTTTTGATGCTACTGTAAATGGGATTATTTCATTAATTATTATTTCAAAATTTTCACTAATAAATTTTATTTTTGTATGTCGATCTTGCATTCTGTGACCTTGCTAAACTCACTTATTAGTTCTACTAGTTTCTAAATTAAAATCTTAATAATGATTTTCTACATAGCTGATCATGACTTTTGTGAATAAAGAGTTTTATTCTCTGTAAAGAGCCTTTTTGCACTGGTCAGGAATTTTAATGCAATATGGAATAGTAGTGATAAGAACAGACATCCTTGCTTAGTTTCTGATCTTAGGGGAAAAGCATTTAGTCTTTCCCTATTAAGGAGAATGTTAGCTTTTGGTACATGCCTTTTGTCGAGTTGAAGAAGTTCCTGTCCATGCCTAATTTGCTGAAAGTTATTTATCATGAATGGGTATTGAATTTTGCCAAATCCTGTTTCTGCATCTTTTGAGATACTCATATGATTTTTCTTTTTTATGCTGTAATTTTGGTGAATTACACGATTAGTTTTCAAATGTTAAACCAAATTTACATCTTGAGATAAACCCTATTTGATCATAATGTACTATTGTATTAGTCTGCTGATACAGTTTGGATATTTGTCCCCACCCAAATCTCGTGTTGAATTGTAATCCCCAGCATTGAAGGTGGGGCCTAGTGGGAGGTGTTTTGATCATGGGGTGAATGATCCATGGCTTGGTGTTGTCTTTCTGATAGTGAGTTCTCATGAGATATGGTTACTTAAAAGTGTGTGGCACCTCTGCCGACCACACTTTCTCTCTTGCTCTTGCTTTCACTATGTGACTTGTCCTCTCCCCCTTCACCTTCCACCACGATTGTAAGCTTCCTGAGGCCTCCCTAGAAGCCAAGCAGCTGCCAGCACCAGCTTCCTGTACAGTCTACAGAACTGTGAACCAATTAAACCTCTTTTTAATTACCGTTTATCATCTATGAATTATCATTTATCCTGTCCATCCCCGTATCAACTTAATTTCTAACCTTCTACCACTCCATTTCTAGATCATCCAAGGAATTCAATATGGTCTTTGTCACAGCCTTTGAGAGCGATCCTAATTTTGGTTATGAAAAATATACCTGGATAAGCTGCTTTCTCTTTCAAGTCCCTCTTCTTCAACTCATTTCTAAACGTAACTCCTTGCTATAGAAGATCATAGCAGAAACAGTCCTGTGTGTTTCTCAAACCATCTCAATTTCCTCCTAGGCACAAAGGAAGACTACATTTCCCAGTCTGATTGTATCTATGTGGGGCTATGCTACCAGTTCTGGCAAATGGACTATGTACCAGCAGCACGATATACCACTTCATGCCTAGCACCTACAATCTGCAAGACAGCATCTGCATTCTCCTCTCTGTCTACTGTAGGATTATCAGTGTCCAGCAAAACCAGGACATTCACCAACATATTTTGTCAAGTAAGCAAGAAATAAATTTCTATTGTGTTCATGTACTGAAACTTAAGGGTTTCTATTAAAGTGGGATGATTACTTCCGTTGACTAATACCTAGCACAAACTACACTCAATCAAGTATCAATAATAAGCATATTATTTATTATACGTTTGAAAGCTGGAAGAGAATTATTTTGTTCAAAGAAATGTGGATCAAGTATCTTGAAAGCATTTATCAGTTTAATAACATTTGGCATACTACTTTGTGGAGAAAAATCACATAGGGAACAGAGTACTATACGGTAAATGCAAAGTCCTTCTATAATATTTTCTGTTGAGCTGACCTCTGCTTTTTGATATGACAAAGTCAAGAACAATCTGAAAAAAGTATCAAACACATATGTAGGTGAGGGTGTTCCCTTCCCTCCCAACAAATGGACTAAAAGGCTCTCTAATAAGGAGACTTAGGATGCAAATCCATTAACAACAACTATATTTGACTCATCATAGTGCTGCTGGGTGCTACTTGGGAGGAAAATGGGTGACATTCTGATGATCAATTTGTTTATGTATGTTAACTAAATAGGGGCAGAAAAATAAACCCACGAGCAAAACACTTAGTCTCATAGAACTGAACTAAAACAGAACTAAAAGAGGCATTAGACATTATCTAACTCAATCTCAGTTTACAGATGAGAAAACCCTTTTAAAGACTCTTCCTGATACAGTTGTTTGGATAGAAACATCATAATATTTTACTTTGAAAATTTCCTAATTAGACGCATCCCACAATCTCTTCTATTTTGGAGAAATGATAGCCTGCTTAGGGAAATCCTTTCTGCACACTGAACATGACTTGGGAATGGGATGCTCAGGCCTCTGAACACCTGGAGCGAGGGGACCAACACAGGATGCTAATCTGAAACCAATGGACCCTACCTGGTCATTTTACTCTAAACACTGTCTTCATTTGTCAAACAGTTAAAAATAATTTCCTTTTATTTTATATAAAAGACATAAAGTTTGTTGAGGAATTTTTATTTTTAAAAGTTCAACAGTTCATCCACTTGCACTACCCCCCAACAAACACACACACATGGTAAGTGAGATGTGGTTTATCTGCCTATCACTCGTGTTCATATGTTAAATAAAATATTTAGAAACAAATTAAAATTGAAAGCAGCTGGGTGTGGTGGCTCACTCCTGTAATCCCAGCACTTTGGGAGGCCAAGGTGGGAGGATTGCTTGTGCTCAGTAGTTCAAGGTCAGCCTGGGTCTTGAACTGGTAGTGAGACCCCATCTCTACAGAAAATAAATAAAATTAGCCAGGCACAGTGGCACATGCCTGTAGTCCCAGCTACTCAGAAGGCTGATGTGGGAGTATTGCTTGAGCTCGGGAGGCCAAGGCTGCAATGAACTGAGATCATGCCACTGTACTCCAGCCTGAGTGACAGAGCAAGACTCTGTCTCAAAAAAAAAAAAAAAAAAGAAAGGAATCCAAGTTGATTTATGTTGTAATGTAAGCTACATTCATCTGCTATTAAAGTTTTTCAGGTAGGAAAATATTTCCAAAGAAAATATTAGTAACTTATAGCTGATGAACATTAAACATTAATGTTAGAGTGTAGAAATTACATCTCACTTTTTGTGAATATAAGTTGAATATGCTCATATTATTGTTAAATAACTTCTGAAAGTATTAAGAAGGCTAGTTTAATGGTCAAAAAAGTTTTATTTGAGGAAAATGCCACATAAATGTCACCAGTAAAAAACAAAACAAAAAACTAACTAGGCATGGTGGTACCTGCCTATAATCCCTACTTGGGAAGCGGAGGTGGGAAGATCCCTTGAGCTCAGGACTTCAAGACCAGCCTGGGCAAGACTGAACATAGCAAGACCCTATCTCAAAACAAACAAACAAACAAACAAACAAACGGAACAAAACCACACACAGAGAGACAAACCCAGGAGCCTATTCTGAATCCATTTGGTTCAGAAAAAAAGATGTTATGTGATTTTTAAAAAGTTATTTCATAGATAGAGAAAGATACACAACCAACATTTTTTTTATGTGAGATTTTCTACTTTAATTTTTTTCACATGGAAAGTGCACATACCGGACATACTAGTTTATTCCGCCTCTACTGTTATAGTTCCTCTAGTAAATGATTGATTATAGAACAGCTAACAGCAAACTGGTATTTTTCTTTTGTCTTTTACTACCTATTTTATTTTTCGAAGTTTACTTTTGATTCTCTCTAAGAATAGTGTTTCTCTTCCATTTCCAAGAACTATGTAGATGTAATGTGAAAATCAGGACAATTTAAAACGTCTCTTCCTTCCTTCTCTGCTTTGAGCTCTTTTTTTTTTCTTTTTTTAAAATCTGTTTTTTTTTCTTTCCTTGTACCATTTATGTTTAGCCCTTTCACCTCCCTAGTACTCATTTTCTCATTCCCTTTTCCCTTGGCTCTCTCTCAGCTTTGCTTGAAGGTTTTTAGTGGGTTCCTTGCCATTCATACCCAATTATCTTAGTGATAGCAGCACTCCCAGGAATTGAAGTCTCATAAGTGGTTGGGATGGAATTGACACCACAGCCCCACAAACAACTCTATAACTGTATGGATTTTAGTGGTTTCTGTACAAACGTTCAGCAACTGGGCAGAAGCTGGTCATCATACAATGTTGTTAAAGAAAAAGAAAGATACATGAGAAGGAAGGTCATGTTATTTAAATCTAGATTGGTTCATTGCCCTCTCACTGATAGAGGGGTTAAGCAACAAGGTAAAGATAAATAAATATCTAGGGAAACGTGATTATATACAGAAAACATTCTGAATATGAAAGGAAATAGTTTGTAATGTGAAAACACAATGGGCCACAGACTTAGGAAAGCTAGTTGAGAAAAAAATCTCTATTTGTAAAGGATCTAATGGATCTCAGAGGAAAACCTGGCAGAGACTGGGGCGTCAGAATTAGTGGCTCTTTTTCCCAGAGTTAAGGCTAGTTCAGGATAAAAGTCTACAAGAGAAAAGTTTGCTCTCTATAATACCATTTCATCAATAACATTGTGTTACAGCCTAGATCCCCCAGGTATCACATTATAGCAAGAATACAATATAGAAAAGGTTAAAGGATTAAACTAGACGTCCTTTCTCCCTTCCTTCTGCAAAATTCATGGAATCATATGGACCTGGAAATCATTGATTTCAACCTCACCCTCAAAGCAGGAAACCCTTAGACAATATTTTTAACAGGTGGTCATCCAGTTTCTGCTTCATTACTTCCCGTGCCAGAGAAGTGAGTCACTGCCTTGCAAAGCAGTAATTCTACATTTAACATCCTTTTAAAGACAAATACTATCCCATAAAGAGCTGACAGTCATGCATCACTCGCTAGGTACCAGGTGAAGGCCTCAGTGCTTTACTGGGTGTGTTATTTTGGAAGTTCCCAGATGACCCCCTGCAACAGGCTTGTGGCTTAGAGTGGTTAGGTAGCCAGACTTGCAGAAGGGACAGAGTCTGGATTTGGGCCCAGTCTTTTTGACTCCAGACGAGGCCTTCACATCACGCTGAATCACACTTGCCTCCCTGTAGCTTCCACACGTTCACTCTGGTCTGGATCCCAGAGGACAAAGCAAAACTCCCGTTCTTCCACTTCAAAGCCCTCCAGATACGTGAAGATAGTGACTGTCTCTTCTCCCTGCCCTCCCTCTGCATCCCCTCTCCTCACAGACTAACCACGAACAGATCCCTCTGTTAATTCAGAGGCAAATTTTTTTGAGGCCTCTTTCATTCTAATGCCACTCTTCTAGAGATGGATGCTCAGGAGCAAACATAATAGATAAGATATGAACAGAGTAATGATTGCAGATGAAATGTTCATTTTTGACTATCAGATTCAGTAAAGGAAAATCTTTTCTGAGTAACAAATATAAAAATTGTCATCCATAAATATTTGATATTGCATGTGTCTATGTATACTTGCAAATCTTTTCATTATGAACATAGTAATTATCATCTTAAACATATTATAGCACTACATAATAATGATTTATTGCCCAAACTGAATTATGTTTCAGGAATTAAGAATGAATTTGATGGATACAACCATTTCTGTGTATCTCTATTTACTGCCATGGCAACAAATTAAAATAGTTTCGTTTAATTAGTTGTTGGTAAAGCACTATGAACATGAAAACTGCTATTAATGGATACACAGTGTTTAGTGTTAATGCTAGTGTTATCATAAATGGCACAGTGTTTATGGACAAAATAAACCAATTTATTTTCCATTAATAGTAATAATTTCATCTTTGAATTAGGAAAAGGATTTGTTAAAAAAAAACAACAAAATTGTCTAGTCTCCCTTTTATGTTTTTTGTGTTTAAAGGCAGGTTCTTGTTATGTTGATCAGGCTGGTATCAAACTCTGGGCCTCAAGCAATCCTACAACCTCAGCCTCCCAAAGTTACGTTTTTTTTGGCCAAATTTTAACCAACATTATACACTCAGGCAGAAGAGAATATGACTGCATATAGTGATGACCAAAATATCCCAATGAAAACAGGTATACTTTTTTTGGGGGGGGTGTGGGGGTGACTGGATTTCACTCTTTTGCCCAGCCTGGAGTGCTATGACCCGATCTCAGCTCACTGCAACCTCCACCTCCTGAGTTCAAGCCATTCTTCTGCCTCATCCTCTCAAGTAGCTGGGATTGCAGGTGCATACCACTATGCCTGGCTAATTTTTGTATTTTTAGTAGAGACAGGGTTTCACCATGTTGCCCAGGCTAGTCTTGAACTCCTGGACTCAAGTGATCTGCATGCCTCAGCCTCCCAAAGTGCTGGGATTACAAGCATGAGTCACCATGCCCAGCCAAAAAAAATATATTTTCTAATGGCTGTTGCAATGTTCAAATCACCACTGCTGAGCCTTTTAGTTTCCTAATACAGAAAGGAGGACGGAGATTGCCGGCAATGCAGAGCTGAAGGAATTAACCACATCACCCACCAGGAACTATTTTCAGAATGGCTCAAGGAGTTGCTTGTGGAGAGCTTTAGATCTCCCCAAATCTTGTCAACTTCCCCAGTGGCCCCCAATGCTTATGCAATCTCAATAAAAACAGCTGCTTACCAGGAAGGTGCAGTTCCATGCCCAGTCCCCTCCCTTCTCCTCCAACCCTAAGTCTGTCCTAGGTTGAAATTTTGAAGCTCCTTTAGACCCGCCTCCTGTCATTGACCTCTCAAGTCTTGGAGGTCCCATAGCTGATATCATACAATTTAGAAGCAGAAAAACCCACCAGAGATCCTCTAATCCAGCTCTCTGCCTTCTAATAGGTAAAGTATTTTACAGATAAGGAAACACAAAGTACTAAAGAAACACAAAGATAAGCAAACCAGTTGAGCTCAGAGAGTGCTGCAGATGGAGTGAATGGGCTGGACTCCATCTGGATTGTGGTAGGGTTATGTGGCTTGGGTTGGAAATCTTATCCATGCGTAAACTGAGAATGCCTTCAGCTATCCTCACTTAGACCAGATTCATGAACCCCAGGCTGAATACTATGTAATGAATTAAATGGACTATCTCATTGCCAGTCATTGAAATGTCCTCTTGTACGTGGTGGTAATGAATCAGACCAGGGCTCTTCTTTAGACACTAGTTCACCTCAATACTCATCTAGGGCCAGAAGAGGCCAAAGATGTGAAGAAGGATGAATTTGACTTCAACATTAATCTTCCTCTGAATATCCTGTGTATCCATGTTGCAACTCCCCAGGATTGACCCTTTCAGCCGTGTCTTATTGTCTTCAGCATCCCCTGTGTCCTAGCCCCTACTCCCACCACTAATTAGAATTTACCTATCCTTGGGATCATCCCATGTGACTGCCAAAGGACTCTCTTACAGTCCTTACTCTATTGCCAGGTAACGTATTTGTGGTTTAAAGGGATATTTTGATCGCTTAAGCCTGAGGAATGATTGAAAATGGCAATTTCAGGCCCTATGGCAAATCAATGATAGAACTTTCTGTGCTGAAGAATCTGACCTGAGAAAGGTCTGCTTGCAAGATGCCGAGAGCCACCAGTGGGGACACTGTCCAAATACAGCTGATACAAAACTGGCTGCTGGAGATGCTGTCCAGGGAATTTGGGTGACATTGGGCCACATGGCCTTTCAGACACCCTCCAACCCTGGGATTCCAGACTGTGTCAAATGATAGATCCGTGGCAACTTACAGGGGCTTTCCTATGGTTACTGGAAGGATTTGTGATGGCCGATTTCATGTATTAAACAGACAGGACTAAGGGATGCCACAAAGCTGGTAAAAAATTATTTCTGGGTGTCTGTGAGGGTGTTTCCAGAAGAGATTCATATTCAAATTGGTAGACTGAGTACAGAAAATCATCCTCACCAATATGAATGGCCATCGTCCAGTTTGGTGAGGGCCTGAAGAGAACAAAAAGGCAAAGGACGAGTGAGTTCCATCTCTATTTAGGCTGGCACATCCTCTTCTGCTGCATTTGGACACTGGTACTTCTAGTTTCTGGGCCTTCACACTCAGAACAGAACTTGCATCATGGGTTCCTGATTCTCAGACCTTCGGACTTGGACTGAATTATACCACCAGCTTTCTTGGTTTTCCAGTTTGCAGATAGTGGATCATGAGACTTTTTGGCCTCCATAATCACATAAGACAATTCCCATAATAAATCTCTCTACATATATTTAATATATATAATCATATAGATTTTAATATATATTAAAGTTATATACACATTAAAAGTATATATATATAATTTTAGGAGAAAATTTATATTATAGATTATTTATATATACAATCTCCTATTGATTCTGCTGGTTCTGTTCCTCTTGGACACCCTAACTAATCCTTGAATCCTGATCTATCCTTAGCCCTGTGCAGTGCTTATCAAACCATATCACCTCAGATTGTTGTAATTATCAGCCAACATGTGGCATGTCAGAAAGAGGGACTCAAAAGCTCTTAATAAGCTGGGCTATGAACTGATCTAACAAGGCGACTTTAGAATACATGTCTCTTTATCAAACTTTCCAGAGCTCCTCTCATCCCCATAATCTGTTTTATGTTCCTCTCTTACCGTCTAATTTCTTTTCCTTAAAACTAACCACTTTGCCTGAATTTGGGGTCCCTTTTTCTTTCTTTTACAGGACTTTTATCACTCAAGAGAAGTCTTCTTCCTGTTAATCTTTCAAATTTATGTCTTACCTTTCTATTCCCCCTAGACCCCACATTTATTTATTTATCTATTTGTCTATCTATTTGTTTATTTAAGACAGGGTCTCTTTCTGTTGCCCAGACTGCAGTGCAGTAGTGCAACTTACTGCAGTCTTAACCTCCTGGGCTCAAGCGATCCCCCTGTCTCAGCCTTCTGAATAGCTGAAACCACAAGCATGTACCACCATGCCCAGCTAATTTTTTTATTTTTTTGTAGAGACAGGGTCTCGCCATGTTGCCCAGGCTGGTGTCAAACTACTGGGCTCAAGTGAACCTCCCATTTTGACCTCCGAAGGTGCTGTGAAGGTGTGAGCCTGGCCCTTAGATCCCACACTTCTGTCAAGAGAAATAATACCTAAATTTATTGAGTAGTTATTATGTGTTAGACACTGGGCTAAGCAATTAAAATAGGTTATCTCATTTATTTCTCACAACACCTTTCTGTGATGGGTATTAGTTTTATTCCTATTTAGTATATGAGGCAATAAAGCATAGATAGATTTAAAATCTTGCCCAAGGACAGACAGTAAATGCTGAAGTCTGGGTCCAAATCCAGGCAGTTCAACTCCAGAGCTCTTAACCACTAAGCCCCCTCATCTTCATTATCTTAATCCCCGGCAATTTGACCTTTAACTCCACACTGCTGAAACTGCTTTCTACCTGCTAGTCCTTGTCTTACTTGACTTTTCCTCGACGGACCTTTTTTCCCTTGGCTTTGTGAGACCATGGGAATCCTTTTTTCTCTGCAAACATCTTTCATATGCAAAGGTTAGAGCCTTTGCATTCTTTTCCCTACTCTTCTTTTTCTTACTTTTTCCTGTTTGCCCTTGAAAATCTTTTTCCATAGTTTCAATTACAAAATCAGTGCATGTATCTGTGCTCATTTCTGGGCTTCAGTTTTTCATTCTAACAGCACATGATATCTGTATCTGCATGTCCCAGTGACATCTCAAGCTCAGCATGTCCCAAGCTGAATTTATCATCTTCCATTAACTACTTTTCTGTATCCTGACTTCATCTCCTCCTCCTGACTCTTAGAGATGCTATGATGTCATGGAAAGAACACCAGCCAGGGAACTCAGAAGACATGGACTCCAGTCCCTGATATGCTTGCTATATGACCTAGAGGTCTTCATCAAACCCTTTCTCTAGGCTAAGGGAGTCTACTGGACAATATCATGTCCCTCCCAACCCTTCACACCTGTGGCTCCTGATGTCCCATTTGCATCATTCTTTCAATAACCCAGGGATGAAGTCTTACATTCATCTCTCATCCCACATAAACAGCCTTCAAATGGAAAGAGAGTTTTTCTAATAATTAATTTATTCCTCTCATTAATGTATATTCACAGAATACCCTACTATGCAACAACACTGGGAAATAGTGGAGAATGAAGGAGAAAAGTCCCCTCCATCATGGGGCTTACAGTCTAGTGCAGGAGGCTGACAATAAACATCTGCACAAATAAACGTATTATATGGTATCAAGGAACAATAAGAACTGTGAAGAAAAATGAAGCAGGTTAAGGGTTTATCAGTGACTTAAGGGTTGGGGGGTATTTATTTTAGTTAGGATGGTGTAAGGAGATGATATCTGGGCACCAACCTAAATGAATGAGGGAATGCACCACACAAACATGAACGGAAACAGCCTTTCAGGCAGAAGGAAAAGACAGCATGGGTTGTGAAACAGGAACGATCTCAAGATTCCTCTCAAGAGCCAGGACCCTAGGCCTCAGAGGCCATGGTAAGGCTTTTGCAGTTAAATTTTATTTTATTTATTTATTTTTTGAGACAGGGTCTCGTTTTGTTGCTCGGGCTGGAGTGCAGCGGCATGATCTTCGCTCACTGCAGCCTTAACCTCTTGGGCTCAAGTGATCTCCCACCTCAGCCTTCCAAGCAGCTGGGGCTACCACAGGCACGCGCCACCACCCCTGGCTAATTTTTGTATGTTTTGTAGAGACGGGGGTCTTGCCATGTTGCCCAGGCTGGTCTCGAACTCCTGCGCTCAAGTGATCCACATGCCTCTGCCTCCCAAAGTGTTGGGATTATAGGCGTGAGCCACTGCATTTGGCCTGGAGTTAGATTTTAACTGTGATGAGATACCTTAGAGGATTTTAAGCCCACGAGTAACTTGGCCTGATTACATTTTAAAAGATCACTTTCTGCCCTGTGGAGAATAAAGCACGGGCGTTGGGGCAGGACAACAGTGACAGCAGGAAGACTGCTTACGATTCAGAATCTGCTGCAATCAGCCAGGTGAGAGATCACAGTGGCTTGGACCAGAATATATTGGTGCAAGTGATGAGCTTACTGAATAAGCTAACTGATGAGGTGTAATATCCCTTTAGAAAAGGGAAGAAATCAGGAATGTTGTCCATGAGTTGTTCTTGGACCACAGGTTATCCAAGGTCTCTTACTCTGAGATTCTACACACTGCGAAGCTTGATCCCATTTTATTTTTATTTTATTTGTTTATTTGAGACAGGGTCTCACTCTGTCACCCAGGCTGGAGTGCAGAGACACGATCATAGCACATTGCAGCCTTGAACGCCCAGGCTCAAGTGATCCTCTTGCCTCAGCCTCTCAAAGAGCTGGGACTATAGGTGCACGCCACCACATCCAGCTAATTTTTAAATGTGTTTTTTATAGAGACATGGTCTCACTATGTTGCCCAGGCTGGTCTCCGACTCCTGGGCTCAAGCAATCCTCCTGCCTCAGCCTCCCAAAGTGCTGGTACTGCAGGTGTAAGCCACCACACCCAACCTTGATCCCATTTTATATAGAACCTTCTTCATCTACTTTTATGGCCCACTACCTCCTGTAAACCAGAGGCAAACTGCGAAATGCATTAACTCAGAGAAGAACAAAGTTAATTGGAGCTGGCTGAGCTAATATCCTATCTATGGGAGTGCCATAGGGAATGTTGTACGATACTCATTTTAGTTATATGTGTAGTCAGAATTCCTTGGGCCTTAGACTCAAGGTAAAGGGATGCACTTTGTGAAGATTAAGTGAGAGAATGTGTATGAAAACCACAAAGCTATAAAGTTCTATGGACATCCAAGTGACCATGCTTCGTTTAAGTAAAATTCAGTGCAAATAGTGCAAGCAAATGTTTTCCAGTGTGCTATGTCACTTTTCAAAGCTGTAACTACTGGAAATGCTACATCTCTTGCACTTACCTGGGTTATCCACAAAGACGGCTAAAATAACTGTAAGTCAATATGTATCAGGTAAACACATTGGACTACGCCCAGGCAGCTTTCAAATAGATGACACAAGACTAGGGATGTGTCCAGACATGTTCTGAACAACAAGCATTCCTCTGTTTTGATATAATCTGCAAAAGTTTTCTGACGCATTATTTATCCTTGTTAAAAATAAACCAGAAACCTTAATTGCTAATATTATTTCAAAACTGTGCCTTTCCTATGTGGCTTTACAGAGGGTTAAAAGAATGAAGGAACATATTTGAAAAGGGGAGACAAGACGAAAGACACAATCAGAACTGCATTTTTTAAAAAATTCTATTTTGGATTTTTTTTTAACTTTTTCATAATTCAGAGTTTTACATGAATTCCACTATCAAAGAAACTTTAAGAGAAAAAACAATTTATCTTTATTAAAATTGTTTTTATTTTGTGTGTATGTGTTTATATGGGAACAAAACAAAACTGATGAGAAACAGCTGAATGAACATGTGGCTTTTAAAACGTTACATAATAAAAGGGAAGGGAAAGGTCTGGAGTCCTACATTGCACATATGATATTTTGTCCCTGTAGGCTCCTTTTTGTTTTCTTAAGGATATCAAATGCCAGTGTGATTTCACAGGTGACCCAGCTTCTAGAATTACATTCTGCAAAATTGTTTCCCTTCCAGAGGCTCAGTGAAATGTGGGGTGATGGCTTCCACATGAGGATAAGTCCCCAACATGTTCTCCAAGCAAACTCAGGCACACGTTTCAAACCAAAGTGACAGATACACTAAATCTAGGTCCATTATATAGAAAGTAAAGAAAATGATATGTAACAGAAGAACGTTAGTGATTGAAATATCAAAAAACTTACATTTTCCACTAGCAAAGTAGGGTTTTTGTGTTTTGTTTTTCAATAAAGTTGACCATGTCTGGATACCAGTGAAATTTGTGCAGTTTTCTTTCTAAATAAAATCCTGGGATATAAACAAAAAGCACCTCACAAAAATGCTTTTGTCTTGGTCGCTGAAATACAACTGAATTCAAAATAACTGAATTCATGAAGAGCTTGAAGGCATATCACAAACCCATACAATGCTATTGAGCACAGACTTGGGCATCTTAATTTCACTTATAATGTTTGAGTTTGCTGCCAAAAGTTCAATTCTCTCCCTTTTTTAATTGAAGTACTTATGAAAAAACTGTACTTCCTAAAAAGAAAGCACAACCTTATAAGAAGAAAATTAATTGCTCTCATCTCCAGTTAAACACAACTTCCATCGTTATAAAATCAAAAAGATTAATTGTACCAGTGAGCTGGCCAACAATACGAATAGGCTGGAGGTACTGACAAAAAGAAATGTTCCTCAATTCAACCTACCTCCTCTCCCCAATAATCTGGTTCTTATCCATAAACTACTTTGACCTTACAGAAAGAAGAGGCTTATAAAAAATGGGCAGAACAGAAAAGAGTAGAATTCCTGTAAAGACCCAAGACTTGAAGCCTACTAACCAAGAGATCAATTCCATGTTTAGCATCAGGCCATATCTTGCCAAATATGATAGACTGGCAAATAGGATATTTGGCCAAAATGGCTGTGGTAAAAATTTGTACATGCAGAATGACTCCATATAAACAGATTTTGGAACAGTTTTAGTGGTAGTTCAAGGTCAAAAACCTTTCCATACATACTATGATACTCAGCTGAACAGAGCTCACAAACAACTCTCTCGTCTGTTAGTGTTTTTGGAGGGCTGATGTGCTGCAGTTTCTGTACAGTTGTCAATATCCCCTTGAACTTAACAAATTCTGGCTGGGAAAGAAACTAGTAGATTGGGGTCCAATCTATTGCTTTTGCAGGTTACCTTTAGGTTTAGAGTTGTTGGGGGAAATAACATGACCACATATTGTATGAAATCTTGAATAGGCATTTCTATGGTTTGAGCGTTTGTCCCATCCAAAACTTATGCTGAAGTTAAATTGCCGATGGAATGGTATTGGGAGATGGGGTTTTTAAGAGGTGGTTAAGCACTAAGAGCTCCACACTCATGAGTGGGCTTAATGCCTTAATAAAAGGGCTTTTGAGAGTAGGCTCCTTCTTTTGCCATTTCCCCTTTTGCCACAGATGACACAGCAAGAAGGCCCTTACCAGATGCCAGTCCTTTGGTCTTGGACTTCCCAGCCTCCAGAATGGTGAGACAATACTTTTCTGTTCAACATAAATTACCTAGTCTGTGGTATTTTGTTATAGCAGCACAAAATAGACTAAGACAGGCTTTAACTGCTTTCTGATATTTTCTGCAGGATCTGAGTCTTTGTTTTCTGCTCAACAAGCTGCTGAGCAGCAATCCCAGCCCCAGGGCCCAGAGCACCTTCCTCTGGGAGTCCAGCCTCAGGACTGTGCTCTGCCTGCCCCTACTGCACAGGCCTCAGAGCCACCCACCTCAACTCTGGTTCAGCCACAGTCAGAAGCAAGTAAGATGCTGTGCTACACTGATGAGCTCTACGAATCTGCTTTTCGTTTTCAGGACCTTTCCATTTGGCTCCTGCTTATCAATATTTATCACTTTCATTGATTGTTCTCTATTTATTAATCTTATTTAGGCCCTCATTGCCTTACTATTGAATTACTGCTCCGGTCTCCTAGCTGCTTTTTCTCCTCAATCCACGCTATTTACTAATGCCAGCCTGTACCTTTGATTATATAATTGCCCTTTCCTGAGCCAGCCTGGTGTAATGCAAGAGCCTGAGCTTTGGAGCGTCAGATAGGATTCAATTCTAGGCTCTTCCTTAATTAGTCTAAATAAATCACTCTATCTTTAAGCCCATTGACTAATCTGTAAATGTGTTAATCCCTACATGATTGTTGAATAGATTAAATAATATTATATCAATTATATCCTAGAAAGCATCTACTACAGATATTAAATGAATGTAAAGTATCTTTTGTTCTTTTTCACTGTAAGTCATTCCATAGTCCTTAATCTTGTCACTAAGACTTTTAACGCCAGGTAATTGTTTCTAGGAGTTTGCTGTCTAATGAGAACAACGACATACAAATATAATTAAAACACAAATGTACTGTGAGATTGAAAGAACTATGGAAGTGCTATGAGAACTTTGCTCAGTGGTACCATAAAGCCTTACAGAAGAGATTCTTCAAGGATGAATAGGAGTTTGGTGGAGAGACGGGAAAGATTGTATAGAAAAATGTGAAGGCTTAAGCATGTTCCAAGGTGGGATGGAGATGAGACTTTTAAGAAAAGTAATGTCCAGGCTGGGCATGGCGGATCATGCCTGTAATCCCAGCACTTTGGGAGGCCAAGGTGGATGGATCACCTGAGGTCAGGAGTTCAAGACCAGCCAGTCCAACATCGTGAAACCCTGTCTATACTAAAAATACAAAAATTAGCTGAGTGTGGTGGTGCACACCAGTAGTCCCAGCTACTTGGGAGGCTAAGGCAGGAGAATTGCTTGAACCCCGGAGGCAGAGGTTGCAGTGAACCAAAATCATGCCATTGCACTTCAGCCAGGGTGACGGAGCAAGACTCCATCAAAAACAAAAAAACAAAAACCCAGAAAGAAAGAAAAAGAAAAAGAAAAGTAAAAAAGTAATATCCGAATTGTGAAAGCTTTGAATGTTTGGACTTTATTTCTTACAGTCAGTAAAGGGAAAATTTTAAGGAGAATATGATATGAAACCAAGAGATTCACAAGACAATAGAAAAAGTTGACAAGGGACCTGTATATCCCTCTCATATATCTCTCATTTTGAATTTAACAAAAGTGTTAAGGGAGGTGAGACTGACAGTAGCCAGCCGCCCTTGAACACAGCCAAGCTTCTTTCCTGGACAAACAATAAGCATTTCTAAGCAACAGCACAGATCTCTTGAAAGCGGCAGTGCTCAGTAGCTGGTTTCTAGGACCGATTCTACAGAAGTTTACCCAAGTGATTAGGAAATTCTTTGCTCTGGCAAAGATTAGATCTCTTTACAGAATGATAGTAAGTAATTATCCCTTACTTCAGGAACACCTTCTCCATTTAAAGGGGAAGGAAATCCTAGAAATGGAAGGAAGGAAAAGAATCCAGCCATCTGATTTAGCCAAAAACCAGCTAGTGTTGGGAGGGTGGAGAAGATGCTGTTAACATTTGTGGGTCACCTCCTAGGTCCTAGCATTCCACTAGATGCTTTATAAACATTCTCATTAAATCCTCACAATAACCTGTCAGGTAAGTGTTTTTATTCCCAGTTGAATTCAGGGCTTGCATTACGTCTAATCATCACTAGATTCTCAAGTCATTTCTTTTAAATCTCCTTTCTGGCTATAACCATCATCCCTTATCCTCTGCCCCTAAAAGATGATTACCAAGGATGGTTGAAATTAATTTCAAGTTAAGTTTGGGGAAGCAAACTCTTATAGGGATTACACAATAAGAAACAAGAAAACATTGTATAGAACAAGGGTGAAGTAACTAGATCTTTTGTTGTTGGTGGTGTTTTGAGATGGAGTCTCACTCTGTTGCCCAGGCCAGAGTGCTGTGGCCTGATCTCGGCTCACTGCAACCTCTACCTCCCAGGTTCAAGCGATTCTTCTGCCTCAGCCTCCAGAGTAGCTGGGACTACAGGCACGTGCCACCACACCTGGGTAATTTTTGTATTTTTAGTAGAGACGGGGTTTCACCATATTGGCCAGGATAGTCTCGAACTCCTGACCTCGTGATCTGCCCGCCTCAGCCTCCCAAAGTGTTGGGATTACAGGCTGAGCCACCGTGCCTGGCCGGTAACTAGATCTTATACTTCTGACCTTTTCATCATTTTAGCAGCAACCGATTTCCTTTATTGGGCCATCACTTATTCATTCAACAAATGAGTTAAGTTCCCAGCATCATGCATCTGGCTGAGGTCAGGCTCAACAAAGGGCCATGCCTATTCTTACTCAATCTTGGCACTGTATTCCTTACCATTTCTTTCTGCCTTTTGAAATGCCCAAGTATAACTTTGCCTTGAGTTTCCAAGACAAGCTCAAGCTCCTTTGTCTTCTGAGTTGATGCAATGTTGGATTACCAAATAAAGCTCCAGATGCCAATCCTTTCAGTAAGATCTGATGAGGTTTTGTTAAAGCTGACAAAAGAAATTTCAAAGAAATACTGTCGACACTGCTGAACAGTAGTTAATAATGAAGCTTACATCACTCAAGCCTTGGCAAGTGAAATAGTTTGTCCTGCAGTGAAAAAAAGGCCTTAAACTGGGTAGTGACAGCAGCAAAATTCTCAAGTTTGCATCTCAGGTGAACACTTGTCTCTCATCAAGAGTGGGTTGTACCATATACTACCTGGAGAGTTAGGGGTTAAATCTTAGGGCTGGCAGCCCTGGGACCAACAGCTTCCAGCAATTACATTTATCAGTGTATCCTCTGCATATCCCACTCCCTCTCCGGGGCTCGTTGCCAGCAGGCCTCTTATTCCTCTGCTACACAGGGACATAAATCTCTTTGCAGGAAGCAGAAACTAAACTAGGTGCTTAAGAGCCTCGGCAGAGAAATTCAGTGCCACTCAGCTGTTGATTTGCTGATGATAAAACGCACTCCTGATTTGCAAGCCTGGAGGTCCCTCTCTAACTCTGCAGTTCTCTGTGCCCTGGGACAGCCTTCATGTGGCCTCCCTGTGGCCTCCAGGGTACAGTAATGCATTGTATAGATTTCACCGCAAGTAAAGGATTCAGAATCCTTGCCTTGGAGAGGCCACAAGATGCTCATTTATTATAAAATATCCTCTAGTCAGATGATAAAATTCCACCATTAAGGATTCATGCCCTAGGATAAATGTCACTCTCTTCCTGCAGCCTTCTTTCTAGGATGCAAACCTCTGGGAGGTAAGAATGTGGAGGGGGTAAATGAATGGAGGAAAGGACAAAGAAGAGGGAGCTATAGAGTTTGAGTTTTGGGGGAGGGAAACACAATCTTTGCTTCCTTTACAACTACACCATCAAGCCCCAGGGTCAGGGACCAGGTTTCTCTGTTAATTGCTGTTCTGCCACACCTTATGTCATACCTGGCACAACACGGGCACTCAGTAGGGATGTGTTGAATGATGTCAATGAACAAAGCAGACACCTATCCCTCTCCTCCCTAAGAATGGGTGTGCATTAGAACAAGGACGACAAGGTGTCTGTCCTCCAGGCAGAAGCTAGCATCTCACACTGCACGGGAGCCTGTTGCAGTGGCCAGGTGGGCCTCTTAGTCGGAAGCCCCTGCTGTCAGATGATGCCTACTCACAGCTAGGTTTGGCTATTGAGTGTCTCCTGGCTAGATTTCTTTTTTTTTTAATGAAGCAGCATGAAAATTCACCTTCTACCTTTGCCTCTTCAGCAACTCCAATGACCAACTTGTCGGCATTCCTGGCTCGCCCAAACCTAGAAACAAGGAGTATGTTCACATCCAAAGACTTCAAAGAGCCAGGGCAGACAGTTTTCAAGTCATCCTCCTGAAGCCTCTGCCACAGTTGGCAGCCAGGGTGAGGCCAAGCTTCACGGCTGCCCTCTGGGGCTGAAATAAATCTGAATGCCAGGGAGCCTGGTAGGACAATGGAACTAACCTCTTTGGCTCTTTAAAGAGAGGTGGCCCCACCCTCTCCCACAGGCTGCAGAGTCCTGGCCGACATATCAACTCGGTGGTTAAGAGCACCTAAAGATGTTTTTTATGGGACCTTTTACAAGGGCAAAACTCATTTAAAGCCTGCACCTTTGAAAGTCAGATTCCTGGAGAAATGGTTTACAGCCTTGAGCATGGTAAATGGTAAAAACCATTAAGCTTGCAAAAATATATGGATAAAATAATGAAAGGGGGCTCAGCTGCTGAATTAATACCTTTATGTACTCAAAGCAGTTTAACTGCCAAAGTGCTAGCTTGTATATCCGTGGAAAAGAAATGAGAAAGAAGTAAGGGAGATGGAGACTCCAAGTTATCAAGATGGCCAATAAACATGAGAACTGTGAAATGCTGAGTTGACAGCCGTAGAGATACACTTTGCCTGTGAAGCAGTAATCAGCCTCATTCACAAAATAGAACTGTCACTGTTAGAATCCAATGGATTCTATATGAGCAGGGAAGCAAAGAATCTTAATGAAGCTTCCTCATTTTACATGGATTTGGTAGAGCTCCTTAGGTTCTGTATTTGTTTGCTAGGGCTGCCATAACAAAACACCACAGACTGGGTGACTTAAGCAACAGAAGTTGATTTTCTCACAGCTCTGGAGACTAGAAGGCCAAGATCAAGGCATTGGCAGGTTTGGTTTCTTCTAAAGCCTCTCTCCTTTGCTTGCTGCCTTCTTGCTCTATCCTCACAGGGTCACCCCTCAGTCTCTGTGTTGCCTGTGTCCTAATCTCTTTATAAGAACACCAGTCATGCTGGATTAGGGTCCAATATGACCTCATTTTGCCTTAATTACCTCTTTAAATCCCTATCTAATTTTACCTAATGACCTCATTTTACCTTAATTACCTCCTTAAAGGCCCTATCGCCAAATACAGTCACATTTGGAGGTACTGAGTGTTAGGAATTTAATACGCGAATTTTGAGGAGGACACAAGTCATCCCATAATAGGCTCCAAAAGGAGGTGATATCTTGCAAGGTGGAGCGGAGAGACTATCTCCCATCGTCGTAGTCCTACACACAAGGAAGAGGTCAGAAATCCCTTAAATCTAAGCCATATGTTTGAATGAGCTCCCTGTGCTTCTAAGACCTTCATGTGCCTTTACAATCTATGAGAAAGGATGATGTGCCAGGCACAGTGGCCCACACCTGCAATCTCAGTGCTCTGGGAGGCCACGGCAGGAGAAATGCTTGAGGCCAGAAGTTCAGGACCAGCCCAGACAACATAGCAAGACCCTACCTCTGCAAAATTTTTAAAAAATTAGCCAGACATAGTGGTGCAAACCTGTAGTCCAAGCTACTTGGGAGGCCAAGGCAGGAGGATCACTTGAGCCCAGGAGTTTGAGGCTGCTGTGAGCCACGATTGCTCCACTGCAGTCTAACCTGGGTGACAGACTAAGACCCTGTCTCAAAAAAAAAAAAAAAAAAAAAAAAAAGACAATAGTGAAGATGTCTCTATTTTCTCCTCTAATGAAAAGGTAAAAACATAGGTTATTTTCTCTCCTCGGCCTCCTGAGCCTGCATTG
Organism: Homo sapiens; assembly: GCF_000001405.40. Lineage (NCBI taxonomy): Eukaryota > Metazoa > Chordata > Mammalia > Primates > Hominidae > Homo > Homo sapiens. The sequence goes on from NC_000008.11 coordinate 19,049,807, forward strand.
ATTAGTGAGACACAGAGCAGCATGGCAAATTCGAGTCTGAAGCCAGATTCCCTGACTGGAATCCCATCCCTGCCACTTACAGTGTAACCTGTTAACTGACAAACCCATTAATAAAAACCAATCATGACAAGGGAAGGAATGGAGCAATTAAAATTCCTAGTTCCAACCACTTTTCAACAGAAAGTTGAAAGTCTCAAATAAGCCAGGGCTTTGAAAACATAACACTTTTGTTCAAACATGCCAATCAACTCGTGATGGAGACTGCATTAATTCTTAGATCAAGAGCTCATTACTTATAATGTAGGTCAAGGAGGCCATGTCAGCTCTGCTAAGTTAGTCTTTGAGGACTGCAATTTGCAAATTAGAAAAAAGAAAGTGTTCTAATTAAAATGACTCTGTCATTTCTGGGCCTTGGAAGTGTGCCAGAATGTCCTTTCTGAGCAGAAAAAGAACTAGCCACAAAAATGCAGTGGGCTTCACAATCTACGCCCATGCCCATATCCCCGCCTGTCAAGGATATAATGGCTAAGAGGCTTAGAAAATACAGAAAAATCATGCTGCTATAAAGACACATGCACACGTATGTTTATTGCAGCACTATTCACAATAACAAAGACTTGGAACCAACCCAAATGCCCAACAATGATAGACTGGATTAAGAAAATGTGGCACATATACACCATGGAATACTATGCAGCCATAAAAAATGATGAGTTCACATCCTTTGTAGGGACATGGATGAAATTGGAAATCATCATTCTCAGTAAACTATCGCAAGAACAAAAAACCAAACACCGCATATTCTCACTCATAGGTGGGAAGTGAACAATGAGAACACATGGACACAGGAAGGGGAACATCACACTCTGGGGACTGTTGTGGGGTGGTGGGAAGGGGGAGGGATAGCATTAGGAGATATACCTAATGCTAATTGACGAGTTAATGGGTGCAGCACACCAGCATGGCACATGTATACATATGTAACTAACCTGCACATTGTGCATATGTACCCTAAATCTTAAAGTATAAAAAAAAATACAGAAAAAGATAAGGAATTAAACAAGTGGGCTGAAAACCTCCCGTGAGCCAGGAGCTAGTCACTCACATTCTCTCCCAACTGTCATGGTGTCCTGAGGCAGAAACAGAGCCTCAGAAAGGAAAGAGAGTTTGCTTAAGATCTGTAGGCTCATAGGATTTGATGTTAAGACATATGACTCCAGATTCCAATTCTAGTGCTCTTCCAACATCCTCAGAGTCTATCCAAACCTCTCCACACTGCAGCTAGGGTGCACATCTGATCATGTCTCACCTCTGCATAAAGACCTTCAGCATCTCCATGGCTCTTAGAATAAACACACAGCTTCTTAAGCTGGTCCAAGAGACCCTCCTCCCTCTGGTCCCAATCGGGGGATGCTCATTCCTTCCCATCTTTGCCTCGATAACCAGCGCTCGTCCTTCAGTTCTCAGTTTCAGTTCCATTATCCAGGTCCTAAGAAGGCTTTCCTGCTTTCTGGGATCAGACTACACTCTCTGTTACATACTCTCATATGACTCAGTGTTGCCCCTTTTTAGCTTATACTTATTCGTGTTATCAAAACTTGTCATCTTTAGTTATCTATAAACTCCATGAATGCAGTTTCTTAGGGTGTCTCCATCACCCCACATAGTGCTGGCACATACTAGGCACTCAATAAATATTTTCTGAATGGGTGAATGTTTTAATGAGTGTGTTTGCATGAATTTTCTTCCTTTCTATTCTTTCTGCTCCTGGAGTGTGGAAATTGGCTCTGAGGCAGCAGAGGAAATAAAAATCCCCAATCAGAATAATTGCTCCTTCCAGTAACTACCTGCAGAACGATTTGTCATTGTGTCATGCTGATTTATAACAAAGTTGGGGGATTAGCATGTTACCATCTTCCCCTACTAGACTGCTGGCAGGGGTTACATTTGGTTCATCATTGTATCCACCGTACCTAGCATAGTACAAGAGCTCACACATCTGTTTCAGGGAGAAAAACACAAAGAACTAATGAAAAATTACAGTCTACAGGAGTAAGATCTCTTAGCTCAGGCGTGAAGAAATTCAGAGCACAGGTAGATTAATTAACTCCAGGAAGGAATAGGAAAATATCTTCCACTGATACTACAAGAAAAAGAGAGGACAGATGTAGAAATAAAATTAGATCAAAGTGATGGAGAATGAGGAAGGGGGCATTTGTGCCAGGGTCCACAATTTGCCCAATTTCAGGCTTTCCATGGCAAGGTCTGCAGGGAGGAGCAAGATTGGATGGAAGCAAAGGTGGAGGCTGGAAGAGAGCAAGGATGGTCCAGAAAAGCCACTGTGGTGAGAAAGTCAGAAAGTTCATTAAAGAAATACAGAAAAGTGGCCGGGCACGGTGGCTCACGCCTGTAATCCCAGCACTTTGGGAGGCCGGGGTGGGCGGATCCCAAGGTCAGGAGATTGAGATCATTCTGACTAACACAGTGAAACCTCATCTCTACTAAAAATACAAACATTAGCCAGGTGTGGTGACATGCGCCTGTAGTCCCAGCTACTCAGGAGGCTGAGGCAGGAGAATCACTTGAACCCAGGAGGCAGAGGTTGCAGTGAGCCGAGATCGCACCACTGCACTCCAGCCTGGTGACAGAGCGAGACTCTGTCTCAAAAAAAAAAAAAAAGAAAAAGAAAAAGAAAAGAAATACAGAAAATGAGCAAAGCAAAGTGTCAAGAGCTGAGAATTGGTTTAGTCTGGAAACTGTTTCTTGTAGTTTCTCTAGCTGTGCTTTATTACCTAAACTCAGATCTTGAGGAATGGGGTGGAGGCTTCATTGTTAATTCAGCTAATTCGGAAGTCCAAGTTGGGAAAGGAGTTCGGTAATATCAGAATGGGTCAGATTGTCTACACAAAGGGGGAAGGAGTCTAGTTGCTGCCAATCTTGGTGACGGCTGAAGGTCAGGACTTGAGCCCCCTAAGCTGTGGGTGGGTGGGTCCATTGGGTGCCCCCAAGACTTGAAAATCAGGCACACTGGGGAGGGACAGGTGCTTGGGTGCAGCTTTGAATGTGAGTAGGTAGAGGAAGTCCAGCCAAGCTGCCCAGGCTTACTTGTAGAGGGCCTGCTTGTGTCACTTCCTACTGACAATGACAAATTCCCCACCTCGAGCCTTCACACTGTGGAAGGTCAGGCAGGAGATGAGCAGCCTGGAGCCAGGGCTTTGGCCACACAGGTAAATTTAGGGAAATTCCCTAGGAGGGTGAGTGGCTAGGAGGTTGTAGTCTTGGAGTGACAAGGTGACTTACTGGGCAGGCTTTCACCACAGTGGTTCACTATAAATTCAATCAGACAGAAATCCCAAGTGTTAAAGTCATCTTAGGAAGGTGAAAGTGGGTCTATGGCGCACAGGGGATGACTGGAGTAACGTCTTAAAGGCAGGTGGTGGGAACAAATGGGGATGTGTGGTGGCTCTGGAACAAGTGCTGAGGACAGAATCATCCCTCCGCACTGCGTCCCCTGCCCCCTGCTGCACACACCCACTCCTCTCTTCTTGAAAGAGAAAAAGAATAAAATGAAATCTCACAGGAGAGAATGCTGGGACAGAGTGATTTAGAGAAAGCTTCATTTCTTATCAAATGAGGAGATGAAGTAAGGAAACAAAGAGACTTAAGATGAACTTGGAAAAACATCTGAAGCCTAATCAAGAGGGAACACAGGCCGGGTGTGGTGGCTCACACCTGTAATCCCAGCACTTTTGGAGGCCAAGGCAGCCGGATCACTTGAGGCCAGGAGTTCGAGACCAACATGAGGAAACCCCGTCTCTACTAAAAATACAAAAATTAGCTAGGTGGGTGGTGGTGGGCGCCTGTAGTCCCAGCTACTCAGGAGGCTGAGGCAGGAGAATTGCAGTGAGACTTCGTCTCAAGAAAAAAAAAAAAGTGACATGCTAATGGTATCTTAAACTTTATCACTAGATCTGTGAGGGAAGGATTTTTTTCTGTTTTGTTCACTGCAGTATTCTGTATACCTAGAAAAGTGCCCGGAAGAGAAGGCACTCAATAATTATTTGTACAAATGAATGAATGAAATTTTGATTTTTGTTCACCTAAGGAAGGTTGCAGTCTTGGAGTTACAAGACTGCTTACTTGGTTGGCTTTCACCTTAGTGGTTAGTTAAGCCAAAAGAGGACTCCTTGAGCTTACTTCTTCCTGTCCTTTAAGTGTCTTCTCCTCTGACTGTAAGTTGTACTGGTACTTGGGCCTGATGTACAGCACTGCTAGACCAGGTCCCTGAAACTCCCCTTCATGGGATCCTCTAGGGCCTTTCTCCTGCCGCGGGCTTGTTGCCATCCAGTGCTTTGGAAGCTACATGTTGAATTGATGGAGTCATGTAAGTGAGGGAGGCTAGCCCCTGAATTGCTGATTGAAAACATCCTCCCACAGCTCAGAAACACACATTTTGGACTGTACAGGAATTTAAAGGAAACTGCCATTCTGTTAAGCCCTTGAGATTCAGGAGTTTATCTGTGAGAGTATCCCGTGTTACCCAAACTAATGCAGGGACAATGGCTACCTGGTTTATGATCATCTTTTTGGTGCCTGGAAGAACTTGTAGCATATGTCAGAGACTGAATAATGTTTGTTGAGGGAAAGAAAAAAGAAAGGAAAGGAGGAAGGGAAGGAGAAAATGATATTCCCAGAGCTCTATAATCATCTTGTCATGGATTCAACTTATTTACTTATTTTTACCATCTCCATTTTCTTCCCCACATCTGCCGTAATTTTTTATATGCTGAAAATGCAGTAAAGAATCTACCTTTGGATATCTGCCAGATTTATTCCAAGGAATTCATATTTTTGGTAAACTTCATATTAATAATACCTGTGAGGTAAAACTATTTTGTAAAACTGAGATTAAAGAAACTATTCTCAAAACAGAATCATAATAACAAATTTATCGCTTGATAACATCTGATAGCACAAACAATATTAAATCCTGATAGACCTGAAATTCTAGGCTTGGAGAACCTTTAAACTAAGTCAATTAGAAAATTAGAATATCATATACATTATACACTATAGACATATATGTTATTATTTATTACCAGCAGAAAGAAAATTTGTGATAGAAACTTCTAGTGCTCACCTGGGCACAGGGAAGACTACCTGTTCACCCCTGTACAGGTAGACAAAGCACTGTGACTTCTCCTAGACAATGTGAGATGCATTTGTCACTTCTGGGCCAAGGCAGTGAAAAGCTCTGATTCCTCTACTTGATCTCTCTTCTCTTTACTTGAGTTGCATGAGCAAGAAATAAGCCTTTGTTGCATTAATCCACTGAGAGCCAGATGTTGCTATGTTGCCATAGAATAGTCTTGCCTAGCTTAATTTAGGATGGTTACCCAAGAGGCAGTTCATACAAAACTAATGACATGTTTACGTCCTAGATGATTTATAGACTCTTTTTTTTTGGACAGAGTTTTGCTCTTTTTGCCCAGGCTGGAGTGCAATGGCAGAGTCTCGGCTCACTGCAGTCTCCACCTCCCAGGTTCAAGTGATTGTCCTGCCTCAGCCTCCCACGTAGCTGGGGTTACAGGCGCCCGCCACGACGCTCAGCTAATTGTGTATTTTTAGTAGAGATGGCATTTCACCAGGTTAGCCAGGCTGGTCTCGAACTCCTGACCTCAGGTGATTCACCCGCCTCGGCCTCCCAAAGTGCTGGGATTACAGGCGTGAGCCACCGTGCCCGGCCGATTTGTAGACTTTTTTTTCACTGGTCTGCATCATTAATCCTTGGGAGAAAGGACTAAGCTATGGTTTTTAAGGTCAAGATACCAAGAATAGGCAAAAGGTTTAGAAAGGGTAAGTATAGTTGGTGTTCATGATACAGACTGTTGACAAAGCAAAGTTACACAATTAAGACAAGTGCACTGAAATGTCAAACCTCACTGAATTCACACCTCCTGCTGTGACCTGTGGCGACAGAGATTTCATCTTGGCAGTGATTCCTTTTCCTGTATTCAGATTACATTAAACTTGATTGGAAAGCTGTTCACCAAAGGTAGACACAGAAATCAATGCAATTCAACACTCAGCCTTGCTGATGCATATGTCAGGAGAACACACTACTTTCCCAGGTTATCTGTTCTCTTATTAAAAATGCTGCTACACACCTCCTTAAAGACACATTCTGCTGTAACATAACTCTATTATCTTGAAAAATCTTTATGTCAGTCTGACTTCTTTTCTTCTCCTTAGTGTTAAATACTCTGCCCCTTGTTGCTATTCTTTGACTTTTAATCTCATTGAAATGCGATCACTTGCAGTAACGTCTTCGTGGGATAACTTCCTTTTCTTTGATCGTTTTCAAATACAGGCAGACAAAATATATTATTTCAATGTAGAATCTATAACTTAAAAAATAGTCCACAAAAGAAACCTGTCATGGCCTCCAGGCAGTTAATGGTTGCAGCTTTGCAAATAAAACTGACCCTCCTATAACATAATTGATCGAGCCAGTCAGAAACTGGGTCTGAATATGTGGATTTAATTTAAAAAAATTTCTTGGAACTGTTCCTTTCAGTAGAAGAGAAGTCAGAGTTTTGACACGTTGTACAATTATAAAGAAAAAAGAAGGCTCCTGATGGAAAGCATGGACAAATTCCATGTACACAATCTAATTAGCATGAAAAATGCATGGGCAAATGAAGATATGTCTAAGTTGAAATCATATTAGCAAAGCAGTTGCTATCATTTCCAAATTTCAACAGGCAGCAAACATTCCATTAAGGCTCCAAACTACATATTATGTCTGTGCACATTTTCCATTATCAGTTTGGCTCCTTCATCAACTATTCCAAACTCTGTCGCTGGTTTTCTAGGTTCCACATTGGGAAGCTAAGTGAACCCTGATTACATGTCTGGTGCAAATATATCCAAATATCCCTTGCTGACCCCTTCCTTAGTGGCAGGAATTCAAAATAAGTGAACAAAGACAAAAGTAAAAAGAAATAGAGATAAAAAGAATACAATAAAGGGATTCACTGTGTAAGAATTCACAAGAGGTTAGGTAGAAGCTTGTTCTGCTCTAAAAATTCCCTCTAATCTCCCAAGCTGTGGGTGATGAGCTCAGCTTACACTTTTATTAAGAAAATAGAAGCTGTCTGATAAGGGTATGAACTTTCATCTTGCTATCACCAAACCTATACGCCGGTTTGCCTCTAGCTAGCTTTTGATGAGCTCTTGATGCTACTTCATCTCTTTCCTTCTTAAAACTGGTTCCCCTTGGTTAACCCCTCAATCCTGCATCAACAGCACATACTCCCTGTACTGCTCTCACTGGCATATGAACATGTTTGACTATCTCTTTATGCATTCTTCCACCCGCTGCCTCATTTCTCTACTCTTGTTCATAATCAAATTTGAACAAGAAATTTCTCTACTCTTGTTCATAACCACTCTCGTTCACTCCAAGAGTGGTATACACATACTGCTCTTCAGCCTACTAGAATTTGGTTTCACCCCCATCTTTCCATGGAAGTTTCTCTTGACCTCTTGTCAAGGTCTCCACATGGCCTCATCTCAGCAGCATGAAACACAATTAACCCTTCAGTTTTCTATGACACGAAAACCTCTGCCCACCACTCTGGTCACGCCTTCTGTGTTCTTTGCAAGATCCAGGACTTACATTCAATGATCTCTACTAGTTTGGCTATACCAGTTGTTAAATATTGAAATATTTCATACTGGTTGTAAATAGTTACCATCCTTAGCCACCTTACCCCACCTCTCCTCCTATCTTGGCCCCTTCTCTGGGACCCTGCTAAACATTTGCTTCATCTAGCAACTAAAGAGTTATGCCCCCAAAGAAGAGGGCCTCCAAGACCCCAAATAGGTTATAAGGACACCTATTAGTGAAATAAATTCCAAAACCATGATGAGATACCACTACACATTTATTAGAATGGCAAAAAAGAAAAAGAAAATATCAAATACTGGCAAGGATGTGGAGAAACTAGCTCTCGCATACATTGCTGGTGGGCGTGCAAAATGACAGGGCCACTCTAGAAAACAGTTTGGCAGCTTTTTATAAAAGTTAAACATACGCTCATCATATGACCCAGCTATCCCACTCCTATTTTCCCTAGAGAACTGAGAACTTCTATTCACACAAAAACCTCTACAGGACCACTTACAGCCCCTCTATTCATAATCACCAAAACTTGAAAACAACTAACATGTCTTTCAAAGGATGAATGAGTAAACAAACTAAGGGTCACCTGTAAGTGGAATATTCAGTAGCAGAAAGGAACAAACTGTTGATACATGAAATAACTTGGTTGAATCTCAAAATCATTGAGATTTGCTGAGTGAAAGAAACAAGTCTCAGTGGGTTACGTACTTTGTGGTTTCGTTTGTTTTGATATTCTTGAAAGCACTAAACTACAGCGATGAGGAACAGATCAATGGTTTCCAGGGATTATGGGTGGGGAGAAAGTATAAGTATAAAGGGATAGCATTAATGAGTTGTTTTGGGTGATATAACAGTTCTGTTTCCTGATTTTGGTGATAGTTGTACAAATTTATATAAATATATTTATAATATAATCTATAATGTAAAATTATATGATATATTACATTGTAATATATAATATATAATAGCATATACAATATAAGTATATAAAATTTATATATAATTTATATACATTTATATTATATGTGTGTTAAAATTCATAGAACTGTACATACACACACACAGACACAAGTCAATTTTACTGTATGATAATTTTTTTAAAAAAGTGTTGTCTACCCTACCAGCTAGGCCCAACTTAAATTCTACCTGTATCTCTTCCTTTTCCCTAAATTGGGTGATTAAGCACATTGTACAAAAGTTTCTTGAAGTTTGGAGATGTTTCTGGAAATTAGAGAACAGTGCCAGCTCCTTATCTAGCTATTTTTGATGGTTAGTGGCTCATCAGTACCGAGGCCTGTAGGGTGAGAGGGAGCCATCACGTGGAGCACCTTGGAAAGAGGAAGTGAGGATGTTGTCATTGTTCTCCATGGCTTTGGAAATCAAGGCAAATATTCAGCTGGTTTCTGTGACCCAGGTGAGGTTAATTGAAGGATGGGCACCCATAGCTGGCCCTCGCGTTCACTCTTCAAAGCAGAGCTACCCAACCTGAAGAGATATAGCATATATGGCTGGCAAGAGCCACAGGAAAGATTGACTGTCCCCCAGTGATCTTTTGGGCTGGTTAGCTGTATTGAGGCTGAACGCTGCCCATGGAAATTCCTTATGCCATCCACACAGAAATCTCCACTTTAGCAGAGACATGAAAAGCAGAATCACCAGAATCTAAGTCATCGGAAAGTCTCTCATCCAAATAACACCCAGTTGTGGGTGAGTCTGCTTCACAGTGCCAGGAATCAAACCAGGAAATGGTGCCACAACAGGGGCCAGCAGAGGAGGGACCACACCCAAGCTTCTCAATTCCTTAGACCCCCTTTACCTGCGTAGGAAGATGTCCCTCTAGCCTCCATCTCTGTTGCTACTTCTGCGGATGATGGAACTCAAAGGAAAAAAAGGAGAGCTCATGAGAAGCACAAGGAAAGCAGGGTACACCAAGCTCTGAAACACACTATTTCCAGCAGCACCAGTAGCAGCTGGTGCAGAACAAGAAACTAGCCCCAGCAATCTAAACTTTTAGAAAAGTCTAAGATTTAAGCCAGTATCAGGTGGGACCAAAGTACTTTATTGGGTAACATCAGATCCCTCCTTCTCCTACCCCTGTGCCTAGACAGGGAGATTATGAGAACAAAAGTTTGCTATCAGTTAGTCAAGAAATTTAAAAAATTTCTACGTCTGTAAAGCACTGAGTTGAGACCTTTAATCATTCCCACAAGAAAAAGAAGAAAGGTTAGAAAATAAATTGTAAAGATAAAGGAGACAGGAAATAAACAATTCACAGAAAGTTCATGGCCTTTCTCTTGGATCATTTGCTTTTTTCCCAACCTGCCAGGGTGCCCTTCAGCTCTATCTGCCCAGCCTCCTCTCCAGGGCACCTACCAGGCTCTGTCTTCTATAACCACTGGAACTTCTGGCTTTGCTCTGTGCAGAGAGCTGCATCCCCAGCAATGGGGCAGGACTTGGAAATCAATGGATGAGCAAGCCTGCACGGGCTGCTGTCAAATCTGGGCTTGAAATAAGTGCTTTTGACAAAAGTCCACCCTTAAATGTCACTGACCTTTCAAATGACAGCTTTTATGTCGTATTATGTAGGAAGGGCCCTAACTCTGAAAATCCAGGTTTTTGCTGAGATGCAGTTTCTCTTCTTCCTCACCTGTGAATAACATCAGCTGAAGGAAATGAATACATTTTTAAGTTTTGGAATTTAAGGATTATGTGGATTCAGGTGACTAGAGGAAAATTGAAAAAGAGAAAAAAAACTTTAAAAATGAAATGAGTTTCCAAGAAACAGTTTTAGGAATATTTGTGAAGAGATTTTGCTATCAATACCTCCTATTTACCAATATATAGGTATCTACAGTTTACTTTTAGGTTTACTGATTTCCTTATATCTGTAACCACAGAGGTCTATAGATCTTATATATAGCTCCACTCTAACATATTAATGTCTCAGTCTGGGCAACATAGCAAGATCCCAACTCTTCAAAAAACAAAAAGCTAGCCAGATGTGATGGCACACACCTGTAGTCCCAGCTACTCAGGAGGCTGAGACAGGAGGATTGCTTGAGCCCAGGAGTTCAAGGCTACAGTGAGCCATGATTGCACCACTGCACTCCAGCCTGGGCAACAGAGTGAGACCCCATCTCAAACAACAACAACAACAGCAACAAATGTCAATAGATCTTGGCAGTGTGAAATATGCCTCCATGCCAAAGTCTAATCAATAATTCTTCCACTGTTATACCTGTTTTCCACTGACAGGATGGAATTCTTCTTTATGATTCCCTCAATTATAAAGTTAGCTGAAGGGGGAAAGAAGGAACTGAAAGATGAGACATGGAAGCAACCAGTCATGCAAGGGCACGAGCTTTAAAACTGGCAAGTGGCTTTGACGGTGCCCATCCCTGGTTATCTAGGCATCTTCTTTGGCAGGGTAACAACAGCCCCCTTGTTGAAGGCTCCTGGCTCCTACCTTCTCTGACTGGCCCTTTGACTTCTTTCAGCCAGCCACAAAACACAGTGGGGCACATTCATTAGCCAGGGTTTCCTTCACAGCCTTGGCATGCTCCATGGGCATCAGCCAGGTGCCAGCCTCCACCAGCAGCATCTGCTTGTGCCTCATTTATCCTCACCCCTTCCCATTTTCCTATAACTACACAGACAGTTTAAAAAGAAATATATAAAATCGTAGTTGACTCCTTGAAAATAAGCACAAACACTCATGCACATGCACACACAGCCACACCACATTGAGAAAACAAACAAACAAAAAAGATGAAGTCATTCAGTTGGTCAAGATCCTTATAATTAGAGAATAAAAATAAAAATATTTTGGGAAATTAAAAAAGGATATAGTGAAAAATTTAATCACTGGCGACAAGACAAAACAAAACACGCTATTATTAACAAAATGACTCAACCCACAAGTATGTCGATTGCAAATACTGTGCTTGAATCAGGAGCGGACAGGTATTACTATCTTGTTTGTTTGCTGGTGAACTTGTTAAATCATGCATTTAAAAAAAAAAATCACTTCCCGGCCAGGTGCGGAGGCTCACGCCTGTAATCCCAGCACTTTGGGAGGCCAAGGTGGGCGGATCAAGAGGTCAGGAGTTCAAGACCACTCTGACCAATGTGGTGAAACCCTGTCTCTCTAAAAATACAAAAATTAGCCAGGTGTGGTGGGGTGTGCCTGTAATCCCAGCTACTCAGAAGTCTGAGGCAGGAGAATCGCTTGACCCCAGGAGGCGGAGGTTGCAATGAGCCAAGATTGTGCCACTCTACTCCAGCCTGGGCGACAGAGTGAGACTCCGTCTAAAAAAAAAAAAAAAATCACTTCCCAGACTTTACACACATGATGAACCCAGCTTAGAATGTTCTCCTTCTTCTTCTTATCCTTATTTTAGCTCATCTTCCTTCAAGGTCATGTCCTATATTCTACATAAACTTCCCAACAACTTTCCCTCCCCATCTGGGTAAAATTTATTACACCCAATTGTACTGATTATCTGTCTGGCTACTTTGTCCTCCAAGCGCCTTCCCAATGAAACTGTGAACTCTTTGAGGCCATTCTTCACTTTCTAGACTTCTCTTACTTCCTTTATGGCACCTAGTTCATCCAGAACACAAGTAAACTCAATCAATGGTTTAAATATTCAAGCTGATGGCTACACAATGTATTCCTACCAATAAGCAACTGAACAAAAATGCTAACTAAGGACATAGAATTAGAGGGATGTTTGAATAGCAGAAGCGGCGGGGTCTCAGTTAATTTATGGAATCCTGGCAGTCAAACATTGAGGCAGACTGGTGTTCCTCTCAGTGTGTTTTGCAGTTGGGATAGAAAGATGAATAAAATGCTGTCTGTTACCTTAGAATGCTTACAGTTGATGGGGTGATCATCAAGTCCAAACCCCATTTTGCAGATGAGGAAACTGAAACTCAGAAGAGTAGAGACTTGTTCAAGTCATGCAGTTAAGAACAGCAAGAGACCACTGTTTCCCCAGTTAACTCCACGACAGACCATCTACACAATTTTTGTCATATATGAATAACAACCATTCAATTCCTAATGCTTTTTCTACTTAAATCATTTAAAAAAGAATCTTTAGATTTATTATTAATAAAGGGAAAACCAGTATTATTTTCTATAAGTAAAAGACACATACTAATATGCTTTAAAGTAGATGCATAACTTCTAAAATAAAAATAATAGAAGTTGTGTTATCACTTAAAGTCCACATTTTTGGGAAACGCTACATTACATCAAAATCCATATTGACCAAAATCAGGTAGATTAGCATGCATTTCATGTAAGATGTTACTACAGACATGTGATCACTCACGTATGAAATATCAATCTTTTTGCAGAAATCATATCTAGCTGACTTGATCAGTTTTACCTCAAATGCAAAAGAAAAGAAAACTCAGGGCCATTAAAAACTAGTCAAGAAAAAATGTCTATCCAAAAGTGAAGGTGCCGATAGGTATTTGTTAATTAAAAAAAGAAGAAATTAATTAGAAGTCATGTGTGAGACAGTTGGACTTGAAGAATACAGATTTAATTAGTGTAGAAAGGTAGAGAAAAACAGCACTAGTTTCTAACTGTTATTTCAAATTTGCTAAAATCAGAGTTGAGAGTTCCATTGAGTCTGTAAGACGCACCTGTTCTCTGTAGAGAAAACACTGTAGTTTCTGAATACAGGACAATCAATCTTTTATTAACCTGGGTATTTTCTAAATTGGGCACACTGGTTAGCTGATTTTAAAAGTAGCTTACCAAGAGTTAACCAATTTATTAGCTAACCAAAATATTTCAATTTTAACTGTCATTGTTAAAATCATCTTTTGAAAATATGAAGGAATAATTTTCTGCCAGAGGTAGTACAGAATAGCAAATGTAATGCCACAGTTCTTTGGATATTTGTGATAATTGTGGTGGCTCAGGCTAAATCTAGATTTTTAAATGCTTTCGATTTCCTTAGCGCCTATCACGGACTGGCCCTCTGTTTTCCTTACACAACCCCGCGATCTGATTCTCACTACATCGTGGTGAGACAGGTATTACCATCCCTGTTGGGCAGATGAATGAATGTAGCTATCAAGAAATTAAATATTAATAGCATGTCTGGAGATCAATAGCGAGTATAGTAAAGACTTTTACCCAGGTCCACCTGGTTTCCAAGTTCATGTCCTTCTTCCCTAGAAGTGTGGTAGTGCGTCAGAACTGGAGGACACAGAATCCTGGCCTGAAGGTGCATAGTCAGAAAGGGATTCCTTAGTCTTAAAATAAGAGTTGTTTTTTTATTTTTAGCATCTTATAATCCGGCAATTTCCTTGAAGCCTTAGATACAGCACAAAAAAGAAATTCAAGGCCGGGCACAGTGGCTCAGACCTGTAATTCCAGCACTTTGGGAGGCCGAAGTGGGTGGATCACTTGAGGTCAGGAGTTCGAGACCAGCCTGACCAACATGGTGAAACCGTATCTCTACTAAAAATACAAAATTAGCCAGGCGTGGTGGTGCACACCTGTAATCCCAGCTACTCCGGAGACTGAGGCTGGAGAATCACTTGAACCTGGGAGGCAGAGGTCGCAGGGAGCCAAGATCGTGCTACTGCTCTCCAGCCTGAGTGACGAAGTGAGACTCTGTCTCAAAAAAAAAGAAAAAGCAACAACAACAAAAAGAAATTCAATTAAACGAGAACTCCAAGTACCTGAGTTCTAGTTAATTAAGCTTTAACAGCATGTAATTCCTAATAATTAAAGACACCTTTAGTGTGTACCTAAATAGAGTAATATTAGACATGAGAATGCTTAAATGGCTTCTTTTTTCTCCGTTTTTGATTCGTTTCTTAAAAAATATTTTTAATTATTAACTATGTTAATTATCTATTTTTAACTGTTATTTACACAACAGTTATACCTATTTATGGGGTAAATGCGATATTTTGATACAAGCATACGATGTGTAATGATCAAATGAGGGTCACTGGGGTAGTCGTTGCCTCAAGCGTTTATCATTTCTTTGTGTTAGGGACATTCCAATGGCTTCTTTTCAAGTAAAGGGAGAAACATTCTAATAATACCGAGATAATCTAAACGCTGCTCAGCAGATTAATCTTCTGAATGTGATGAGGTCCCCCCTAGCAAAAAATGTTCAAGATTAACCTTTCTGAATTATGCTTTAAAAACGTTAGGAATAAAATTCTTCCCACTCAGCATTCTAGTATTGCTTCATTATTTGGTCTAAACATGAAATTCCAGGAATTAAAAACAAGAACTTGCTAGAATTATTTGGTCCAAACATGAAATGCCAGGAATTAAAAACAAGAACTTGCTAGAATCAATGCCTTTGTGATTTTAGCTTGAAGTAAAGCAGTGAACATTTACTTCCATTGTATTAAATAAACTTCATAGGAGGCCATTGTTTTGGACTGAGCTCCTGCACTAGGTCCCAACAGAACAGACCAAACCAAAATGGAGTCATTCATGCTAAGTGCCACATAATTAAACTAAACTTTAAAATGGGCTAGTTTTCCAAAAAAACCAGGAGATTCACAGCAACCACTAGGAAGGGGTGCAGGTTACCTGAGCCGGCATAAGGAAGTCCCCTCTGTTTTAACCCTATAAGGAAAGTAATTTTGTAATGACCAGTCTGCTTTTTGTTCCTTGTGTCTGCTTTCTTCCATCTTTTTCTGCCTATAAAACTCTGAGGGGAAAAAACACAAATTAGGTTTTTTTCTGCTCTTACCATAACAATAATAATCTATACAGAAGATTTCTGTGACCAAACGTGTGTGTGGTGGGAAGTTTCTCCTCTTTCTCTCCATCACCAAGTAAACAATCAGCTCTGCGGTGGACATCAGCTGGGTGTCCTCCAATTAAATTCTGATACTATCTACCTGGAGATAGCGTCAGATCCCACAGCTTGAGGGCTCAGTCTGACAAGACTGCACCCCCTGACCCTCGTCACAAGACACCAGTTTTATGTCTGGGCCTCCAGAATTTCTGACAGATCAGCTTGAAGTTAGGGTTCCCATGATCCCCTCCTTGGGTTTGATTAATTTGCTGGAACAGTTCACAGAATTCAGGGAAACACGTTCGCTGGTTTATTACAAAGGGTATTACAACCTATACATAGGAAGAGATGCGCAGGGCAAGGCACGTGGTAAGGGGCATGGATCTCCCATCCCTTACACAGGCATGCCACTCTTCAGGAACCTCCATGGGTTCAGCTATCCAGAAGTTGCTCAAGCCCTAACCTTTTGAGTTTTTATGAAGGCTTCATTATATGGCATGATTGATTAAAACACTGGTCACTGATGATCACTTTAACCCTCAGCCCCTCTCCCATCCCCAGAGGCTAGGGGGTGGGGCTGAAAGTCCCAACCCTCTAATCCTGCCTTGATCTTTCTGGTGACCGCCTCCAATCTGAAGCTACCAGCCATGAATCAACTTGTTAGCATACAAAAAGACCACTTTGGAAATTCTAAAGATTTTTTAAGAGTTCTATGCTGGGAAATGGGTTTGAATACCAAATAAATATTTCACAGTAACACAAAAACTCACCTCCCTTGGTCAAGTCATGGCAGCACCTTTCTAAATCCTTAGATGGGATGCTGCCCAATTCATGAATTGCTAATAAAAGCCAACTGGATCTTTAAACTAAATTTGTTGAATTTTTAAAAGCAGTTCCCAACTGGTAGGTACTACCAACTGGTAGATACTAGTTAGAACGTCATTAAAATCATTACAGAGTTTTATAACTTAAGGCTTATTAGAAAATTTGATTACACAATCCATCTCAGTTCTGAGAAAATTTTTCTTTAAAGAAATTTTAATTCTAACAAACCCTTATACCTCTGGCTGGATATAGGCCATTTTGTCTCCCTCTTTTTTGAATTAGAAAGTAGCTTGTTTTTTCTTTCACCAACACACTACTATCTTAGGGAGCAGAGGGTCAACCAATAAATGCCCTCCCAAGTTTACACAACCAGTTGACACTTTCTTCCAGGGTGCTTTTTGCACAGTACATCAGGTACTGCAGAGTCTGACTCAGTCTTTATCTCCAGACTCATCCAACTTCTCTTCTACTCCACAGTCAATACAGAACCTGGTGTGCAGCTACCTGTACTCATATTCAGAGGTTATCTCCAACTAGTTGTGAGCCTTGGGGATGTTTTTACTTCGTATGCCTTGATTTCTTTTGTCTATAAACTAGAAACAATAATAGAATCTATCTGATGTTGTTCTTTCAAACATTAACTGAAATAATGCACACAACATGCCCACCCACCCATAATAAATGCTCAATAAATGTTAGCTTATACTATTAGCCTGGAAGTCACTTCTGGCCGGAAGCTTTTCCTAACCATGAAAACCAGGCTGGGTGCCCCAATTATTCATTTCCATAGCATCTTGACATTCTTGGGGACACTCATCATTTTTTTATTATTTATTCAATGACTGTCTTTTCAGTCAGATTATAAACACCTCAAAGAAAAGCCTTATGACTATTATTATTAGTTATAATCACAGGGTCTAGCACAGAGCATAACAATGAATATTTATTAAATGAGTGAAAGCTATTTACCAAAGATGCAAGACTGATGAGTTCTTTGGGCAGACTGTCATTTAAAAAAATTGATCAGTTTGCGGGAACTGTAAACTGAGAGAAATCAGTATTGTGCTGTGCCTTCGTTTGTGAGACAAGTCAGAGGAAAATATGATAGTAATAGTAACTAATAGTAACTACAGTAGTGCTACCTGAAATTTCCATGCCCTCTTGCGTGGTACAGTATGTTCATATCTATCATTCCAGCTCAGGCTCACAGAATCTGAGAGTTGGGAAGAAATTCAAGCATCACCTCATCCAAGGCTTCATTTGAGGGATAAGAAAATGGAAAGACATCATTGCACCAAGAGTCATTGCATTCTCCAGGATGCCTCCCACAGAAGGCACCAGAACAGCCCTTGGACTCTGACCATGTGTTCTTTGAACAAAAAAGTCGGGATCATAACTCTCTGAGTATAACTCGAACAGCTTGTGAAAGGATGGGAAATCCAACATAAGTGGGCTGGTAGAACCAGAAGGTGGAACCACAGTCGGGTGGTTCAGGCACAGAGGCTTCCCAGGGTGTCACAAGCCAGCAGCAAGGGGTGTCACTCAAGGCTCAGGATGGAAGCTGTTGTCTTATGAACTGCAGGGAGCCACAGCAGGGGTCAATGAAGCAGGCAGGAGCTGTTCTCCAGAGACCCACAGCAGTTGCGTCTGCATGACTCATTTCCTCCCACTGGAGCCAACTGGGTGACTACTGGGCTTATCAAACCCAGCCCTCTGGACCTTTTTCTGGCCACCTTGGAGGAATGTTCCTGGCATATCTACCCATGCACTCTATCTTTTCAGCTGACCGCAGCTATCTGCCTTTAAATTTCCAACGTGGGACCCTTGTGGGTACGAAGGAAAATCCCTCCATCAGTCAGGCACATGGGAAGTGATTTCTGATCAAGATGTGGAAGAGAGTGATTTTCCACAAGCCTGAAAGTTCAACCCAGCTCATCAGTTCACAGCTCAGGTCTGTGTGCTGGGAATACAGGACTGGCTGCACAATCCCTTGGTTTTGGCTCCCCTGCAGCCTACATAGAGGTGATATCTGCCAGAGTCCCCAGGACACATGAGAAGAGGATACAGCCCCTTGAGATCCTTAGCGATGGTGGAATTGACATGGGGGAAGCTAAGGCTGAGGATTTTAAAAAAAAATAGATTCAGATGGCCTTTCTTCTCGCTCTACTCTTCCTCCTCTTTTTTTTTTTTTCTTTTTGAGACAGGGTTCACTCTGTTGCCCAGGCTGGAGTGCCATGGCATGATCCTGACTCACTGTAGCCTCGATCTTCAGGGCTTGAGAGATCCTCCTGCCCCAGCCTCCTGACAAGCTGGGACTGCAGGTGTACACCACAATGTCTGGATAATTTTGTTTGTTTTTTGTAGAGACAAGGTTTCACTATGTTGTCTAAGCTGGTCTTGAAGTCCTGGCCTCAAGCAATCCTTCCCCCTCGGCCTCCCAAGGTGCTGGGATTACATGCGTGAGCCATTATGCTCATCTTCCTCTTCCCTTTTGATAGCAAGGGGTGGCAGGACAAAGAACTGACACGTCCTTGCGATAGTTTGCTGAGAATGACGAGTTAATGGGTGCAGCACAGCAACATGGCACATGTATACATATGTCACAAACATGCACGTTGTGCACATGTACCCTAGAACTTAAAGTTTAATTAAAAAAAAAAAAAAGAACTGACACTTTAGACCAGGGATGTGCTTGGTGCTGCGATGTACAGGCCATCTGCAGTTGGGCTGGCTCTGACTGTGTGAAAAATGGAGTTGCTCTTTTTTGCCCACATCTGCTTCCTTTCAAGGGGTGGCCTGGAAAGGTGAACAGTCCAGCAAGTCCCTTCTACCATGCCCTGTCACTGTCTTTGGGCTCCCCTCCCCCAAATCCTTATTATGCTTCATAATACCTCAGCTTCCATCGCACCCAACTCACAGTTCTGATGGGGCTATTCAAACTAACGTCAAGCTCACATAGGGCAAGTTGTTTTAAACTGTCTAAATTCAGCAGAAAAATAGCCACCCAGTGCGGTAATTATTTACTTTCAGCAGCGTGAATGCAAATGTCATTAAATCTTTACAATGGTTCTCATAAATGCTATTCATTTTCATCTGCAGTTTCAAAGAATGACACAGGGGAGTTTTAAAATCTAATATAACAATAAATCTTATTCGGGCTGTGGGATCCCCTGGCCTACAAAAGCTGAGTAAGGCAGTTTCCACAAGGGCTTAGCTTGCTTGAAATAACTTCAGAACAAAACACCATTCTTCCAATGGGGGAAGGGAAAGGAAAAGGAATAGAATTGGAAGAGGGGGCCAGCCAAGTTGACAGTCAACTAGACTCCCTAAAAGTGCTTGGGCAGAAGCTGAATTTATGCAAAATTTGCAGATTATGCACCCATTACATGTACATCTGTGCAAACGTGGATCTTCCTTTCTAGTAAGGGAGATAAGATTTGTACACAAATACTTGAAACGGTGTTGAAAGGGATAGGGTCATCATCGTGATAATACCTACGATTTAGTGAGAACGTTTTCTACGATGTGCAGGAAGTAGCTAAGGGCTTCGAATCTTTTGTAAAAAGAATGTTCACTACAACTAAAGAGTACAAAGAAAGTGAGGCTCAGAGAAGTTAAGGAATTTGCCCTGAATCACTCAGCTAGCTGGACTTCAAAACCAGAACTGACTCTAAACTAAGGTTGTCAGATAAAATACAGGACACCAGTTACATCTGGTGAATTTCAGATAAACAACAAATCATTTGTGAGCTTAAGTATCTCCCCAATATTGCTATTTTTAGTTGCGAAATCTGGCAGTTCTGCACAAACTCTCATCTCAAAAAGCTTTTCTTTTTTCTTTTTTTTTTTTTTGAGACAGAGTCTTGCTCTGTCACCAGGCTGGCGTGCAGTGGCATGATCTCAGCTCACTGCAACCTCCGCCTCCAGAGTTTAGGCGATTCTCCTGCCTCAGCCTCCCAAGTAGCTGGATTAGGAGAGGTTTCTTCTGGTTAGCAGTGTCACAAAACAGACTGTTGCCCATAGTTCGGGGTACTCAATCCCTATTTCAGATGAATTGTTATGGCTACGAGAGGCATAAAGACTTACAGAAAATTGTCCTGTAGATAGCATTCGTTTTTAATGTGATACGCCTAGCAAGGTTTAAACCTTTTATTTTCCTGCACTCCAT
This sequence comes from Homo sapiens, assembly GCF_000001405.40. Taxonomy (NCBI): domain Eukaryota; kingdom Metazoa; phylum Chordata; class Mammalia; order Primates; family Hominidae; genus Homo; species Homo sapiens. Next base: position 19,070,280 of record NC_000008.11, read on the forward strand.
CAGCAAAAAAATTTGGAGCATTCACTTTCAAAATATACATATTGATTTATGACTGATGTATTTACACTATTGTATTAGTATGTCATGTGCAAAAAAAAAAAAAAAACCCACAAAAATAAAGCTAGAGAGGCAAGATATAAAAATATAAACAGTTGGGAGGCCGAGGTTGGTAGATCACCTGAGGTCAGGAGTTCAAGACCAGCTTGACCAACATGGTGAAACGCTATCTCTACTAAAAATACAAAAAAATTAGCCAGGCTTGGTGGCACATGTCTGTAAACCCAGCTACACGGGAGGCTGAGGCAGGAGAATCGCTTAAATCTGGGAGGCGGAGGTTGCAGTGAGCTGAGATCGTGCCACTGCACTGTAGCATGGGAGAGAAAGTGAGACTCTGTCTCAAAAAATAAGAAATATATATATAAACAGAAGCACTACTATTTTCTTTCAGTACCTAGTACATTGTCTTGTACACCTCACTTTCCACACTGCTGACCCACAGCCCTTTGACTGATTCTTTAAATCACTGGAACTCAGCACTAACCAAGCAAAGTTGAATCCAGGACATTGTATCCAGATAATCAATCTAGGTGTATTCATCCATTTTTGTAAAATTCAAATTTTCTTTAACTCTTTTCTTTAGTTAGGCTAGGCAGGCCTGGCTTAGTGTTTTATTTTTATTTTTAAACCCTCTTCAAAGAGTTCTTGAGTGTCAGGATAACTTACAAACTTGTGGATTTTCTCCTGATCATTTTTTTCAGCTCTCCTCTCTCTTTCTTTTTTTTTTGGAAGGGGGTAGGGGGGTTGGAGTCTTGTACTGTTGCCCAGGCTGGAGAGCAATGGTGCAATCTCGGCTCACTGCAACCTCCGCCTCCTGGGTTCAAGTGATTCTCGTGCCTCAGCCTCCCGATTAGCTGGGATTACAGGTGTGCACCACCATGCCCGGTTAATTTTTTATTTATTTATTTTTTAGTAGAGATGGGGTTTTGCCGTGTTGGCCAGGCTGGTGTTGAACTCCTGACCTCGAGTGATCCTCCCACCTCGGCCTCCTAATCTTTTTTTATTCTTTATTTCTTAATGAATTACTGTAGGTACATAATAATCATATACGTTTATGGGGTACCAGCTCCCCTTTCTTCCTGCCTAACCCTCTTCTGCCCTGTTTATGGCTCAAGATGCTTCCCTTCTGCAGAAGACATAGAAGAGGTTAGAAATGTTCTGGGTAGAAGAAGAGAAACGGGAAGGCTGTTGAGAATCCTGAGGGGAGAGAGGGCCTTGGCTTGAGCCTGGAAAGCGGGGAGAAAGACAACCCTGATGAACCCGGGGAGCTGCCCAGAGGCAGCACCCTGAAATAAGGGAAGGGTGGGTGCATTTATGAGATGACTTTTATAGAGTTAGTCAGAATTTTACAGGATTTCACGTGTCTGCCTCCGACTTCTTCTTCTTCTTCTTTTTATTTTTGAGACGGAGTTTCACTCTTGTTGCCCAGGCTGGAGTGCAATGGCTCACTGCAGCCTCCGCCTCCCAGGTTCAAGAGATTCTCCTGCCTCACCCTCCCGAGTATCTGGGATTACAGGCACCTGCCACCACACCCGGCTAATTTTTGTATTTTTAGTAGAGATGGGATTTCACTATGTTGGTCAGGCTGGTCTGGAACTCCTGACCTCAGGCAATCCACTCGCCTCGGCCTCCCAAAGTGCTGGGATTCCAGGCGTAAGCCACCATGCCTGGTCTGCCTTCTACTTTTTAACCTTGTTAGAGGACCCTGATGCACATAACTTCACTCTTCCAACTCTACAGAGCTCTTTTGGTTTCCTGAATATTTCTTCTTTTTTTTTTTTTTGTGACGGAGTCTCCCTCTGTCGCCCAGGCTAGAGTGCAGTGGCACGATCTCTGCTCACTGCAGCCTCCACCTCCTGGGTTCAAGCAATTCTCCTCCCTCAGCCTCCCCAGTAGCTTGGGTTACAGGTGCCCGCCACCACGCCCAGCTAACTTTCTAGTGATTTCACCATGTTTGTCAGGCTGGTCTCGAACTCCTGAGCTCACGTGATCCGCCCACCTCGGCCTCCCAAAGTGCTGGGATTATAGGACTGAGCCACGGAGCCCGGATGGTTTTCTGAACATTTCTAAGCCTCAATAATACTCTTGTTTTCAAAGTCTCACTTGTTCTGAACTGCAGTGGATGATGAATTTATGGAGAATTAAGACATTAGGTATACAGAACACAGAATTATGATTAGATGAAAATAATACATTTCGTCTTTCTATTTCAAGATGAGAGAGGTGGGTAAGAAAAATCATTTCTATTCAGACATGGAGAAAAGAGAGAAAACCCAGGCCACGGGCTCCCAGCTGCTCAAATGCAACCAGGACACAGAAGCAGTGGAACTGTTGGACCTGAAAGCATGCAGCCTAGGGTGAGAGGCTGTTGAGCCAAAATTCGGGTGGATGGAGGACTGGCAATCAAAGCAGGGAGGCTCTCCAGGGTCTGCATATTCTGTGCTAGGCTCAATTCCAAGTTCTTTACATATTATAACTCACATAATCCTTATTTTCCATCTGGCTCTGAAGTCTGTACTGTGCTGAGTTCATGTGGAAGGACTCAAGTGAACGTGAAAATGCATGAATACTTTTGTACCGTTGAAATTTCCTGACCCTTGGCCCAACTATAAAGGATGGGGAACCCTGAGACTATCCGAGACTGAATTTCTTGCTGGTCCAGTAGTACGAGGATTTGGGGCTAGATTTTATTAAAGATAATAAAATGGTTAATTATCTGAGAATGTTGATTTTTATACCTGCTATACTTGTAATTCATGAATAACTTATTTTGTTCTTTTTCTTGCCTCTTAACAGAATGATAACCCATTTTTTTTCCCATAAGGCACAGACTGTTCCACCTGCAGCAAAGGCCAAGCAAACCTGAAAAGGGATGAGGTGGGGAATTAATGCTACAAATTCTTTGGTCAGGCTTCATGATTAAGACAGGCCTGGCAGGGCACGGTGGCTCACACCTGTAATCCCAGTACTCTGGGAGGCCAAGGCGGGCGGATCACTTGGGGTTGGGAGTTTGAGACCAGCCTGGCCAAAATGGAGAAAGCCCATCTCTACCAATAATACAAAAATGAGCCCAGCATGGTGGCACACCCATGTAATCCCAGCTACTTGGGAGGCTGAGGAACAAGAATCGCTTGAACTCAGGAGGTGGAGGTTGCAGTGAGCCGAGATCACGACACTGCACTCCAGCCTGGGCGACAGAGTGAAACTGTCTCTCAAAAAAAAAAAAAAAAAAAAAAAAAAAAAAAAAGATAGGCCTAAGAGGTCTTAATAATTGTCTTGTCTGAGAGGGAAAAAGGCAGAAAAGCCAATCTGTACAGGACTGTTGTGAACTGACATATTATAAGAGGGGTCACAAATTTCTAAATGGCATTTTAGTTCAGGGGTCACAGCCTGCTTATTCTCAACTGAATCACCTGCTCTGATTTGCTATTCAAACATCAGAATTGTGTTTTTTTCTTTTTCTTTTTTTTTTGAGACAGAATCTCGCTCTGTCGCCCAGGCTGGAGTGCAGTGGTAGGATCTCGGCTCACTGCAAGCTCCGCCTCCCGGGTTCACGCCATTCTGCCGCCTCAGCTTCCCGAGTAGCTGGGACTACAGGCGCCTGCCACCACGCCTGGCTAATTTTTTGTATTTTTAGTAGAGACGAGGTTTCACCGTGTTAGCCAGGATGGTCTCGATCTCCTGACCTCGTGATCCGCCCACCTCGCCCTCCCAAAGTGCCGAGATTACAGGCCCGAGCCACCGCGCCCCGCAGCCCAGAATTGTTTATGTGCTGCCTCAAGATTGCAGTCTTGCGCTGGGATCCTCATCCAAAGCAGTATCCCCAAAGCAACCTCAGCTCCCCAACTCCCAGTACGGTCTGACCAGCAAACAGCTTCAAATCACTGGCTTGGATCGAGTTTACAGAACCCATTGCGGTGTTTCTGCTGTCTCTTAGCAACGTCTTGCAGGGTGGCCTTATTCAGTTGCCATCACTGCCTGGCACCTGGGAAGGGAAATCTTCCAGGATGAGGGGAAATCTCCCGGGTCCGGGGGGTGCCACAACTCTGTGATGTACAGACACACAATCTAGGTCCAGATTTTCTAATCCGGATTTCAAATTCTCCAGTGTTGTCTTAAATGATGCATATTTTTTATGCTGAAATATGTACTTCATTTCATGACATTGTATTGTTTTCCAAACATGTAGTCTACTATTTTTAGTTTATTTTTATGACTTTGAATAAAAGGTATAATTTTACAACTCAGATATATACATATATATATATATATATATTTTTTTTTTTTTTTTTTTTTTTTTTTGAGATGGAGTCTCGCTCTGTGGCCCAGGCTGGAGTGCAGTGACGCGATCGCAGCTCACCGCAAGCTCCGCCTCCCGGGTTCACGCCATTCTCCTGCCTCAGCCTCCCGAGTAGCTGGGACTACAAGCGCCCACCACCACACCGGGCTAATTTTTTGTATTTTTAGTGGAGACGGGGTTTCACCGTGTTAGCCAGGATGGTCTCGATCTCCTGACCTTGTGATCCGCCTGCCTCGGCCTCCCAACGTGCTGGGATTACAGGAGTGAGCCACCGTGCCCGGCCTAACTCAGAAATACTTTTGAAAATTAATTACTATTTTTTTTTTTGAGATGGAGTCTTGCCCTTTTTCCCAGACTGGAGTACAGTGGTGCAGTCTCAGCTCACTACAAACTCTGCCTCCCAGGTTCAAGCAACTTTCCTGCCTCGGCCTCCCAAGTAGTTGGGATTACAGGCACAGTACACCATGCCCGGCTAATATTTTTGTATTTTCAGTAGAGACAGGATTTCACCATGTTGGCCAGGCTGGCCTCGAACTCCGGACTTCAAGTGATCCGCCCACCTCGGCCTCCCAAAGTGCTGGGATTACAAGCATGAACCACCATGCCTGACCATTAATTACGAATTTTTAAAGTAGATTTATTTTCCTTGTAGAGATAGTCTCTTACTCAGTTGGCCAGGCTGGTTCAAACTCCTGGCCTCAAGTGATCCTCCCACCTTGGCCTCCCAAATTGTTCGGATTACAGGCATGAAGCACTGCACCCAGCCTATAAACCTTTATCTTAATTTTCAGGTTTCAGACCAATTCACTGCATGTATGTATGATTACATTGTTGCTATATTCTTTCCTAATGAATTATGAAATTCACACATGAACTCAGGAGAAGTCCAAAACTCAAATCCTCTTTACATTCTTTCAATTCACCAAGCTTTTTCCTCTTTCACCCTGATGGCCCCTGAAGTGCATCTCTACTGAGGCTCTCTTCTGACTCAATGGAATAAAAATGGTCACTTTTTTCCTTAAATTACGATGTGCAGATAGTAACTTGGACAGTAATTACCCCATTGTAGGCTTGCAGTGACTAAAGTATTAAACCTTTGTAAATATACTGCCAGTGTTTCATGCCGTATGTTTCAAAATGCCTCTTTGCATGTATGTTTATCTGCCCTAAAGGCTTATAGAAAGCAGAAAAAGAATCTTCTGTTGTATGGATTATAAAGGACCCAGAGAAACATTTAATAAGTTAATTTAATAATGAATATGGTAACTTACACGTAATCAACAATGTAATTCCTGCACTCACTTTGAATATATAGCTTCTAATTGGATTTATGTAATACTTTTTCTCCAAAGAGCTTCACAGGCTACGAACACAAGGCAACCTAATAAATGAAAAAAAGGCAGGCGCCAGCCAGAAGTGGCTCACGAAACAGTATAAAAAGATAGGTTGTTATGGAGGATGCTCTCAATAAAAATACGGTGGAAGGGCAGTTTGCAGAGTATGCTAAGAAAAATTTCACTTACAAATAAAGATTGAGGATGAGAAAAGTAAGAATTTTTCCATGAGCTTTCTCAAATGGCATGAAAAGTAGGAATGATTTATTTCAGTTGAAAATATTTATTTTATAGGTTGTTTAAAGCACAGAGTAGAGCTGGATCTACTTGCCTTGCAATAGAAACAAATTTGTTTTCTAGTTTCCTGGCCTGTAGTGGATTTAGAAAAGGATGTTAGAGGTAGGCATAGGAATAATAGTGAGAGGAGATAGGCCAGAACAGAGGAAACCGAAAAACTACTAAAAATAAAAAAGAGCTCAGAGAGCAGAGTACTAGTGGGAGAGATGCAAATATAAAATTTTATTAAATATAAGGGCAAATAGTCTGAAAGACCTAAGGGTACCAGCAAGCAATACTTGGGTACCAGCAGCAAGATTAGAGTGATTACTTATATTATCAGATTAAATTATGTTATGTGTATGATGTTTAAAGAAACAGAAACACAGTGAATATGAAATGCTCATTAGAAAAGTTTTTATCCAAAATGTTGTTTTTAAATTGTTACTTTAAAGGTCAAGCAAAATTTGTTTTTTAAAGAGAATTTCTGTGGGACATGTTAAAAGAACCCGCATGCTTCCTCCCTCCCTTCCTCCCTCCCTTCCTTCTCTCCTCACCCTTCTCACAATTAGAGCTATACAGCTACTGGTGCGACTCTTTGACCTTGGGCAGGTAGGAAGCACGGTGTTAAGTCTGAATGTCAAACATACCAGCTTTGTAGGAGGCCTTTATGGGATGGACTTTTGGGTTGCTTTTCTAATCTCAACCTCATCCTTCCTTGACCTTGACTTTTATTTATATATTTTCCTAGTCTTGATTGTTTATTACCGTCTACCTTTCACCATTGTTTTTATTTATTATTTGTGCTGTTGTTATAGGATATTGGAAATGCTTTATGGGGAAGATTGAGTCTATGTTAACAAAGTCTCCTGAGACTTCTCTGAGATATCTCTGACCTGAGATAAATGGTTTAATATTTTCATTGATACTGCATCATACAATCAGTGAGAACTCAATGAAGAGCAGCCAAGCTCCTTGCAGATAAAATGAGATTTTCCAATGATATAACATTGTAAGTGCTTGAATAATTCCCTGGAGCTTTTTACCTCATAATCTGCTGGACCTGGTTATTGAAAGGTTAATGCAAAATCACACATCCTGAAAATTTAAAGTTAAATTCTAAAAAGTTAAAATGGACTAAATATAATCACAGGAAATATGCACAACATGAAGGGCAGCCAAAAAACAGTCATAGCTGCTGATGACTTTAGAAGGAAGGAAGGTGGACGTCCTTAAAAAAAAAATGCAGCCCTGCCATTATCTGACAACGTCAACTCCATGTAGCCGTCATTCTGTCATTTGCCCACCTTTTTCGTTTGCCTAGAAACACTTGCAGAGAGTTGTCAGCTAAGAGTGTAAACCGATTGCTTTGTATAAATGTTTTATCAGAGCTCTCTCAAACTTTAGGGAAGCTAATATACATTTTATAGCTTTTGGGAGATTTTTAAAAACAACATCCTTGAACTTTGTAATATATTAGGATCAAATCATTGCGTGATGTGATTTATAAATAGATTTGCTTATTTATGCTTATTTAATAGACATGCTAAGTCATAAGGTACAGTTCAAGGTTCAGTATAACCCAATTCAGGGCATGTGGCTAATCTCCACCTTTTTGGTGTTCTGACTTCTGGAATACTGGGTCAGGAGTCCCAGAGAACTAATGTAAAGTTGAAGAGACCACATGCGGAATCCATGATAGTCATTTGATTACCATACAACCTGCTTTCACTAAGTCTTTGTAAGTCTCATTGTATCCTATAGTCTATAAATCTACAAGGAAAAAAAAATTTGTTCTTTTTGAGACACAGTCTTGCTCCGTTGCCCAGGCTGGAGTAGAGTGGCACAGTCACAACTCGCTGCAGCCTCGAACTCCCAGGCTCAACTGAGATTCCTTCCTCGGCCTCCCAAAGCGCTGGGATTACAGGCATGAGTCACCGAGCCAAGCCAGGAAAACAAAAGTCTTTCAAAGATAAAATTTTTACCGTATCATAACCTGTAGCAGATTGTGGAAGCAAATCTATTTATAAATCACATCAGGTAATGATTTGATTCTAATATATTACAAAGTCAAAGGATGCTGTTTTTAAAAATCTCCCCAAAGTCTATAACATGTATAATTTTATAGTACATTTATAGATTCTATATTAATTATACAGTAATGTATAATTTAATCTCAAAATGTTAAATTGGAGAGAGCTCAGATAGAATACTTAAACAAAGCAATCACTTTCCACTCTCAGCTGACAACTCCCTGCAAGTGTTTCTGGGCATTGACTGGGTTGGCTGTCTGTATTTTCTCCTCTGCTCTCTGCTCCCCATCAACCTTTATGAGTTGTCCCTTTCCCAGACCTCCATGGTGTAACCATCTTCAGGATCTCAGCACCCCTGTTAGCACAATGTGAGCCGCACCTACCTCTGTGCCCACCATAGTAGACTTAGTGGGTACCAGCCCACATCAGAGCAAAAAGTCTCCTCCCAGGGATGCAGGCCTAAGAGAATTCAGTGTTAGCCTGGATTGTCTTCTAAAGAAAGAGATGTAAACCTGGGAGTGGTGCTGGTCAAATTCCTCCCTGTGGAGTAGGGAGATGAGCAAGCAGATGGGCAGAAAGAGAAAGAGGGATCAGAGAAGACTGAAGAATGGGCAAGCAGAAGATAGCAGAGGAGAGATGAAAAACAAGACCTATTGGAGTTGCATTGAGCCCCTGTGTCCCAGCTCCCAATCCAATTGCTTTTCAACATGTTGCAAGGGACACAGCTGTAAAGGTGTCCTTGCACTCTTGGCCCTCTGCTTCCTATAGGTGGATCCAGATGCTAAACTTCCAGGAGGATTGCACCTATACAATGATCCACAGGACTCCTGTGTGTGAATGTTGAGGATGGGGTAAGGAGAGAAAAAGAGCAAGAGAACGTTGTCATGGGAACACTAAGGCAAATCACAAGATGAGAAAGGATTGAAACCCATTCTGCTATCTCAGGCTTTATTTATTCAAGTAATAAATCAAGACATCTGTGTCAAAACCAACGTAGCGTAAAATGAACTAAAGATAAGCTTTTCAATCCCATCAATACTGACTCCTAAATACCACATTCTTTTAAAATGGATGTTTCACTGCACATTTAATCTATATATCTGTTAAAATTACTATGTGAGCATTTGTGCATGCTCTTTCTTTGTTCTAGTTTCTTTTATAAAATTCTAAATGACTCACCAAGTAGAATTAATATAAAGACAGAATTATCTAGAATACTATTTTATGAGAAAAACAACTTTTAAACTTATGACAGACCAGAAGTCAAACAGGCTTGAATAACGAAATGTTTACCTTTAATGAGGTAAGTGACTGCTTCCTGGGGGTTAAGTAGACCAGGGAGTCAATGTTCAACTCGTAATAGGGGACTTTATTTAACTAGAACCATTACAGGACAGACGGCTTGCAATACCGGTCCAAAATTCTGTGGTGGGAATTTGTATTACTGTTCAAAGAAAGCACTGACTCTTTCATACCTGAATGTCTTGCTCCTCATGGAAATCCCAGTTTTCCCTAAGAAAGGTAAGCTCACTCTATAGGTAAGTTTCCTGTAGTGAAGTCATTTGACAAAATAATGAATCTTTAGAGATAAGCTGAGATAGAAGAAAATAGCTTTTTTTTTTTTTTTTGAGACAGAGTCTAGCTCTGTCATCCAGGTTGGAGTGCAGTGGTGCAATCTTGGCTCATTACAACCTCCACCTTCTGGGTTCAAGCGATTCTCCTGCCTTAGACTCCCCAGTAGCTGAGATTACAAGCACCCACCACCATGCCTGGCTAATTTTTATATTTCTAGTAGAAATGGGGTTTCACCATGTTGGCAGGCTGAACTCAGACTCCTGACTTCAAATGATTTGCCAGCCTCAGCCTCCCAAAGTGCTGGGATTACAGGCGTAAGCCACCGCGCCTGGCCAAAATAAATTGTTTTAATACTTATCTTTCCTTAAAGAGTTTCATTCCCTTTCTGTATTCATAGATGCATAGGTATTATAGAATTTTTGAGGTAGAAAGATTTCCTGGAGACAATGAGAGAAGCTAGCTTTGTTCAGGGAGATGTCAGAGGCCACAGAACTAGTTTGTCAGCAAAACCAGAGCTTCTTTGTTATCTTGTGAACTAAACAAAAACTTTCTACCCAAAAGGTAATGTACTTCATAGATTTACATTTCAGACATTAGTTTGATTTTAAGGAGTAACAGTCCAAGACAGAGAATTCACACTATTTTTCCTAGTCTGCTAGACAGGGTCTGCACATGAGAAAATAGACCTCCATTGCATTTCCATTGATTAGGTAAATGAATGATGTCCCAGTGCCTGTCTCCCTCTCACACAAACCCCCTGGCTGGCTCCTTGCCTGTCATGCTCATTTCCTCGCTGTTTCCTAAACCCTGAACAGTCTTACAAGCTAGTGATCAAAGCTCAAAAAGTGAATTGGTTTTGAGGACCAACGGTGAGGTAGGAAGGGAGAAAGGAAGACCAAAATAGAGCAGTCAATCTTTTCGCAAATTTAAGGCCATAGATAAAATTGAGGTCAGTAAAAATGAGGGACATTAAAAAACTTATTTCACTAATTTTCTAAGGCTGCTTATATACCAAAAGTCACTGCCATTTTAAGACACAAAATATGTAAAATATGAAGACCTAGCAAAAAAAAATTTAAGATGTGGAAATGTCCCGAAACGATGATAGAGAAAGCTTTTCCCCCCTGTCTTTTGAGTTGGGTCTGCTTTCCTTATCCTCTTATCTTTAGCCCCAAGTTCAAATCAAATGTGAACAGTTCCCTGGGTTCCCACAGAGGGGCAGCAGCACATGAGGCCTGGGAGATGGTTAGGGCAGGCTCTGGTCCCGGCCCATAGAATATTCTCTGATTCACACTGACAGACTCACCACAGAAATGTTAGAGCCGTCCGTTGGCACCACCCTGAGCTGAGACTCCACGTCCCCAACACCTAGGCCTTCACTGCTTCTAGAAAGCTGGCTGGACTCATTCGTACAAGGTTAGGTCACTAGACCTAAAGTCTTGAGTGTCTTTCTCCCACCCTCTCCACCAGAGGAATTAGGAGTGCAGTACAGACCACCAGGCCTCAGGAAATGTAGGGTTACTTCCAAGGAAATTTTGCCAGCTGGAAAGACAGTGAAAGAAGGCAGACAGAGCCCTGGACTGGGGGTAGACAACTTGAGGGCTGGGCCCAAGCTGCTTCATCCTAGTCCCATGGAGTTGCTTACTATCTGCAAGCATCTGTCCTTTCACGAGTGAAGTGGGGTGATAATAACATACATCCTTGCAGAATTTCGAGATTTTCATAAGAGGAAATAATGCAACGGAAGCCATCCAGGTCACAGAACGCTCTGATTACTTTTACTAAAGCCTGGTCATAGAACAAACTAAGAACCAACCAATGAAGATTTGTTCTTCATTCCTTATAATACTTGGAAAGATGCAAGCCAAGATTTTTTACTATGGAGCCTGTGATGTTTCATCACTGAGAGAATAAATTCAGCCATTTTGAATCCTGCAAAGAAGAAAGTTTACTCTTCAGATCCAGGATTTTCCAAATTGACACTAGGACCTCAACTCTACTGTACACGTGTAGGAATGGAGTTTCCTTCCCTGTAACCAACGTTTCACTTTAATAAACATAACTGAGCACATTTTCCATAAGTTCATCGACTGAAAGCTTCCATTATGGGGGATCGAGGGCATTAGCATCCACAGTGGTCAAGAAGATATTATATTTTAATCAGCTTTTTGATACTTTGCGACAATTCATATAGCTACATTCTAAAACATGAAAGGATTGAGTAATTCTCACACACTCATCTTTCAAGTCTAGATAGCACCTTAATCTGTCCAGGGCTGGACACATGGAAAAACTATTGTGCTGCTTTGTTTAACACCCAACCCTGGGCAGGGGTTCCCTGGTTAGTGATAGCCGTACGGCACCTACAGGATCTAAGGGTGCTAACTTCCCAACTCCTCTCTCCCCATGGCAGAGGGAATCACATTGTCTGACCACCTCTGACTCCATGGGTTCCCTGGTCCTACCTGGTGTCTCACTGATTTGGCTTCTCCTCTTTTCTCCCTTAGGACTACTGAGGGCCCCTTTCACTTTAGTCCGCAAATCTCCATTGCAATGTGAAGCAGGGGACGTCATCAGTGTTTTCATGGTGGAAAAACTGAGCCTCAGAGAGCTCTGGCGGGTTGCTCTCAATAAGGACTTGGACTTGGGGCTTCTAACTTTTTAGCCAGAAATCCTCCAACCTTTAACTTAGACCGAGCAGATGTCGGGGTCCCATTTGCAGCCCTCTGAATTAGGTGGACAAGGGTGAGATCCACACACTTGGACCAATTCCCAAAGTGCCTCTTCCCAGAGAAATGGCAACAGCTCTGAGGCTTCAGCTTATCCCCCGAAGGCGGGAGGGGAGAGTGGGAAAAGATGGGGTTTTCAAGTCATCAGGCCAGCACTGAAGTACACAAACAATAACTGTGTGACCCCACATACAGAGATGGGCTCTGATGCAGGAGTATGTCATTCCTCCTAAATCCCGGTAGGAAATGAGAGATGCAAGAATTAGGATGGAATGTGAACTATTTCTTAAGGAAGCATGCTAGCATCTCTTCCTCCAAGAGCGCTACTCTGGAGAGCTTTCTCCCCGTTTCTTAACTGTGGCTACGCAGGCCCTTGTTAAAAAGAGAAAAGGGAAGGAAGGGTGCTGTGAGAAGCCTGCAGGAGAGGGCATGGTGTTTGGATGACGCAGTACCCCCTCTAAGCCCATGGGAGGCCCCTGCCAGATGCTGTGAATTTCATTCATTTCTTCTGTGACTTCCCTGAGATTCCTGTCCATGCTAACCCTCAACACTCCAATGACTCCCTCTTCCTTCCGTCTCATCCCACCACCCTCCACACCCTTCCTCACCTCCACCCTCATGCTCACACACATGCAAAGGATAGCAAGATGCCCACACTGTGAGAAAAGAAAGCTGAATGCATAATTTTAAGTTTTGTCCACCCAATTTGAGAACAGTGCACCTGAGCTGGGTGGAGAGGGTGGGCTGCAGGCACAAGAACAACGGGAAGGCTGGGCCAGAAGTGCGGAGTGTGAGATGCTAACAACAAGGGCAGGCAAGGCCATGATCAGAGGCAGAGCCCGTAGAGCTGGAAACAGGAGCCCACAGAGCTGGAAAAGACCTTGGAGGCCACACAGGGCTGCCTTTCCCTTCCTGATGGGGAATGGAGGCTCCTGTCCCAGGCTGCACATCCATTTGGTGGTGGTCTAGGTGTGTTGGGGAGATGGAAGGTACATGAGAGCCCTAGAAAGTCAGGTGTTCATGGATGACAGTAGGGTGTGGCTGAGTTCCAAGGCTGTGCTCCGGTTCTGGAAACCTCCACAGCTCCCTGGAGCCTCCCCCATTGTTCCCAATGCCCATTCTGGAGAACAAGCTTTGCTTTTGCCCTTGTGTTTCTGCAAGGGTGGGGAGGATGTTTGCCCAGTCACATCTCCATCCCCTCATCTGAAACTGGAGCTGTGGAGCTCTATTTCTCAAAGTGGTTAAGATGAGTAAGGGGATGTGAGAAAATGCCTAGCACATCACAGGACCCAATAAATGTCTGGGTACCTCCTTTGTCCTTCCTTCTGGTGTTCCCCTATAAAGTATGCCTGACTTTTCTTTTCCCATCTTTGGCAGAAATCTTGGGAAATAGTTAATCCTTGCCTTCTTCCAAACAAAATGTTTCTGGTGGCCTGGAAGGTGGCAGAGGACAGAGCAAATGCCAGGCCTGGGAAGGCTGCGGCTCGTGGGTACCTCTGCTGTTGAGGTGTGGCCCATCTAAGCAGAGGAGAGAACCAACGCCAGAAATTGGAGGCCAGGGTGGCACGTCTGTCCCCTGGCTCCCTTTCTTCTGCTGGGATTCAGGACATGCGAGTTCTTACCTTGAGAGGCAGAGTGGCAGGCGGGGCTGGGCAGCCCTTGCTGGTGTGCACAGCTGGACAGTACCTGTAGAGCCATGCCCTTGTCGCCTGCGCTGTGGTACCTGTGGCCTCCTTACAGCTCCTGGGGAGTATTTGGCAGGTCTCGGCGCCTCTCCTCAGCACAGTCCTTTCCGCTCCATCTGCAGCGTGGACCAGGACAGCCCTTGGAGGGGAGCATCCCAAGGCATCCCTGCATCGGGGGTCCATGCCCCACAGATCCTGGGTGGCAGAAGTGACTGGCCAGTGCTTCCAGCCCATGGAGGGACTGCTGCTTTCATCACTCATGATGGGAGCTGGGCTAGGAAGCCTCCATGCCAGGGGCTGTAGCCAGCCCAGTGTCTTGGAGGCAGGGGCCTGGCAATGCCTGTGATGTGGGGATCTGCAATCACCACCCCTGCTTACGTCCGGATCCTGGGATTTTTTCCTCCCTTCCTTCTTTTCCTTTGGAGCAGAGCAAGTGAAAGCAGCTGATTCCTCCGTCTCAGGGCCTGCCTTCTGCAGCAGCCTCAAAGGAGGGGCAGCTGAGCCCTGTGTGCGCCTGAGGTCCCAGCCTGCCAAGAGGCCTGTCCTGGGACTTGGGAAACTGTGTCCCTCCTCCAGGCCCCCTGGGGTTGCCGCTGGAGACGGGGCGGGGAGAGTGCAGGCTGGAGGAGCCCGCAGCTGGATGAAGAGGAAGGAAGTTTTCATCTGCTGCTGCTGAAACTGCCCGGCCATTTCCTCCAGGGGGGTCGGGCTGGTCCCTGCCAGGGTGGAGTTTCAGGCCTCAGTGCCCAGGGATGCGAACAGCAGCAGCTGTGGGCAGACGTGACTCAGCCCCATGGTTCCACCGACAGCCTGAGGAAGCAAACAACATGTCTTCAGCACCCAGGGGAGTCTTAAAATAGGGGGGTCAGATAATGATCTTGGCCATGGAGCTGGACTTTGCACTTATATCACAGAATCACAAAAAGATATTAGTGGAGAATAATCTACAAGTGAGGGGTGACAGTGAGGACAGTCAAGACAACCCTTCTCAACTTTGTTTTTGTTTTTGTTGAGACAGAGTCTGGCTCTATTGTTCTGGTTGGAGTGTAGTGGTGTGATTTCAGCTCAATGCAACCTCCGCCTCCCAGGTTTTAGTGATTCTGCTGCCTCAGCCTCCGGAACAGCTGGGATTACAGGCACGCGCCACCGCACCCACCTAATTTTTGTACTTTTTAGTAGAGACGGGGTTTTGCCATGTTGGCCAGGCTGGTCTTGAACTCCTGACCTCAGGTGATCCATCCGCCCCACCTCGGCCTCCCAAAGTGCTGGGATTACAGGTGTGAGCCACTGCGGCCGGCCCCCTCTCACCTTTGTGTATCTACATGGAATCACTTTTTCTTCACTGCCCCCTTCCTCCTATTTGAAATGAAAACACTATTCATTTCATAATTTAATCCTAAATTCTGTGTTAGCTGTTCTTGTTACTTGGTGACTGACCTGTGAGACACTGGTTTATAAATGAAGCCTCCAATAAGCTTTGAAGTGTACTTTTCATCTACTTTGTCTGCATTATTTTTACTAAATACTTTTAAGACCTCTAGGATAAAGTGCGCAACAAACAGTTGTAAGCAACTTTAATGTTTTCATGAGTTTGCACTTTAAATCTGTGGTCATTTATGGGTTCTGTAGGAGAGGTCCCACATCAAAATACTTGGTGTCATGGTTTGTGTCTCCTCCAAAATTCTGGTGCTGCCAATGTGATAGTATTAACAGGTGGGACCTTTCAGAGGCAATTGGATCCTGAAGGTGCCTTCCTTCATGAATGGGATTAAGACCCTTATAAAAGAAGTTTCACACAGCTGTTGAGCAGTAGGTTGCCCTTCTGCCTTCCACCCAATGAGGACACAGTATTCCTCCCCTCCAGAGGACAAAGTCCTCACCAGACGAGGCACCAGGTGCCTTGATCTTGGACTTCCCAGTCCCCAGAACTGTGAGAAACCAAATTTCACTTCTTTATAAATTACCCAGTCTATGGTATTTTCTTAGAGCAGCATGAAAGAAATTTGGTATTACCCCACAAAATGAAAAGAAAGTGGTATATTGTTGCAGCTGTGCAGAAGACACTTAGCATCAAAGAAAGTAAGAGAGAGAAAAGGAAGAAAGAAGGAAGGAGGGAAGGAAGGAAGGAAGGAGGGAGGGAGGGAGGGAAGGAAGAAGGAAGTAAGGGAAAAAGAAAAAGAGAGGAAGGAAGGAAGGAAGAAAAAGAAAGAAAGAGAGAGAAAGAAAGAAGGAAAGAAAGGAAGAAAAAGAAAGAAAAAACTAAGAAAAAAGAAAAACATGAAAGAAGAGAGAAAGAAGAAATAAGATTAAAAAAAAAAATCCAGGTAACAAATCAGGCTGGAAGGGCTTTTTGTTGTTGTTGTTTTTGTTGTTTTGAAAAATAATTTAGCCCATCTTAATTAGAGGAAAGAAAAAAATAATCTAATCTTTTAACTTGTGAGAACATGGCAGTGCTTTTTAAAAATGGAGATCATTTCTTTTTAGCAAATTGTAATAGGCAATTGAAAAGTATAATAAATAAAAAATGAGACAAAAGGAAGAAGAAAAGAAATCACCTTAAAATTCAGTTGACTCACTCACATTCAGAGTATTTCTATAGGCTCAGTACCTCTTAGGGGGAAAGGAATCTTTTTGAGTCATGCTGACCCTGTACCTGAGGAGGAAAGAAGGCAGGTGTGAGAAAGCTCTAGTCTTCGTCAATGTGAAATAACTTGACTAAAAGGGAACCAGGAAATCATCCTCCAAAACAAAGTGAGCATGTGGTCTAGAACTTCCTTGCTCTGCATGCAGCATCATGTGAAGCCTGGGTGAATTCTCCCTCCCTGACTCCTCAGTATCCCCGCACACGGGCAGCACCCCTGAGGCATCAGGGGCCACTGGCCTTGGCTGACCGTGGCTGACCAGGCTGAATCCTTGGAAATTCTCAGGATGCCAGGATGCCCAGTTGGAGTCTTATGATAGTTTTCCTTGTTAAACGTCTTCATACTTTAAAAGTTTTTTCACCAAAGGTCAAGGAGGTTTTGCCCACATTTCCAATAGCTGGCAAGTGACTCAATCTACATCTCATTTAGAAATGTGCTCAAATCTGTTTAGGCCAGGCACCGGCTGCTATAATCCTTTTTATCACATCTACAAAGAAAATTTTGACAAAACCATATTATGTCTAACTGTAATTGTATGTTGATCTCATTACATTAATGTTCATAAAACATTTTACATAAGTGATGACTAGTCCTCTATAGGTAATTTTCACACTCTTCTATACAAGAACTTGTCTGAACATTGTAATCGCTCAACAAACAGTACTGCGTGTTGACTGATTAACTGCCAGTAACATGGGAAACTATGTCTTCATAGGGAACAGGAATTTGGGTGAGAAGAAACCTTCTGAAGGTACCAAGCATGACATCAGGGGCTTTGCATAGTGTATTTCATTCAAGGCACAGCACAATCCTGTGAAGTAGGTGGCATCATTTCTATGTTGCAGTTAAGGAATGTGAAGCTCAGGGAAGGCACAACTGCCCCAAGTAGGCAGGGGCTTTAAAAAGCTGTCGGATGAGAAGTTTCACTCCTTCACCTCTTTCCATTTCAAACATCCAACTTCTAAACCACATGAAGTAAAGTACCAAGGAAACCATGGTGGTGCTGGTAGCGTGTCCAGGGCACTTCTGTCTTCTTTTTATTTGCAAGCTCACCACAGTGGGGATTACTGCCCAATATTTCATTTCTGGGTTGTGTGGACTGAAATAGGAGAAGGGTAAATAAATGGTGGATGACACTTGAGAGCTGACAGGAGGGCTGACTTGGAGGATTCATGTAACGCATTTCCTTGGGACACCCTTAAGTATTAGGAGGCGCATTTAGGGGGTGGGAGCTCTGTGTGAGATGTGGGGGAAAGTGCCAGAGAAACATGAGTAAACAGCAGAGTGATTTGAGAGCACAGACTTTGGTGCCACACAGACATTTCTTAGCCCTGCTTCCACTGTGTGGCTGTGTGACCTTAGGCAAGTGTATTAGTCTGGTCTCATGCTGCTGATAAAGACATACTAGAGACTGAGTAATTTATAAAGGAAAGAGGTTTAATTGACTCACAGTTCTGGAGGGCTGGGGAGGCCTCATGAAACTTACAATCATGGCAGAAGGGGAAGCAAACATGTCCTTCACATGGTGGCAGCAAGGAGAAGTGTAGAGCAAAGAAGGGAAAAGCCTCTTATAAAACCATCAGATCTTGTGAGAACTCAATATCACGAGAACAGCATGGAGGTAACCACCCCCATGATTCCGTCACTTCCCATTGGATCCCTCCTGTGACACATGGGGGATTATGGGAACTACAGTTCAAGATGAGATTTGGGTGGGGACATAGTCAAACCATATCAATAATTTACTTGGCCTTTTTGACAATCAGGTCCTCTTCTCTAAGATGAAGTAACAATAGCTACTTCCTTTTTAATAATAGCTATTCTGACACATGTGAGATGGTATCTTATTGTGGTTTTGATTTGCGTTTCTCTAATGATCAGTGATGTTGAGCTTTTTTCGTATAGTTGTTGGCCACATGTGTGTCTTCTTTTGAAAAGTGTTCATATACTAACACAAGAACAGAAAACCAATTACTGCATGTTCTCACTCATAAGTAGAAGCTAAGTGATGAGAACACATGGGCACATAGAGGGGAACAACACACACTGGGGCCTATTGGAGAGTGGAGAGTGGGAGGAGGGAGAGGATCAGGAAAAATAACTATTGGGTATAGGCTTAATACTGGGTGACAAAATAATCTGTACAACAAACCCCCAGGACACAAGTTTACCTATATAACAAACCTGCACGTGTACTCCTGAACTTAAAATAAAAGTTAAAAAAAAATAGCTACTTTCAAGGGCTGTTGTGAAGATTAAGTGCAGGTGCAAAAGGCTTCCTTAGCATATTGCCTGCTACCTAATCGGTTCTGTAAAATAAATGTTAGTTACTTTTAGAATTTAGATCCACATGTTATCCTGGAGAAAACTTGTTCACCCAACAGAACAATTTGAGTTGTTTCATGAAATGTATAATTTTTTTAACCTGCAACGGGTAATTACATGCATGTTTTCATGCTTCCTGTCTGATGGGAAAGCACCTAAGGGCTGAGGAATTAATTGGGATGTAGGAGGGTCAGCAAGGGAGTTGGGGTCGGGGAAATGGGTCTGAGTTCTGGAGTAACTAATCTTTAGCTGTGACTCACAACAAATTTGAACCTCAGTGGACATTATTTTAACACAATGGAGTAAATTTCTGCCCTTCCTACCTTATGGAATTGTTTTGCAGGTCAAATGGGATAATCTATGTAGGAATACTTTGTAAACATAAAACTGATGTAAGGTCACACACCACATGACATTTCGGCTAGTGATGGGTGGTCCCATAAGATTAAAATGGAGCTGAAAAATTCCTGTCATCTAGTGATGTGGTCACTGTCGTAATGTCATAGCACAGTGCATCACCGATGATGCTGGTGTAAACAAACCACTATGCTGCCAGGCACATACAATTGTATGCAATTATGTATATTACGTAATACTTGATAATACGTACTATAGTATGTAACACTTGATCATAAACAACTATGTTACTGGTTTATGTATTTACTTTTTTATCATGATTTTAGAGTGTACTCCTTCTACCTATAAAAAAAGTTGGCCGGGTGCAGTGGCTCAGGCCTGTAATCTTAGCACTTTGGGAGGCCGAGGTGGGCGGATCATTTGAGGCCA
Source organism: Homo sapiens (assembly GCF_000001405.40). NCBI lineage: Eukaryota > Metazoa > Chordata > Mammalia > Primates > Hominidae > Homo > Homo sapiens. The sequence goes on from NC_000008.11 coordinate 19,090,022, forward strand.
GCCTGGCCAACATGGTGAAACCCCATCTCTACTAAAAATACAAAAATTAGCCAGGCATAGTGGCAGGCACCTGTAATCCCAGCTACTCAGGAGGCTGAGGCCGGAGAATCGCTTGAACCTGGGTGGTGGAGGCTGCAGTGAGCCGAGATTGCACCACTGCCCTCCAACCTGGGTGAGAGTGACACTCTATCTCAAAAAAAAAAAGTTAACTGTAAAACAGCCTCAGGCAGGTCCTTCAGGAGGTATTCCACAAGAAGACATTGCTGTCCTAGGAGAGGACTGCTCCATGCTTGTTTTTAGCCCTGAAGACCTTCCAGTGGGACAGGATTTGGAGGGGGGATAGAGTGATAGTGATGATCCTGACCCCTGTCTAGGCAGTTGTATGTATTTGTGCCCTTGTCTTTGACAAAAAAGTTTAAAAAGTAAGAAAAAAATGTTAACAGAAAAAAGCTTTATTATAGAATAAGGATATAAAGAAAGAAAATATTTTTCTACAGCTGGAAACTGTGTTTTAAGCTAAGTGCTACTACAAAAGAGACAAAAGGTTAAAAGAATAAAAGAGTTTATAAAGTAAACCTGTTACAGTAAGCTAAGGTTAATTTATTATTGAAGAAGGAAAAATATTTTAAAAATAAATTTGTTGGAGCATAAGCGAACTATGTTGATAAAGCCTACAGTAGTGTACAGTAACGTCCTAGGCCTTCACAGTCACTCACCACTCACTCACTCACTCACCCAGGGCAACTTCCTGTCCTTTAAGCTCCATTCATGGTAAGTGCCCTATATAGTTGGACCTTTTTTTCTTTTCTTTTCTTTTTTTTTGAGACAGAGTTTTGCTCTTGTTGCCTGGGCTGGAGTGCAATGGTGTGATCTCAGCTCACTGCAACCTCTGCCTCCCAGGTACAAGTGATTCTCCTGCCTCAGTTTCCCAAGTAGCTGGGATTACAGGTGTGCGACACCACGCCTGGCTAATTTTGTATTTTTAGTAGAGATGAGGTTTCACCATATTGGTCAGGCTGGTCTCAAACTTCTGACCTCAAGTGATCCACTCGCCTCAGCCTCCCGAAGTGCTAGGATTACAGGCATGAGCCACCACACCTGGCCAGGTGGACCATATTTTATCTTTTGTACTGTATGTTTACTATACTTTTTCCACGTTTAGATATGCTTAGATACACAAATGCTGATCATTGTATTATCATGCCAACAGTATTCAGTAGAGCAATATGGTGCACAGGTTTGTACTCTGGGAGCAGTAAGCTAGACCAGAAAGCCTAGGTGTAGGCTATACCACTGAGGTGTCCAAAAGTGCACTCTGTGATGTTCGACAATGACAAAATTATCTGAGGATGCATTTCTCAGAACATATTCCTGTTATGAAGCAACACATGACTGTGTATGTTAGATCCTTGAATTGTGATGAATGTTGTTATAATAATATTATTATTACTAACAGTAATTCTAAACTAATCATCGTTTGTGATTCCTCTGAAGTCTCAAGGTTTCTTGCTCTGAAATAATGCTAAGTTGAGGCCCTATTTTTTTGCTAGCACCACAGACCTTCAAGATTCATAAACTATGAATGCAAACAACAGATCATTAAAAGTATACTTTGTGCTAGTGATTTCTTCTCATCACTTCAACAGAGAAAAAGAACATTCTAGAATCCTAACAATGGTGACAAGGGGTGTGGACACAGCGTTGTTAGGAGGGGGAGACACCAGAGCACCAACTTCTCTCACTTAAACCTTATGACAACCTTAAGAAGTAGGCAGCATGATCCCCTTCTTGGAAATGCAGAAAGAGAGAATGGGGGAGATTGAGAGGCTTGCAGAATGTGACATCATTAGGGAGAACAGTGGTTGAGGTGGGTATACAGGTCTGGCTCTTTCCTCTCCTCTCTATGACCAGTGAACTTAATGTAACCAGCATGTCCAGCCTGACTGTACTTCCTGGCCTCAAAGCCCAGGTTCCCAAGAAAGATCCACCCATCCCACATGAGCAACCTTTGCTCATCAGGGAGCTTTACCATCTCTAATGTTGTTTCCCTAATGTTTTTAAGAACTCATGTGATTCAAGATTGTATAAAAACGGTACTTTATCAAGACCATTGATTGAAGTGAAGAAAAACAGTGATCTCAAAGGAATGATAATTCCAGAGAACAAGTGTTAGAGGCTTAAGACCCAGGAAATCCCAAGGATTCCTGGAAATATTCCATTCAGAGTTTTAGATCAAAGGAGGCACAACCTGCCTCCCAATTCTCATTCATTCTCTCATATGGTGGAGTCCACCACTGTCTGTCCTTGGCATTTATTTGCAGAGCTCTTTGGAGTCACTGTGCCCAATTTGGTTGTGACCTGGTGGGCATTCACAGCTGATAGGAAGAAAAAAATGTGGTAATCTTAGCCATTTCCTGCTGTAAGAATTGTGTTTGGAAAATGACCTGCATTCTTAAGTCAAGAAAAAGTGAGACACAAGGTACAGCTGGAATGGGACACAGGACTGAGGGAGAGTCTGGCGGAACTGAAACCTGAATAGCTAGGAAGGTATGAGCGTGTTAAGGGAGTGTGTGTCAAGGGCATAGATGAGGTGACTGAGCTGAGAGATGACCTAGGAGAATCAGAGCAATGGTAAGAACTAGCACTGACCATCCCTACTCATGCTTTAACAAATAAAGCTTCAAGATGTTCTAGGATATTCTATCTGCTGGTTAGAAATACATCTTCAGAGTCAGAGCTTTAGTTTTTTCCACTATTATAAGGAAATTTCTGTACATGTGAGCTTCATGTAATATTGGTATTGACAATGATGATGATGATTATAGCTACTGTCTTAGTCCATTCAGGTTGCTACATAACAAAATAATATAGACTTGGTGACTTACAAACAACAGAAATTGATTTCTCACAGTTCTAGGGGATGGGAAGTCCAAGATTAAGGTCTCAGCAGATTTGGGGTCTGGTGAGGGCTGCTTCCTCCTAGACAGTGGTCTTCTTACTCCAACCTCACTGGGTGGAAGGGGTGGAATGTTTCTCTGGAGTCTCTTTTATAAGGGAACTAATCTCATTCATGAGTGCTCTGCCCCCGTGACCCATCACCTCCCAAAGGCTCCATATCCTAATATCATCCCTGGAGAGGTGAAGATTTCAACATTTTACATTCGTCACTTCTAATCTTTAGAACGAAGTAAATATTAGAATCTCTGTCTCAAAGACATGGACACAAGTCTGCAGAAGTGAAACTCTTTCCCTGAAGTGACAGCAATGGAGTGGATGCGGGTCCACGTTGTTCAGGCTCCAAAGTCCAGCTGTTTCCATGATGCCAGGCTGCTTCCTAATTAGTATATTTAGGAGATAACTGTATTTTAGAGATAAAGACCTGAGATTTGGAGAGGGGAAGAAAAGAAGAAAACATTTTCACCTCCTCTCCAGGAACCAGGGCCCGTCATCCCCTCAACCTCTTAAACTCGTGCTTTTTCCAAACTGAGTCCCTGGTGACCATTTTTTGCCTCTCCCTGAAAAGCAAGCCCAGTTCATTTCTTCAGGAGATGACACTGTGTCAGATATTTCCCCTTGTGATGATTATTTCTGGAAGAACCAGATGGGAAAGCTTGGGAAACATTCTAATTAGAAAGAGTCTTTCATTTCCATCCGGTTTCTATTTCCCTTCCAGCCCCGATCCCCATCCCATGCACACATTGGCACGTTCTGAGCACTTCTTTGTATTTCAGGTCGATATGTGCCTACCCTGGCAGCTGATCACACAGGCAGACTGCTTTTGAAGTAAATGGAAAGACTGCCCAAACAGACAAGAGTACTGAGCCACGGGGAGTTTGAATGCCCTGTTCTGTGTCAAGCCCAGACGGCCGGTTCTCTTATTCATGGTTACTGAAGCTCTTTATGCTAAAGAGTGCTGGGCAGTGAGAGACAGGGTCCTTTAGCCAGGCAGGGCTCAGGTTCCACACCATGAAGTGAGTGGGAAGCTGCGGTAGATGCCATTTGAGTGTGAGGAGTGAGGTGTGGGGTGGCTGTGCTCTAAGCCACCCAGGCAGGAGCCAGGGGCTGTACCTCCTCCCCTTAACCTCTCATTGCTCCTCAGTGAGGTCATCCTCACAGTGTTGTGCATTTACTGGAAGCAGCCTTCACAAAACCTTGATTAGATGAATAGGAATTACTTCTAAGAGCACATTTTCTAAGTAGTCAGCTCATGTCTGTTGACCTTGGCAATGGCTGCAGTTGTATCTAGTGCCCCTGTGAGACAAGCAGTTCCCATTGGCTGCTCGATTTAATACTCCCCGGGCTACAGCGATGAAGTAACTGAGGCCTGAGAGCTGAAGCAACTTGCCCAAGGTCACTAACAAGAGGCAAAGCCAGTTCTTGAACCTTTTTTGTCCTAACTCCAACCTGGGGCTCTGAAGTCCTGCCGCTCCACTGGAAGGGCCCTCAGTGCCGTCTATGCCCAGGGCGGGGCACTCAGGTTGGGTGGGGATGCAGCCACCCTGAGTGGGCCCGTGATCTGCTTCACCTCTGCCTGGCAGAACTGGAGGTATGGACAACCTTGGCAGGGTATGAGTGGGATAGGAGCACATGTGCTCAGCTCACATGCTCTATGCCTTTCAGAAGCAAATCTCGCAATAGTGGAAGGATGGCCTTATTTATCTTAAAAAGTCACACCAAGTAGATGAAGTGTGACACGTAGTGGGAGGAAAGCAACAATTAAAAGTACAACCATGGCTGGGCACAGTGGTTCATATCTATCATCCCCACACTCTGGGAGGCCAACGTAGATGGATCACTTGAGTCCAGGAGTTTGAGATCAGCCTGGCTGGCCGACATGATAAAACCCCATCTCTACAAAAACAAAACAAAACAAAACAAAACAAAAATTAGCATTAGCCACGTGTGGTGGAGCATGCCTATAGTCCCAGCTATTTGGGAGGCTGAGATGAGAGGACTGCTTGAGCCTGGAAGTTCCAGGCTGCAGCAAGCTGTAATTGCACCACTGCAATCCAGCCTGGATGACAGGAGACCCTGTCTCAAAACACACACAAAAAAATAAAAAAAGCAACTGTTTGAAGCATAAGGCTTTTCTTTAGGTCTTCTTGATGGCAAATGACTGCTTATTCCCTTGAGCACATACATGCAGTTGAGCTTGTTTTTCAACCTGTCTTCCTTCCCCTCTAGTGAAAAAGCCGTGTAAGTAGGAGAGGAAAGGGTCCTTCCTCTCTGGGAAATGCACCCATCAGAGTGCCATAGAACCAAGAGTTCTACCCTTACAGATTGATTTTTCTGGGTTAAGCATTGTCTTGGGGGGTAAGAGCAAATTCTCCTTTAAAATATTAGCTACTCTGGGAGGAGAAAACCCTCTATCCCTAATATCATGCTTCAAGTGGTTTTCTGAGACTGCTTCCTCCTATACTGCCAGGTCCAGCAGCTCCTGCAGATGGGTGGTGGTGGAAGGAGGAGAGAATGGGCCACAGGCAGGCCAAGGGCAAGCTTAGCAGCACTCAACATCCTCCATGAACTCAACAGAAGTCAAGAATGCAGGCAGCTCATGATGAAGACCTGCAGCGGCCCAGGTTTACCAAGCTCATTCACAATTGCAGTTGGAGAATTCGTCTTTGGTCATTTTCTACTTTGGAAATACGGTAAATAATGTAACAATGTTTTTAAGAACAAGCTTCATCCCTTCCAGGTCCTTTTTATAGCAAACATTTGCATCTAAAGGAAATATACTTGTGTGTGTACACACGTGACTGTGCTGTTTGTTTTCCATCCCGCCATAGGAAAAAAACAGTTCACATGCTTTAAAAAAGTCATCCAAGCAGAAAATTGGGAAGAGCAGCAGCTGTGAGAAGAGATGTGTGCAGGGGTTACAAATGATTTCTCATTAACTCCAGACGCTCTTGTTCCTGGTCACCACAGCCCCATCTGAGAGGCAGATGTGACAGCGCTGGCAGTGACAATGACAGAGGAAGAGATGGGAGGGAGAAACGGTTAGCTTATTTGTTTTAAAAGAAGCTGCTCAAATGTTTTGAGTTCTTCCATGCCTCGTGAGTCACAAACCCACAGAATGGGCAGGGCTTGGCTTGAAATTGAGGACGGCCTGCCTCTGCCATTTCCTGAGCGGGTGATCTTAGGCAAGTCACTTGGACTCTCTAATGCTCATTTTCTCACTAATAAAATGATGATGATAATACAGTCTGCTTTACAGAACGGAAGCAAGAACTAAGGGAGATAGTATGTAAGAAAGCAATTTATAGAATGGAGATTACTATGTACAAGGGAGTTATTTTTCTGAACAAATGGCTTGACTCAAGGTCACTAAATATCCATGACAACATGCCCTTTAGGGTAATTCTGAGTAACATGAATCTTAAAGGATAATTAGGAATTGGGCAGTTAAAGAGTAGGAGAGAGAGCAGTTAGCTTTTGCATGAGCAAAACACACACACAAAGAAACCATGAGGCGTGTAATCTGCAGGGCAGGCTGGGGCATGCAGACTTGAGGGGTGGTGGGTGAGCAGGGGTGGGCAGATGAGCACCCAGGTGGTTTTGCTCAGTAGCAACTAAGTCTGAAGCAGACAGTGGCAGAAGCCTGATCCTAGAGGCATTATATACCTTCTCAGGAAGCTTGAATTTTATACCCTAGAATGATGTTGTATCTATTATGTTCAGTGAAACTTTAACAAACATATCTTTTAAAAAAAGTTTCTTTAGTCAAGCAAGTTCTAGAATGGTGATGTAAATAGTTAACCGTTTCTCTACTGCAGGACTAGTTGGAGGCTTTAGTATGCTAACATGAACCACAAATCTTCAAGAAGGAAGTACTCTGGGATGTTTCTTCAAGACCTTTGAGCACAGGACTTTTCTTTTTTTTTTTTTTTTGAGACAGCGTCTCACTCTGTTGCCCAGACTGGAGTGCAGTGGAGCAATCATCACTCACTGCAGCCTCGAACTCCTGGGCTCAAGCGATCCCCCCCACCTCAGCCTCCTGAGTAGTTGAGACCACAGACATGTGCCATCACACCCAGTTCATTTTTTTAAAGAAGTGTTTTTGTAGAGACAGAGTCTCTTTCTATTGCCTAGGATGGTCTTGAACTCCTGGGCTCAAGCAATGCCCCTGCCTGGACCTCCCGAGGTGCTGGGATTACGGGTGTGAGCCCCCAGGCCTGGCCAGCACCTTTTGTTGGTCCTCACTCCCTCTTGCCCTCCCACTGCTCCAGGATTTCCATGTTCTTACTCCACAAACTGGGGAACGCTAGGACCACGAGGGGCCATCAGTGAGCTCACTACAAGTCTGTGCTCGTAAACGCCACTGTGGTTTCGCCAGCTTTTCCTGATTTCCCATGCGCCTGCCAAAGACACCCTTCCCCAGCTCCTCTTCACACAGTCTACTGCTTCTTCCTCTCCATGGATGAACTCACCACTTCCGCTGTAGAAAGGGTGACATCCAAGCTGTGGGCCAGCCTTCTGCTCCACTCCAACACATCTACATCTACAGACTCTGTCTTTGCCAGTCCCTGAGATGTTGGTCCTCCTTTCTAAAGTGAAAGCCATATTCTAGTCTAAGATGAGAATAAGTGTCAGAGAAGTGAAACTACCTGTTCAAGGTTGGAGAGTTAGTAAGAGGCAGAGCTTTGGCTAGCATTCAAGTCCCCTGAAACCTGGATGAGGACCCCTTTCCTTGGCTCGTCACTATCTGTATCTTCCATTCTGTAGTCTTAATCCAAGAGGTTCAAGTACATGACAGATGAATGTCATTAACACATTTTTAAAATACTGGCATAAAATCACTTAAACACATTGTGAATGCCTATTGGCTTTAATCTGTCAAGTTTCTTTTACTTGAATTATTTTTTTCCTTTCTTTTCATTACACTATTTCTTTTTGTTTGTTTGTTTTGTTTTGAGGCAGGGCCTTGCTCTGTTGTCCAGGCTGGAGTGCAGTGGCATGATCATGGCTCACTGCAGCCTCAACCTGCCAGGCTCAAGCAATCCTTCTACCTCAGTCTCCCAAGTAGCTAGGACCACGGGTGTGTGCTACTACATCCAGCTAATTTTTTTTTAAATTTCTTGGTAGAGAAGGAGTCTTTCTGTGTTGCCCAGGCTAGCCTGGAACTCCTGGGCTCAAACAATCCTGCTTCAGCCTCTCAAAGTGCTGAGATTATAGGCGTGAGCCATCACACCCAGCCTGCACTCTTCCTTCAAGACAAATCACTCCAGTCCTAGAACTACCTAGGGAATAATATAAAACCTTCTGTACTAACAGTGAAAACTGAAGTTAATGAAATTCAGCTGCCTTTCACAGTAGTTTCCATTTTGTTTCCCTACATTTTCTCTGAGTTTCTACTGTGCTGGGGATGCCAACTGAGGGTGGGTGACAGTTGTGCTGGGTGACAATCAGGGAGGCTCCCCAGCTGCAGAGCCTCTGAAGCAGGTACCTGAGTTGCAAGGGCATTTCAGCAGGTAGCGGACCCACTTTCACCCCTGTTATCTCTTCATGCATTGCTGACATGGAACCAAATGCATCCACTGGTTTGCGCCACTGAAAATGTTTGGATTTAGAGACAGCATCTGAAAAAACGTCTCTCTAAAGCCCTTTGCTTTAAAGAAGGCCTCTTGGCATAAAGTCAACACCTTTCTTTCTCCATTGCCTATTTCTCCTGGTGTTTAGAGTAAAACTCTTCTTTGCCTCTTTCTTTTTTTCCTGAGTACTTTCGGTAGAATTAGTTTTTGTTTGGTTTGTGTTAAACCCATCTTTAAAACCTGTACGGCTATTTTCTAAGTTTTCAAAACTCATCCACTACTTTAATCACATTTTCCAGGCACTATTTCAGTCCAGATAATTTGAAGGCACCAGGCTTCAGAACTCAGAGCTGGCACACACATGACCTGAGAAGAGGGCTTGCTCACCAAGTTTACAGCAATCAGATTTGGAAGGAGTGAATGGTTGATTGTGTTTAAAAATAGTCAGTTGAATATGGGAGGCTTTTTCCAGTTACTGTGGAGAGAGGCTTTTAGGCCTGATTAGCCCCCAAACCACAAACTATAAATGCTTTATAGCTTGTGGGAATACATATATTCTGAGATAACCTGGGACATTCATTCCAAAGCTATAATAATATGGACACAACAAACCTCAGGCTGAATTATTAAATGAAGTCTAATAATGTTAATTATTAATAAAATATTACTATATATAACTTTTATAGTTATATATAGTACTACTTTTATATAATCTACACTTTTATATAATCCTTTTTCCTTCTCAGAGTATATATATCTGCTGAATCATTTTATTTTTCCAGAGCCTTGCCTCCAGTTTTTTTTTTTTTTTTTTTTTTGCTTGTTTATTTTTGAGACAAAGTCTCCCTTACTCTGTCACTGAGGCTGGAGGGCAGTGGTGTGATCTTGGCTCACTAGAACCTCCTCCTCCCAGGCTCAAGTGACTCTCCTGCCTCAGCCTCCTGAGTGGCTGGGATTACAGGTGTGCACCACCATGCCCAGCTAAATTTTGTATTTTCAGGAGAGACAGGGTTTCACCATGTTGGCCAGGCTGGTCTCAAACTCTTGACCTCAAGTGTACTGCCTTCCTTGGCCTCCCAAAGTGCTGGGATTACAGGTATGAGCCATCGTGCCCAGCCACCTCCAATTTCTTTCTAATGTAATCTATCCCTTATATTGTTGCGAGGGATATTTGTCCATAACACAGATACAAGCAATTTGGTTTTTTTGGCTCAAAATATTTCATGTTTCTCTATATCCATTAAGTCTGAACTCTCCACTATGACATTCGGTACTCCCCACAATCTGGCCTCTCACTTTCTAGCTTTCTGTGCCTCTAGTAACACTTTACCATTTCAGCTACCTCCCTCTCAATAACGAACATCAGCAAATATTTATTAAGCATCTATATTACATGCCTTGAACTTTGCTAAGTGTCAGGTTAATGTTGGTGAATAAAAGAGTTATGTCTCCAGGTCTTGTGTAGCTTTCCATCGAGTCACTAAGGGAGAAGATAATATAATTAAAAAACAAACCAATTCATACCAATTCATTGTGAGAAGTGTCACGAAGCAGATGCCGTAACGGAGAATCACAGGGGAAAGGCACTTCACTAGGAATCAAGGAGGACTTCCCTAAAAAGATTACAAGGTGAAACATGGACCGTACATTCCAGGCAGAGGGACTAGCATGTGTGAAGTCTCTGATTCAGACCTGTCTGCAAGGTGGGCTATGTAAAGTGAATATTCACAGCAGAGGACAGTATGACGGGAACATCTCGGGGCAAGGGGCGTTATGTAGCCTACCACAGGCACTGACTAGAAAACTCACTGTTAGATTTGGCATCCTGGGGTACATTGGGTTGAGAAATACAATTTTGGCAGAAAACAGTTTGGCATTGGCTGAGGAATGAATGAGAAACCAAGGAATGAGAAACCAAGGAATAGAAGGATCATAGACAATCCTTTAGAGAAGTTCTGCTTTGATAGGTGATAGCTTAAGGGGTTTGGGGAGGGAGATACTAGAATGTGTGTCTATGCCAAGACTGATTGAGTAAAGAGAGGGAGATTGATTCTGCAGGAGAACTGGAAGTTGAGCTTACCAGAGAAGTAGAAGACCACTGACAAGCAATTGAGAGCTCATTCGAAGTCTAAAGTCATTAATTTGGAATGAAAGAAATAATATAACTTTCTGCAGTTGTGCTCATGCACAGAGAAAGAAGGCTGAGTTTATCCATGAAGCTATGGAAGATAAAGGAATTTATGGTCTTCGTAAAAAGTAACTAGAATGGTGGAATATGGAATTGAAACTAGCCAAGAAAGGAGGCATTTATGAGGATATCGATGAACAGTGAGAAAGTGAGAGAATGGATGGAGTGGAGGCCGTGAAGAAACTGAAGGACTTTTCTAGTAGGGATACTTGAACAAATAAACTAGAAGGTTATGGAATGGCCCAAGAGCTTGATGTTGGCCTTCAAGATTTTAGAGGTTGTACAATGGTCCAGTGGGCAACTATTGGAGTGTGTGACTGAAGTAGACAGAAATAAAAGATCCCTAGAGATAAGGAGGTGAAGAAGCTGAGATGCCAGGGGACTGAAATGGCCTTTCCTGGGAATGCTGAGGTTACAAAGAGTGATGACAGAATTTGGGGTGGAGAGGAAGACAGGGAACCAGAAACTAAAATCTTCAGTGAATAAAGAGGAGTGGTGGGGAGACGGTGGGAACAAAGGAGACGGTGTATCCAAGTCACACAAACCCAAAAGGGCAAAGTTTCTGCAGGAAAAGGGGGACAATGGTCTGGTGGTGACAGAGGAAAGGAAGGAAAACACCCACCTTACATGGTTACTTGGAGTATGGGAAATAAAACAGCCTTTGGTGGCCATGGGAGAAGTGGTTTCAGAAAACCACCGCATTTCAGAATGGAGATGAAGAGAATGTTACAAGGGGAGGCTGTGAGATGGAAACATTTTATGGTGGAAGAGAAGGAGAACTTGGTCGAAGAGGAGTAAACAGAGATGTGTGAGAGTGAGAGCTCTGTTGACAGTGGATGATGGGATGCTGGGACCTCTTCCATGGTTGAGGCAAACGGAGATTTGTACAGTGAGATTTGGCTTGATGGCCTCTTACAGGAGTCTTGGTTCTGGTGGTCTGGGACCACAGTCCTGCCCATGTGGCCCAGGGTGGCAGCTCCCCTGGGACACCCTGCATGAACGTCTTCCTGCTGGATCCGTGGCCTCGCAGACCTCCAACACATTCTAGATTTTCCCCTTTCTGAGCTTGGCCCCCAGTGCTCCTCCATGTAAGATGCTCTTACCTGCTAGTGATACCTAACTTAGTCTCATCTGTCTTTAATGCCTGACATGAATGTCACTCTTTCTGCAACATCCTGCAAGATCCTTTCAATCAAGAGACCACTGCTCCCGCTTCTGAATTTATGTAAGTGGAGTGGGATATGCAATTCAAAATGGGATGTTTTAAGACATTTTTTTCCCTCTTCAGAAAACTTTTTTTATGTGCATTTTTGAGGCAGGAGGTATATGCTGAAGGGAGGTCCCTGTAGTTCTAAGGACCCCCAAACCTCCCTTCCAGGAAGGCTAAACAGGATTTGTGTTGTATTGCCAAGGGTTTGGGCTCTAATTTTTGTCTTTCTTTTCTTTCTCTTTCTTTCTTTCTTTCTTTCTTTCTTTCTTTCTTTCTTTCTTTCTTTCTTTCTTTCTTTCTTTCTTCCTTCCTTTTCCTTCCTTCTTTCCTTCTTTCTTTCTTTTCTTTCTTTCTTCTTTCTTTCTTTCTTTCTTTCTTTCTTTCTTTCTTTCTTTCTTTCTTCCTTTTCCTTCCTTCTTTCCTTCTTTCTTTCTTTTCTTTCTTCTTTCTTTCTTTCTTTCTTTCTTTCTTTCTTTCTTTCTTCCTTTCTTCTTTCTTTCTCTTTTCCTTCCTTCCTTCCTCTTTCTTTCTTTCTTTCTTTCTTTCTTTCTTTCTTTCTTTCCTTCTCTCTCTCTCTCTCTCTTTCTTTCTTTCTTTCTTTCCTTCTTTCTTTCGGGTCTTGCTCTATTGCTCAGGCTGGAGTGCTGTGGTGCAATCACAGCTCACAGCCTTGAACTCCTGGGCTTACGTGATCCTCCTGCCTCGGCCTCAAAGCAGGGGGCTGTTGTTTGAGAGACCCCTGAATTCCTGATTAGGAAAGAGACAGAGAATGAGGCTTTGGTGAAGGAAGGCTAAATAGGGTGTGGGTAGAAGCTGTTTGCGGGGAATCTGAGAAGACTACAGGAAATCGGCAGAAGGGATCTGAGCTTGGAATGTTCAGACGCCAGGGGCCATCCAGGAGGCCATAGAAGCCCATTCTTAGAAAGTTCTAGGGTGAGGGAAAAGAAGCAGGGACTGTACAAAACCAGAACCCAGATCCAAGGCCTGACTGTAGTCTTCTCCTGAGTGAACGTCACTCATCTGTACCAGAGCCCTCACCTGTCCACAGATAGTGCCTTACAAGAGTTGCAGTTTCTGGCTCAGTTGCTTTCCAGTCCCTAGCAAGGAGCCTTGTGCATATGTGGTAGATGCTCAAATAAGTTTATTGAATTAACGGACTATCTTCTGAGATAAGCAAATGTGTTAGTCCATCCTTGCATTGCTCTAAAGAAATAACTGAGACTGGGTAATATATAAAGAAAAGAGGTTTGATTGGCTCATGGTTCTGTGGGCTGTATGGGAAGCATAGTGGCTTCTGCTTGGCTTCTGGGGAGGCCGCAGGAGACTTACAATTATGTTGGAAGATGAAGCGGGAGCAGGCACCTCACACAGGGAAAGCAGGAGCCAGGCAGGGGGAAGTGCCACACATTTTTAAACGACCAGATCTCACAAAGACTCACTATCCTGAGAACAGCACCAAGGGAAGTGGCGCTAAACCATTCGTGAGAAATATGCCCCGGGATCCAGTCACTCCCCACCAGGCCCCACCTCCAACATTAGGGATAATATTTCGATTGGAGATTTGGGCGGGGACACACACCCAGACTATATCAGTAGGTTAATCACCTCAACCTTGTTATACTTTAGAATCTCCAGGACTAACTTCATACATTACTCCTGGAGATTCTGAAGTACAACAAGGTTAAGGTGATTTCTTTGTATTTACTTAAAAAGCAACTGACAGAGGAAGTAAGAATTCAGGCTACTTCATGTATGGGTATCTTTGCCATTTGTTTTAGCCTCAGCTGTGCATCTCCCCTGAAGGAACAGAATGAGAGTCTGCCACTAAGGTGACAACTTGCAGAAAAGAAAGGCAAGATTCTATGAATCCATAGTAACATTTTCCCTTTGCAAAGAGCTTGCATAAACAAGGCCATTTAAAAATAGTCTTCTGATATGAACTCTACAATAACCATAGTGTACAAAAATTGGAGTCCATATGGACGCAACCTGGGAGACAATATGCAAAAATTAAAGTCGTTGTAGAGTTAGGTTGAGACGATGAGTAATGGCCCCTGACCTTTCTTCAATCACTAGCTCACTATTTTTATATTACATTTTCAATACAAATGCTTCAGAAAATTCTCCACTTTAGAATAAGACACCTTGTTATATAAAGTCATCATAATAACTTTATAATAATAGCATTCATTTAATTGCTATTAAAAAGAATCACAGATAAAAAGTATTTTCTCAGCTCTGCTCCTGGAACACAGAAAGAATGCTCTTTAGGGTAGAGCAGCATCAGAAGCCCTCCCATGGTGGGGGACATTCCAGTTGGCATCCAAAAGACCCTAAGTATTAACAGGGGGACTTTAGGGTTGAATGCCACAGCTGCAGGTGCCTTTTGTCAAAATGCAGTGAGTAGGAAGCTGAAGAAATGACTAAGGAGCAGAACTGTGGAAGATGGGAGGGAGGTGAAGTCTGTGATATTAGTTTCAGATCATCGTCATCAAACCCTACCCACTGCCAGTCTCCCCGTGCCCAGTGCTCATCAGCTGTCACCCTGATACCTCCAGCTGGCAGTTCCTGAGTAAATTCTGAGTACAGCAGATGAGATCTCAGGACACTCAGATCCATCAGTTGCATGACCTTGAATTAGACTTGCCGCTGTAGGCTGCAAGGTTTGGAGGGCCTGAGGCATCATGTCCCCCACATCAGAGCCTTCTCCTGAGTGCTGCACGTAGAAGAAGTTTATTCAAAGTTAAGCCTGATCAAATTAACTTCTGCTCTTAGAAGTCAGGTTAGTGGTTTCCTTGAGGATGGATGGGTGGCAGAAGAAAGAAAGAATTCCTGGAGTGGTAGTAAGTTTCTCTTTCTTGATCAGGGTGTTACTTGCGTATGTTCACTTTTTGCAAATTCATTAAGCTGTTGTACATTTATTCTATGTACATTTTTTCTTTAATGTGTTATAATTTAATAAAAAGTTAAAGGAAGAAGAGAGGAGAGAGAGGGAGAGAAGAAGAAAGGAGGGGAAGAAGGAAGGAAGAAAGAGAAGCTCGATGATAAAACTAGATCGAGGAGCTTGAGCCTGATTCTATACGCAACTGAGTGCCACTCTAGGTTGTTTAGTCGAGTATGACATGATAGTTGCATTATTATAGGAAGATTAATTTTACCGTGGAGAGCAGTTGAAATGGGATGAAACTGAAGGCAAGAAAATGAGGGAAGAGTTACAGTGACCTAAGTCTGCATGATGAGGGCTGAGACTAGACTGGGAGGATGGTGATGATAGTTAGAAGGGTAGTGAGGGACATTCACCACATAAAGAGACAGTTTTCAGATAAGCTATTACATAAGTGAGCCGACATTCAGCACACACTACAGGTTGTTTACATATATAATATTTAATATCGTGTTGCACACTCACTTTGCTTAAATTGTAATAAGAAATCTTGCTGTTATCAGTTGGCATAGGACAACTCACATAGACTCAAGTCCATGGCTGAGGGCTACAGCTCTGGGTCTAACTAGTCTCTATTCTCAGATATGGACCATTTGTCAGGAGGCAAGAGCAAGGGCCTAGGAGTGACTCTAGCACAGACTAACCAACTGATTGGCAACAAGAGCCTTGCTTTTTTGCTTTGTTACGGTTTGGTTTGGTTTTAATGCATCAGGATAATACTGGTGTCAAATGCTTAGCTTGCCAGATCAAACTACTACACTTTCTGGGAGCTGTTCAAAAGATTAATACAATGGCTATATGTTTGAGATTAAAGAGGTAATTGCTTTCTGCAGCCTATAAAGAAGATTTTAAGAGACGAGATCGAACAGATTGATGCGTATCCTTCTGCAAAACAATATGAAAAATATATTGGCACAGGGCCCTTAGTACAACTTAGATTTATGCAAAACTTTCATTTTTCACAATCCAAAATTAACAAACTCAGAATGACACAAATGTGTTGAAATGCAATGCAAACTAAACATTTTAGTACATCGTCCTATAGTTCAACAGAATGTTGATATTTAAATTCACAATTAGGCACCTCATTTAATTTCTGCATGATGATCCAATGGGCAGAAAAAGATGAATTGCTGACACACTGACTTTTTTTGAACTCCCAAAAGGGAAACAAAAGTTTGCAGTCAGAGACGAGTGAGGAGTTCATCTGGTTCATTAGTTGGCATAAATCTGTAATTATGTACAAAAATAATTTGTATGTACTGTGCTAACTGTATGATTATTATTATTTAGCTTTGCTCTGATGCCAATCATTGAAACATAATCCAATTTTATTAAGTTCCTCAGAGCCTTGGAGAATGTTAGTTACAAGCCCGTTCTCTGCTCATTAGCGCTGACCTTTATGGTTTGTTTATTTGGAATTTTTAAAAAGTTTTTTTGGCCTCCTGCCCCTAAGTTAACTCGCCTTTGTTTAATAATCTATACTGTCATTACACCCTCTTGACCCAGAAGAGAAGCAGATGAATGGGAGTACTGATGCCAGCTTTACAGCTTCTGCACACAGGCAATGTGCCTGAATTCCTATCATTTGTCTCTGATTTCTTTTGAAACAAAGGGATCGAAGAGAAAGAGAAGAACAGGTATTCAAGGTCTTTATGGACTCATAATTAAGCACTGTTATATAATGTGATTAAATAGCACAGGGCATATAGTAAGTCCAATGTCAATATCATTTATTATCATTGTTGTTGATGGTGTTGTCTCTTCATATTTTTGAGCACCTCCACTTCAGTCTTGTGCCCCATCTTGAGGCTTTGTTCAAAGGTCTTGTACCCCCAAATCTAAGTCCTACCCAACAGAGCAGCTGTTTTCTTTCTACCCTCTTCAAAAGGAACAAGAAAATGATCAGACAAAATGATCAGCCAGATGGGTGGAGCTAAGTGAAGACACGCTAAAAGGGAAGAACACTTCAGCCTGCAAGATGTCCAAACAGTATCATGTTCAAAATCTATCAAATCTGAATGGCATGTGTAAGCTGAATATGGGTAGTCCCTAAATCTACAGGTATTCAGATGACAAGTGGACTCTGAAGTTTAATGATTGAGAGCTTAAGACAAAATGAATTTTTTATTTCACATAGTAGGTAATAAACTTAATAAATTAATTACTGAAATGGTCAGGTAGGAAATATACCTTTTTTTAATTAAAAAAAATTTTTAGAGATAAGGTCTTACTCTGTGGCCAAGTCTGGAGTACAGTGGCATGATCATCGTTCACTACAACCTCAAGCTTCTGGGCTCAAGCAATCCTCCTGCCTCAGCCTCTCGAGTAGCTGGGACTACAAGCATGAACTACCACACCTGGCTAATTAAAATTTTTTTACTAGAAACAGGGTCTTGCTATGTTGCCAAGGCTGGTCCTCGAACTCTTGGCCTCAAGCAATCCTCCTGCCTCAGCCTCCCAAACTGTTGGGATTACAGGCATGAGCCACAGTGCCCACAGGAAATATAATTGAATTATAAAAAGGTCAGGAACATTTAACAATCATTATCTAAGTATCTATTATGAAATGATGCAAACTACTAGCCAGGGATGGTGACATGTCCCTATGGTTTCAGCTACTCAGGAGGCTGAGGCTGGAGGATCACTTGAAGCCAGGAGTTCGAAACCAGCCTGGGCAACACAGCAAGAGCCCATCTCTACAAAAAATACAAAAATCAGCCAGGCATGGTAGTGTGCGCCTACGGGCTCAGTTACTTGGGAAGCTGAGGTGGGACGACTGCTTGAGCCCAGGAGGTTGAGGCTGCAGTGAGCTATGATTGTACCACTGCACTCCAACTTGGGCAACAAAGCAAGAAAGTGAGACATTACCTCAAATTAAAAAAAAAAAACTACCTAAAAATTTGGGAAATGATTATATTTTAAATAATTATATTATATTTAAAAGAATATATTTTAAAAGAAAAAACTTAAAATTAAATGTATATCACAAATACAGTAATACAAAAATATGGAAGCTTGCAACAAAAGAATTTATTAAAATGAAAGTAATTCTGGTAGGATTGGGGGCAGTTTTCTTCACTCAAAGAGTTATTTAATATGATTTTGCTTTAAATTAACATTTTTCCATTTTACCTTTTTCTATGCTTTTATTTCGACCTTTTGATGTTATGTTTTAGGTGTGTCTCATAAATAGCGTATAGCTGGAATTGTTTCCTCAGTGGTGACAATCTCCCTCTCTCATGGTTTACTTTGCTTTTAACTTGTAAAATGATATAATTTACATTCATTGTGCTTATTGATATAGTTAGACTTGTTTATAACACATTAACTGATTATTTTCATTTGTCCTACTTTTTCCGCGCCTCTTTTGTCATCTTCCTTGCATTTAAAAAAAATTTAACAAGGTTTTTATTTATTTATTTTTATCCCCTGGCTTCTTTTTTTTTCTTTTGGTTTGGAAGCTAAATATTCTATTGTTATTCTTCTGTCACTTTCCTTGAAATTTAAGTTAAAAAAGCCCAAGTGTAATCAATATCTTAGTCTTTTTCTCAAACTAAAATAACCTTGGAATACCTTATTCCACAATTAGACATCATAATTTTTATTATAAACAACATGCTTTCTTTTTTGTTTTTTTAAGAGATGAGGTCTCACTCTGTTGCCCAGGTTAGAGGGCAGTGGTGGAGGGTCTTGCAGCTGCGGTTGCTCACTGCAACTTCAGCCTCCAACTCCCGGGCTGAAACAGTCCTCCAGCCTCAGCCTCCTGAGTAGCTAGAACTACAGGCATGAATCACCAAACCTGGCTAATTTTTTAAATTCTGTAGAGATGGGGTCTCACTACATTGCCCACACTGGTTTTGAACTCCTGGGCTCAAGCAATTCTGCTACCTTTGCCTCCTAAACTGCTGGGATTTACAGGCATGAGCCACCATGGCTTGGCCAATAAACTACATATTTTCTAATATATTTGCTCACCATTCCTTCTTGTGTATCATACAATCCTTCTGAAATCATTTCCCTTTATCTTGAAGTAGAGTCTTCAGAAGTTTCTTCAGTAAAGGTCTGCTGGTGGCAACTTCCCCAGCCTTTCAGTATCTAAAACGGTTGTTGTTTTGCTCTCATTCTTGAAACAGTTTTTTCTGGGTTTTCATTCAGCTGTTGATGATATTGTTCCACAATATCTGACTTTGTCTTTTATTTTATAATATCTTATTGATGCATAACAGGTACACATCATTCTGGCTTCCTTTCTGTGTGTGTTGACATGTCTTCCATGTTTCATTGTCACACCTCTGTAAGTGGGCCACCTTTTTTCTTTGGCTGCTTTTAAGATCTTCTCTTTGCTTTTAATATTTTGCAATTTCACTAGGGCTTATCTAGGTACAGTTGTATTTTTATTGATCTTGTTTGCTAAGTTTCTGTACATATACGTTTTTCATCAGAAACCCATTTTGCTTTTCAGTCACCACCTCTCTTCCGTTCTTTCTATTCTCTACCTCTGTGGCTCTGATTGATAATATGTATGGTAGAAGTCATCATTCCATCCTCCATATTCCTTCCACATATTTCCTGTGTCTAGGCTGATGTAGTCTCTCTTCAGTTGCCATTAATTCACTATTGAATCTGTTCATTGAGTTTTTATTTTAACAATTATATTTCTCACTTTTTTTCTACTCTGTGCTTATCCAATCCCTCCCTCCCTCCCTCCCTTTTTTCCTTCCTTCCTTCCCTCCTTCCCTTTTTTCCCTCCTTCCTTCCTTCCTTCCTTCCTTCCTTCCTTCCTTCCTTCCCTCCCTCCCTCCCTCCCCCCCTCTCTCTCTTTCTCCCTTTCTCTCTTCCTTGTTTTTGGTTGTTGTTTTAGTTTGGGTTTTTGTTTGTTTGTTTGAGACAGGGTCTTCCTCTGTCACCCAGGCTGAAGTGCAGTGGCATGATCGTGGCTCACTGCAGCCTCAGCCTCCCAGACTCAAGCAATCCTCTCACCTCAGCCTCCTGGATAGCTGGGACTACAGGTGTAAGCCACTATGCCTGGCTAATTTTTGTATTTTTTGTAGAGATGAGGGTCTTCCCATGTTGCTCAGGCTGGTCTTGAACTCCTGGCCTCAAGGGATCTGCCCGCCTCGGCCTCCCAAAGTGCTGAGGTTACAGGCATAATCCACTGTGCCTGGCTGTATTTTTTCATTTTTGAAAGTTCCATTAGGCTCTTTTGTAAATCTACCTATCATTTGGTTTTTTGATCAAGTTGTTTATGATACCATTCTTTATTTCTACAAATACTTCCCACTTAATTATTTTATGTCCTTTAATAATTTTTAAAATCTGAACACCTTGGGGTCTAAGTCTGTTTACTTCCTTCTTATTCATCAATCTGACTTGTTTCTTTGTGTTTTTTGCTGATCTTTGATTGTGAACTCATATTTGCTTGATATTAATCCATGCAAATGATGCCGATTTCTAAAAAGAGAACTTGTGCCTGTTTTTGCTGCTACTGAAACGGGCGCTTTTAAAGTCCTCTTTGGAGTTCTCTGGTTTGCACCAGAATAGCAGGTTTAACTCACCCACCTGCTGCTGGCCTGACGCTTGAGCTCCTTATTGCAACGGCCTTTGCTCTCAGGTAAACACTCATGTCCCATTGCTGACTGTTCCCAGCTCCCGTTTCTGTTTTTACTTACTTTATAGTTGGGAGACAGAAGTGGGGACTAGAAGCTGTGGGGGTAAGAAAGTCCTTGAAGATTTCCTTTACCTCTCCTGAGTCCTGCAGTATATTAAAAGATGTAATTTGTATCAAAGGAGATTTTTTTTACATTTCTAAACTTCTTAAGCAATTAACATGGTGTTTGATACTGTACTTATTTAACAAATGAATAAGTAATTTTAAAAATGTATAAAAATAATAGCAATAACATTCATGGGGCATAGCCTTATGCCAGACCCTATGCCAGTTTTAATCTTCCCAACAATCTTACAAGGTCAATATAATTAATGTGATTTGTTTATTTTACAAATGGTAAATGGCTGTTATGACTTTAACCCAAATCTGTCTTGTTCCAAAGCCCATGCACATAATTGCTACGTATATTGTTTTGGCATAAATAAATGAATAAATATAAAATTTCACCATTAAATTAATAAATATTTCTTGAGGATTTATAAGTAAATAGTAATAAATTTATTATAAATAAATAGTAAAATATCTAAACATTGTTTTGTAAATACTGGGATACAGCAACGAACAAAAGAGAAAAATATTTCACCTATGTGGAGCTTACATTATAGTGGAAGGAAAAAGATACAACAAAAATATGTAAGCACATTTAATATATGAAATATGTAAGGAAGATTGAGTTTACCAAGAGCTGGGCAAGACTATTACTATTTTACTTTAAGTGACCAGGGAAAACCTCATTTGACAGGTGACATTTGAGCAGAATATATGAATGAATAAGTTTAAATTTTAGCTGTCTTGGTACAACATGAGACACATTACATATAATTTAAACATAAAACAAAATTGGATTTTCTTTGATAAGAGTCATGTTCTCGAACAGTTATTTTTTTTTTTATTTTGTTTTTTTGAGATGGTGTGTTGCTCCATCGCCCAGACTGGAATGCAGTGGTGGGATCTTGGCTGACTGCAACCTCCGCCTCCCAGGTTCAAACGATTCTCCAGCCTCAGCCTCCCGAGTAGCTGGGATTACACACATGCACCACCATGCCCAGCTAAGTTTTGTATTTTCAGTAGAGATGGGGTTTCACAATGTTGCCCAAGCTGGTTTCAAACTTCTGAGCTCAAAGTGATCTGCCCGCCTCGACCTCCCAAAGTGCTAGAATTACAGGCGTGAGCCAACATTCCCAGCCTCTAAGAGATTTTTGTTGTTGTTGTTGTTTGAGATGGAGTCTCACTCTGTTACCCAGGCTGGAGTGCAATGGCACAATCTCGGCTCACTGTAATCTCTGCCTCCCAGATTCAAGCGATTCTCCTGCCTTAGGCTCCCTAGTAGCTGGGATCACAGGCATCTGCCACCACGCCTGGCTAATTTTTCTATTTTTAGTAGAGACAGGGTTTCACCATGTTGACCAGGATGGTCTCGAACTACTGGCCTCAGGTGATCCACCCGCCTCAGCTTCCCAAAGTGTTGGGATTAGAAGCATGAACCACCAGGCCCAGCCAAGAATTATTTTTAATATTAACAATGTATTATACTATGCTTTCTATTTAAAATAATCAAATATCATTGTATTATATTTTTTGACCTTATCCTGGAAAGCTAATGGGTGAAACGTCAGAGTGAAATGGTTATTAACATGTGTTTGAATTCGAATGCATTTATACCTCCCTGTGTGATCTTGGGTGAGTTACTGTACCTTTTTGGTCTCAGTTTCTTAAAGTGGGAATAAAATACAATGTCTTCTTCACATGGTTATTGTGAGGATTAAACAAATCAATAAATGTAATACACTGAGAACAATGCCTATAATAAGTGCCAGCTGTTGTTATTATTATTCTCATTTTCTAGTTGAGTAATTCTAGACGCAGAATGATTGCTGAAAAACAAGACTGTAAAATGTAAATTCCCTGGTTTCAGCAGGGAAGCAGTCTAATTGCCTTAACAAGCTTAAAGTCTATTTTTGAATCATTTCAACATTCACTTCCTAGCATCTCTTTTCATGCATTGTGCTTTCGTTAGAGCAATTTAAGTTGCTACTAACAGGATTTCAGGGTTAAATTCAACAGAATATATACGATTCTGCAAATGTTTTTTCAAAAAGATAGATGGGCAGACCCTTTCTTATTGCAGTTTTCTCCCATTTTCTTGTTTGTTTTTCAATTTTTAATTATATTTTTTAAAATTTTTGTGGGTACATAGTAGGCATATATATTTATGGGTACATGAGATGTTTTGATACAGGCATACAATGTGAAATAAGCACATTGTGGAGAGTGGGGTATCCATTTTCTTAAGCATCTATCCTTTGAATTACAAACAATTCAATTATATTCTTTATTTTAAAATATACAATTAAGTTATTATTGACTATAGTCACGCTATTGTTCTTGCAAATCATCTCATTTATTCTTTTTATTTTTTTGTACCCATTAACCATCCCCACCTTCCCCCGCCCAACTCTCCAGTACCCTTCCCAGCCTCTGGTAACCATCCCACTACTCTCTATGTCCATGAGTTCAATTGATTTGATTTTTAGATCCCACAAATAAGTGAGAACATACAATGTTTGTCTTTCTGTGCCTGACTTATTTCACTTAACATAATGATCTCCAGTTCCATCCATGTTGTTGCAAATGACTGGATCCTATTCTTTTTCATGGCTGAGTAGTACTCCATTGTGTATACATACCACGTTTTCTTTATCCATTCATCTGTCGATGGTCACTTAGGTTGCTTCCAAATCTTAGCTATTGTTAACAGTGTTGCAACAAATATAGGAGTGCAGACATCTCTTCTATATACCGATTTCCTTTCTTTTGGGTATATACCCAGCAGTGGGGTTGCTGGACCATATGGAAGCTCAATTTTTAGTTTTTTGAGGAAACTCCAAACTGCTCTCCATAGTGGCTGTACTAATTTACATTCCCACTTACAGTGTACAAGGTTCCCTTTTTTCCACATTCTTGTCAGCATTTCTTATTGCCTGTCTTTTATAGTAAGCCATTTTAACTGGGATGAGATGATATCTCACTGTAGTTTTGATTTGCATTTCTCTGATGATCTCAGTGATGTTGAGCACCATTTCATATGCCTGTTTGCCATTTGTATTTCTAATTTTGAGAAATGTCTATTCATTATCTTTTGCCCATTTGTAAATTGAATTATTAGATTTTTTCCTATAGCGTTGTTTGAGCTCTGTATGTATTCTGGTTATTAATTCCTTGTCAGATGGGTAGTTTGCAAACATTTTCTCCCATTCTGTGGGTTGTCTCTTCACTTTGTTAACTGTATCCTTTGCTGGATACTTGATGTGATCCCACTTGCCTTGGTTCCTTGTGCTTGTGGAGTATTGCTCAAGAAGTCTTTGTCCAGACCAATGACCTGGAGATGTTTCCTGATGGTTTGTTGTAGTAGTTTCATAGTTTGAGGTCTTAGATTTACATCTTTAATCCATTTTGATTTGATTTTTGTATATGGTGAGACCTAGGGGTCTAGTTTCATTCTTTTGCACATGGATATCCAGCTTTCCCAGCATCATTTATTGAACAGACTGTCTTTTCCCCAGTGCATGTTCTTGGCATCTGTCAAAACTGAGTTCATTGTAGGTGTGTGGATTTGTTTCTTGGTTCTCTATTGTGTTCTATTGGTCTATGTGTCTGTTTTTAGTTTCCTCAAATTTTGGATTCAAATTGTGACTCCTATTTAACTAAGGAATGATGTACAATTCTCAGCACAAATCTAGTGTATTTTACTGATTTACAGGAAGTACTAAAAATAAAATTATTTTTACTAACGGATGGTCTTTATTTCAGTTTATAATATATAGTAGAGTAAATATGAAAGAAATTTCAAAGTAGAGGCCATTCTTTTTCCAGAAGAATCACAGATTGCTGAGGATTTGGGCACCAGCTCTGCTTTCTAAACATTCACATTTCATGAACCTTCCAATAAGGTAGCTAATAGCTATACGTAGCTATTGAGCACATGGAATGGGCCTAGTACAAATTGAGATTATCTCTAAGTGTAAAATACACATTAGATTTCGAAGTCTTTGTATAAAAAATGAATATGTAAAATATTAATTTTTACATTAATTATATTTTGGGATCTTAATGTTTTGGATATATTGGTTTAAAATATATTATTAAAATTAATTTTACTTGTTTCTTTTTACTTTTGTAAATGTAGCTGTTAAAAACTTTTAAATGATAAATATGACTCACATTATATTTCTATAGAATGGCACTGGTCCACACAGCCTTAGTAAAACCTTTCTTTTTCTTTTCTTTTCCTCTCTCTTTTTTTTTTTTTTTTTTTAATATAGAGACAGGATCTCCCTCTGTTGTGCAGGCTGGTCTCAAACTCCTGCCTTCAAGCGATCTTCCTGCCTGGCCTCCCAAAGTGTTGGAATTACAGGCATGAGCCACTGCACCCGCCCAGTAAATCCTTTCTGATACACCCTTAGTACTTCCAACTAAGTACCAGTCATCATTTTCCTTCATTTCATGGGTATGGGGACAAAGAAAATGGCATATTCAGTTCCCAAACTGTCATTTCTGCCAGTCCTACCTAAAAAATTGGTCCATAGCCAAAAAGATGGTCTTACTTCATTTTGACTACGTTTACTATGCTTAAGACAAGGTGTTAGTTATTTCAGTACCCAAAATAAAGCTTTTCAGAATTTGTTCATACTTTTTTTTTAAGAGATGGAGTCTATATCTGTCACGCAGGCAGGAGAGTAGTGGCGCTATCTCGGCTCACTGCAACTTCCGCCTCCCAGGCTCAAGCAATTCTCCTGCCTCAGCCTCCTAAGTAGCTGGAATTACAGGCATGCACCACCATGCCCGGCTAATTTTTGCATTTTAGTATAGACAGGGTTTCACCATGTTGCCCAGGCTGATCTTGAACTTCTGACCTCAGGTGATCCACCCGCCTTGGCCTCCCAAAGTGCTGGGTTTACAGGCGTGAGCCACTGTGCCCGGCCTTGTTCATACTTTTAAGTTCATTTAACTTGATTTGGGGGCACAAAGTTCAGTGGGATGAGAAAGAGAATAGAGAAGGAGAAAAGACAGGGATACCTCGCCCATTTAAATACACTAGGAAATTAAACAATTTTAAATCATCAGATTACGGAGGACTACTTAGATGCTAACATATAATTTAGGTAAAGGTGGATGATAGAGGAAAAGATTCCCCAGGGTAATTACTTGGTTACTGACATATTCACCATGATTCACCAAATCCCACAGTAATTACACTCCTTCTCTTGGGTGTGTTCCTAACAAGAATCTATTAATTTGACTAAACGTCAAATCCACCTCGTACAGGGCACACTGTTGGGGGCACCACATAGAGGTAGCGGCCTCCTGTTTGGCGCTGCTGTCTCTTGCCCATGCTCTATTGTGAAGGGTTGTGGGGGCGACAGAGGACAAAGAAGACGCTGGAGAGGATTTTCCACCGACAGCCTAGGAAGGGATTTCCCTCTCTGCAGGAAGAAGAGGGCAGAGTCTCTTAAATCATCTTCGTGAAGTCCAAAACCCCTGGGAGTTTGAAATACACTTGACCCCATGAGTTTCAGATACAGGGTTGGAATCTTGCTGTGGGCTGCCACAGCTTGGGAGGCAAGGCAAGGAACTGGGCCCTTCATCTACTCACTTACGCTGCTCTGAGCCACTTTCCCAAAGGTTACTTTTTCCCTTCTGTGCTTTATTTGCGTATTCACACAATCATGCCCTAACTCGAAGACAACTCAGTGGGTGCTATAATGGTTGCCAGATATGTCTCAGATATTCTGGGATAATGCATGCTGTCTCTCTATGATGTGGGCCAGTCTTTGCAAGTCTATATACAATTATAGTAATTAGATTTACCTTCTCTAAATCTACTAACACAGAAAGAAGATATGTAGAATCTTTTTAGTATAACTGTAAAGAGAAAATGAATTCCATGAATTATGAAAAGAGTAGTGCGTGTAAATATGTGTTCATGTTAAGATTATAACTTATTTTGAGAAACTGTGCAACAATCTAATGTATTAAAAAGTTTATTTATCCTCAAATTTCCTACTAAGAATTATGGTTTAAATTCATTTTCCTGAAAGATTTCAAGGATCTGGGTAGAAATTGGCAATTAAAAATGTAATTAGATGTAATTTACCATAACTAGGACTTAAAAAAAAAACCTACACTGTTTCTTTAACACTTCTAATTATCTGGCTTTGGTGAAAGCATTTATGGTTCCTTTCTTGGAAACCTTTCCTTAGTAACTATTCACATACCACTCCAGATGGGTGTTTCATATTTGTTACTGCTTACTGCCCTTTGTACCTAAATTTCATTTTGCATAAAGCTAGCACATGAGAAAACTAATGAAAAGGATGTATAATTTCTTGTCTCTTAGAAAAATCCCATTTCTTTTCTCCTGAGAGTGAGTGAAATATGTAACTCTATATATAGTTTACAATATGCAGTAATTATATTCAAATGTCTTTCAAATTACTATTTTCTTCTGAGTACTATTGCTCTAGTATAAGTTCAGCACTCTAGTATAGCCAGCTTACATGATACACAAGCCGTAATGTACTTCCCAAATCTTGCATACCACATAGAATTTCTACATGCCAGTCTGTTTGGGACACCCTCATTCCTTCTGCCCCTATGGGACCATCTGAGTCATGACTTGAAAATCCAGATGAGGTTCCCTCATGCTCAGGGTCCCTTGAAAATGCCACGTTCCCCAAAGAAGGTGACACCTGAAGCTACCGCTCCACTTTCAATGGCCAATGACTGTATCCCATTGCTTGGTGTGTGGAGAGCCATATTTCTGAAAGTTCCTTGACTCTGTGACAGGTCTGTCTCATTTTCCCCTTTGAGCTTCCACCTGCAGCCTGAGTTTGCCACTGCTTCCCTGTCTCAATCGGGGTTCTTCCTCCAGCAGTAGATCTGGGAGCAGCTTCAAGAAAGGTTCATCAGACATTTTCTCCTAACACTTAAACCATCTGACACCATCAGATGGGTTTCTGGATAATGAGCTTTTAATTGGCTCATATGTTTTTGAAAATGTCATCTTTTTGCCGTTAAACTTGATTCTCTTACCATTACGTTCTTCTTTTGGGAGTGAATTCAAATGAGGGCTGGTTTAATTGGGTCATCTATCCTAAACCTCCATGAATGACCAGAGAAAAGGCACTCCATGCATAAATAATTTGTTGATGATGTATGAGACCCACGTGCTTTTTTTTTTGTTATTGTAATAGTGTTGTTTTGGTTTTGTTTGTTTCTTTCTTTTTTTCTCTTCTTTTCTGTTTTTTTTTTTTTTTTTTTTTTTTTTTTTTTTTGAGACGCAGTCTCACTCTGTTGTCCAGGCTGGAGTGCAGTGGCGTGATCTCGGCTCACTGTAAACTCCGCCTTCCCGGGTTCAAGTGATTCTCTTGTTTCAGCCTCCCGAGTAGCTGGGATTACAGACGTGGGCCACCACGCCTGGCTAATTTTTGTATTTTTAGTAGAGATGGGGGTTTCGCCATGTTGCCAGGCTGGTCTCAAGCTCTTGGCCTTAAGCAGTCCTCCTGCCTCAGCCTCCCAAAGTGCTGGGATTACAGGCGTGAGCCACCGCACCCGGCCTGTTTCCTTCTTTCTATTAGCTAGTTTTCTTTGTGCCTGAGCTTTACAAGAACATATGAGAAAAGTTCTGCCCTAACTCAGGCACCCTTAGACTGGCCTATCTATACTTTCTTGTGGGTTTTCTTTTGCCACAACAACATCGCGTTCATTCAGCTTGAACAATCGCAATTGCAAACATGGAGCATGTCAGCCGTCGCCCGGGGAGCGCAGTGACCCAAGAACTCAGTTCGACTCTGCTTATCTGGGAGGCCCACTCAGTCTGGCAACAGGAATCCTCTGCGCATTTCTCCTCAACAAAAATCAGCTGTACAGGCTCCTTTATCCATTTATTTTTCTGGATCACAAAGTTGTCTCTAAAGCTCCAAATAATAATTTCTGGAGGATACCTTTTTATGTGGTAATGTTTAATTGGGATATAATTCATATAACATGAAATTCACCATTTTAAAGTGGTTTTTAGTATGGTTAGTTGTTTTTAGTAAATTTGCAATGTTGTACAATCATCACCACTATATGATTCCAGAACATTTCCACCATTCTGAAAAGAACCTCTATACCTGCGAGCAGTCATTTTCCATTCCCTGCTTCCCCCATCCCCTGGAAGCCTCTAGTTTACTTTCTGTCTACGTGGATTGCATATTCTGGATATTTCATATAAAAGGAATCATACAATACTTGGTCTTTTGTGTCTTGCTTTTGTTCCACTTAGGTAACGTTTTCAAAGTTTATCTATGTTGCAGCATGAATCAGTACTTCATTCCTACATGAATAATATTCCATTTATGGCTGGATAGTATTTCATTTATACATACACCATATTTTATTTATCTATTCCCAAGTTGATAGGCATTTGAATTGTTTCTTTTTTTTTTTTTTTTGGCTATTTTGAACTAATGCTGCTATGAACATTTGTGTACAAGTTTCTGTGTGAACATATATTTTCAATTCTCTCATCTATGTACCTAGAAGTGGGATTGCTGGGTCACATGGTAACTCTAGTTTCACTTTTTGAGCAAATGTCAAACTGTTTTCCACAGCACTACCATTTTAAAATCCCAGGAAGAATGTATGAGCATTTCAACTACACAGCATCACTTGTCATTATTTCTGTTTTTAATCACAAGTGTGCAGTAGAATTTTCCATGACATCATTGTTTTATCAGCTCATGGAATGTGTACTTGTGTATTCTCATGTTTCACAACATTCTCAGACTTAATTTATAACATATTTACATCTAATATACATACATATCTCATATATCTAGCTAGCTTGCTAGCTCTCATAAAAACAAAGCCAGAATCTCTTAGGGATTCTCAATAATTTTTGTTTTTAGAGTGTAAAGGGGTCCTTACACCAAAAAGTTAAAAAATGCTCATCTAAAGAGATTAAGCAACATAACTATGTTTTCTGTGACGTGTTTTATTTCTACTATTCTGGAAAGAAAACAAAAGATTTTTTTAAGAGATTGGGTCTCACTATGTTGTCCAGGCTGACCTGGAACTCCTGGGCTCAAATGATCCTCCCAGCTCAGCCTCCCAAGTAGCTGAGACTATAGGTGCACACCACTGTGCCTGGCTATATATATATATATATACATACACACACATATATATACACACACACATATATATATACACACACACACATATATATACACACACATATATATACATACATATGTATATATATATATTAAATTCTAGGGTATACAGTTGCATAGTTGTTTAAAATTCATTAACCTGTAAGAATTGCCCAATTCATAGAATTATGTGAAACTTTTGTAAGATTTGATGCCTTACTGTATTCATGTTATACTTCAATTTAAAAGTAGTTTCAAAACATGGACATTAAATAATTCTGGTGAGGAAAGGAATTAGAAAATAAATAGCTCTGCACTAATCCCAGATAATTGTCCAGGTTAAGATTTTTATAAAAGCATAAGTGATTTTACAAAACCAAATTTTACCTCCCTGCAATTATTATCTCATTCCTAGAGAATCTTTACCTTAGAACTTCCCTCTCAGAAACTAAAGGAGAGAGTATTTCAAGAATGATGGGAAGGTTCTCAAAAATAAAATTCTGCCAGTGTACTGATACATAAACTGGATTGCTATTTAAAAAAACGGAAAAGATTCATGTACAGAATAGAGAAGACAGGACCTGCAGTAAGAAACAAATTCATGAAATTATATTTTTGGTTTTAACCAGCTTGTTCTGTCTGTCTCCTACTCTAACCTGACTTGGACTATGTGACACAGAGCAGCACTTTCCCCAGAAAAAGTAGTTGCTAGAAATAAAGCAAGCTTTAAGTTTTATTTCAGTGACGATCTGGCCCAAACTGATGGTGACTATGTAGAACAGGGCCCTTCCCACCCCTCTAACTTGTTAAATAGTTCTAAGATTGGAGGAGAGAGAGACAAGGAAGAGGAAGAATACAATTAGAAGTAGTGGCTGGGCATGGTGGCTCACGCCTGTAATCCCAGCACCTTGGGAGGCTGAGGCGGGTGGATCACCTGAGGACAGGAGTTCGATATCAGCCTGACCGACATGGAGAAACCCCGTCTCTACTAAAAATACAAAATTAGCCGGGCGTAGTGGTGCACGCCTGTAATCCCAGCTACTCAGGAGGCTGAGGCAGGAGAATTGCTGGAACCCGGGAGGTGGAGGTTACACTGAGCACAGATCGTGCCACTGCACTCCAGCCTGGTGACAGAGGCAGACTCTGTCTAAAAAAAAAAAAAATAGACGTAGTGTATGGACCATGTGCTCTGCCCCCATCTCCATCCTCCAGAAGAAATTGGGAGTGCCCAGTGAAATCTTTTTTAAAATTTGAGGATCTGAAGGAGAGAAGACCTGGGTTATAGCCTAGGGTAAGAAATAGCCAGCCTTGAGAGAATGCTTACCCCTGCTCCATGCCATTCTGGTGTAGAAATGATGACAACGTATATACTCCTCAACAGGTCACTTCATTCAACTCCATAGCTCCAAACTGTGGCTGACGTACCAGCAACTACCAAATGCCATCTATCTCCAGGCCAGACTTCAATTCGTAGTTTTAGACACTAAGATACCCAACTGCCCACTCAACACATCCATTCAGGTCTCTCACAAGCACCTCAATTTCAACATGTTGAAAACCCAATTTATAATTTTCCCTGTGCAAACTGCTCCCTTGCCATTGTTTGCTATATAAGTCAGTAATATCATTTCCTAGCTCAGTAAAATTGACATCTCCACCTAGATGTTTAATAGGCATCTCAAATTTAACAAGGACAAAAATAACTCTTTACTTTTGGTACTTATTATTTATTATATCTGTTAATGGTACTACAAGACACCCAATTGCTTAGGCAAAACTTTCATTGCTGTATTGGATTTTTCTTTTTCTTTTCTTTCTTTCTTTCTTTTTTTTTTTTTTGGAGACAGAGTTTTGCTCTTGTTGCCCAGGCTGGAGTGGAGTGGCACAGTCTTAGCTCAATGCAACCTCCACCTTCCAGGTTCAAGTGATTCTCCTGCCTCAGCCTCCCGAGTATCTGGGATTACAGGCGCCACCATGCCCGGCTCATTTTTGTATTTTTTGTGAAGACAGAGTTTCATCATGTTGGCCAGGCTGGTCTGGAACTCCTGATCTCAGGTGATCCATTCGTCTAGGCCTCCCAAAGTGCTGAGATTACAGGCCTGAGCCACTGCACCTGGCTGGATTCTTCTCTTTTACTAGCTCTCCACCCACAGTTCCAAAATAAAACTGTAGCTTCTGTCTTCACTTCGGAGATCTGACCACTGCTTTCTACCTCCTCTGCCACCAACTAGCTCACATTAGCTTTTGCTTGGGCTGAACCAATAACCTTGTAAACATCTCTGGACTTCCACTGTAGGAACCATCTATCCTCCCTACAGCAGCCAGAAAGAATTTTTAAAATACTGACCTTTTCAGAGGCATTTCATTACACATGGGAGGAAATAAAAACCTTCCTCTGGCTTTCAACGTCCCTATAATGTGGCCTGTCTCGACTTCTTTAAACTCACTCCACTTTCCATTCACCCACTAGATACAGCCACACTGGCCGCTCTGTTCCTGGGGTTGTCAGATAAGGATTCCCGTTAAATTTTTTTTCAGTTAATTGACTTTTATTTTTACAGCAGTATTTGGTTTACAGAAAAACTGAGCAGAAAGTACAGACAGTTCCTATTTACCCTCCCCAATCCATATACAGCTTCTCTTATTGTTAGCATTTGGCATTAGTGTGATACATTTGTTACAACCAATGAACCAATATTGACACGATATTATTAACTCAAGTCCATAATTTACATCAGGATTCACTCTTTATGTTGTACAATTCTAAGAGCTTTGGCAAATGTGTAATGACATGTGCTTATCAGCTGTTTGTTTATCTTCTTTGGTGATTACAGTATTTATGCAGCATAGTTTCACTGCCCTAAAAATTCCCCACACTACTCATTCAACTCTCTTCCCACTCTCCATCAATCCCTGGCAACCACTGAACATTTTACTGTCTCTATAGTTTTGTCTTTTCCAGAATGTCTTGTAGTTGGAAACATACAGTATGTAGCTTTTCCAAACTGGCTTCTTTTGCTTAACAATATGCTTTGAAGGTTTCTCTATGTCTTTTTGTGGCTTGCTTGACAGCTCATTTCTTGTTGTTGAATAATATTCCATTGTATGAACAAACCACAGTTTGTTTATCCATTCACCTATCGAAGGACATCTTTTTGCTTCCATGTTTTGGCAATTATGAATAAAACTGCTATAAACATTCATGAGCAGGTGTCTTAGTCTGTTTTTGCTGCTGTGACAGAACACCTGAGACTGGGTAATTTATAACAAACAAGTTTATTGGCTCATGGCTCTGGAGGCTGGGAAGTCCAATATCAAGGTGACAGTATCTTGCAGGGAACTTCTTGCTGCATCATTATATGGTGGAAGAGATCAGATGGCAGAAGGGCAAAGAGAGGGAAAGAGACAGAGAGACAAATGGGGGCAAACTCATCCTTTTATAAAGAACCCACTTCTGTAATAACAAACCCATTCCAAAAATAACCACATTAATCCATTCATGAAGGCAGAGCCCTCATGGCCTAATGACCTCTTAAAGGTCTCACCTGTTAATACTGTTACAATGGCAATTAAATTTCAACATGAGTTTGGGAAGGAACAAACATTCAAACCATAGCAGCAGGTTTTCGTATGGACATAAGTTTTCAACTCATTTGGATAAATAGCAAAGAGTGTGATTGCCAGATCATATGGTAAGACTATGTTCAGCTTTGTAAAAAATTGTCAAAATATCTTGCCAAGTGGCTGTACCATTTTGTATTCCCACCAGCAATGAATGAGCGTTCCTGTTGCTACACATCCTCACCAGCATTTGCTGTTGTCAGTATTTTGGATTTTAACCATTCTAATAGGTATATAGTTTGTTTTAATTTGCAATTCCCTGATGACATGACATTGAGCATCTTTTCATATGCCATTTGCCATCTGTAAATCTTCCTTAATGAGTGGCTGTTTAGATCATTTACTCATTTTTAATTAAATGGTTTGGTTTCTTATTGTTAAATTTAAGGCTTTTTTGTATATTTTGGATACAAGCTCTTTATTAGATATATGTTTTACAAACACTTTCTTCTAGTATGTGGCTTGTCTTTTCATTCTCTTAACAGTATCTTTCACAGAAAAGAAGTTTTAGTTTTAATCACCAATGCAAGGTTACTTAGTTTTTCTCATATGTTATTTTCTAGAAGTTTTATAGTTTTATGGTTTAGGTTCTGTGGTTTTGTAGTTAGGCCTATGATCAATTTTGAGTTAATTTTTATGAAGAGTGCAAGGCCTTTGTCTAGATTTGTTTTTTGTTTTTTCTTTTTGCATGTGAATGCCCAATTATTTTAGCAATATTTGTTGAAAAACTATCCTCTTTTCATTGAATTGCCTTTGCTCGTTTGTCAAAGATCAGTTAACTGTATTTATGTGGGTCTATTTCTGGGCTTTCCATTGTGTCCTATTGATCTATTAATCTACTCATTTGCCAAAACCACACTGTCTTAATTAATGTAGCTTTATAATCAATTTTGGCTATGTCAGTCCTCCAACTTTGATTTTCTTCCTCAATACTGAGTTGGCTATTCTGGGTCTTTTGCCTCTCCATATAAACTTCAGAATTAGTTTGTCAATATTTTCAAAATAACTTTCTGAGATTACGATTGAGATTGCATTGAATCTGTAGAACATATGGGAAATAAATTATATCTTAACAACGTTGAGTCTTACTATCCAGGAACATGGACTATCACTCCATTTATTTAGATATTTTTTATTTGTTTAATCAGAATTTTATTGCCTTCCTCATATAGATCTTGTACATATTTTGTTAGATTTACATACGCCTAAGTATTTCCTTTTTTGGTGCTAATGTAAATGGTGATGTGTTTTAAATTTCAAGTTCCAATTGCTCATTGCTAGTATATAGAAAAGCAACTAATTTTTGTATATTAGCCTTGTATCCTGTACTCTTGATGTAATTACTTATTAGTTCTAAGAGCTTTTATTTGTTCTTTGGAATTTTCTGCATATTCTTAGTTAAATTTGTATTTCAGATAAACAACAAAGTTTTCTTTTCTTAGTATAGCATGTCCCAAATAGTGCATCATACATACTTATATTTTTAAAAAATGTTGCTTCTCTGAAATTCAAAATTAACTGGGTGCCTTGATTTTTATTCATTAAATATGGCAACTTGATTTATCATCTCACCAAGCCCATTTCTGCTTCAAATAGTTTCATCAATTAGTACCTCTTCTGGGAACATTCTTTTTCCTATTTTGCATGGTTGGCTGCTTCTTGTTGTTCAAAATTAAATTTAAATGTTATCTCCTCAGACGAGCTTCCCTAACCCAATCCAAAGTGGCCTCCCCGTCCTTCTCTCTTACATCTGCCTATGTTAATGCTTTGCAATGGCAGTCATTCCTTAACAATTTATTGACCAATTGATCAATTGTTTCATGATCTGCCCCCTCCTCTCACCAGCCCATCTCACTAACATGAGTTTTCTTGCTTGGCATTCTCCTCTCAACACTTAGAATACCTGGCTCATAGTAGGTACTGAACAAACACTTGTCGAATTGATGATGGAATGAACTTAAGCCACCAAGCTTAGTAATCCTTTAATCCTTCCTCTTTTCCTTAATGTTTGTATCTAATTAATCACAAGTCGTGTCCCCAAATCCCACCAAATATATCTTAAACCCATCCTCTTCTCAGGTTTCCAGTGTCAGTCCTTGGACCATGGAGGAACTAGGATGCCTTCTAGCATCCTGAAGATAGTGCTGACTCATACTCCCACCCAGTAGATTCTCACTGAGTGTCTGTCTTTTCCATTTCTCTAAGCTCCACCAAGCAGGGATGGTGTCTGAATGCTGCAGTATCCTCTCTGTCCTGCACAGAGACTGATGCATAGTCAATATTCACTAGGTGTTAGCTGTGATTATTTTACAGTAGTTACAATAAACATTTATTAGAAACCCATTTGATTTCACTGAAAGATGCATACTGATTAGAAAGAAATGTAATCTTACCAATGACAAAGCACTACAGATATTCCTGAAATTCTCTGTTTCCTAGCAAACTCAGTTACCTAAAATGAGCAGTTCTCAAGTGTTTTGGTTTCAGTACCCCTTAACACTCTTAAAAATTATTGAGGGTGCCAAAGAGCTTGTTTATGTAGATTATAACTACCAATATTTACTGTGTTAGAAATTAAAACCGGGCCAGGCATAGTGGCTCATGCCTGTAATTCCAGCACTTTGGGAGGCCGAGGTGGGCAAATCACCTGAGGTCAAGAGTTTGAGACCAGCCTGGCCAACATGGTGAAACCTCATCTCTACTAAAATTACGAAAATTAGCCAGACGTGGTAGCGGATGCCTGTAATCTCAGCTACTCGGAAGGCATAGGCAGGAGAATTGTTTGAACCTGGGAGGTGGAGGTTGCAGTGAGCCGAGACCATGCCATTGCATTCCAGCCTGGACGACAAGAGCAAAACTCCATCTCAAAAAAAAAAAAAAGAAATTAAAACTGAAAAAATTTTACAATATTAGCTTATTTAAAAGCTGCAATAATGAACCCATTATATGTTAACATAGGCAACATATTTCATAAAGAATAACTGTATTTTACAAAACAAAAAATGTACTGAGAAGATAGGCATTGTTTTTCATATTAGCGAATTTCTTTAGTGTCTGGCTTAATAGAAACATAGTTGAATTCTGATATCAGCTTCTGCACGCATTCTGTTATGTACAACACACTGTTTTCGCTAAGGTGTGTTTTTTAAAAACTGAGCCTCACACTCATATGAATAGCCTTTTCAGATAATTGGGAATATTCTTTTTTAATTTTATACCAAAGCTGAACAAGTGGTACTTTTGTAAAGCAACTTGTAAAATCTGAAACCATATCAATAAACTTTCTAAATCTCTTTACAACAAACCCTTCAGTACATTTTCTACCTTGAATGGCTGTTTTATCCATTCGTGATTTTGTTTCATCATTTGCCATTTGGAAAATATTTGTTTGCTACATTACAAAAACATTCTAAATGTTGACACATTTCATTACATAACATTGAAAAATCTTATTAGTCAACATCACTGGTGATCTCATCAGAAAAGTTTCATGTATGGAAACTATCAAACGCATGGTGGCAGATATTAGTTTCCTAAAATGCTAATTTTTACTTGAAACCTCAAATATTATTATTTGCAACAAATATTGCCCATTGTTGTGCTCTAAGTGATCTGCTTGACTCACTTTGCTCATTTTTGAGAAACTATCTGTGAAATATCCAAGTCTAAATAACCATAATTTGTGAGTCATTTGTTTCAAGTAAAAATAGTGTTCCATTTTAAGAAGTGGCATGTTTACCTTGCAACCTGAATAATCATACAAGTACTTCTCCCTGAGAATCAATCAAGTGCATTTTTGGTTGGCAACAGAACTTTATGTGTATTTTCCCCTTTGTCCCACAGAATAGTAAAGATATGTGTGCTCAAGGGGTTGATTTAATAAAATTAATAATTATTATTGCTTTATTAAGTAAATTTTATTTTTTGAGATGGAGTTTCACTCTCGTTGCCCAGGCTGGAGTGTAATGGTGCAATCTCTGCCTCCTGGGTTCAAGTGATTCTCCTGCTCAGCTTCCTAAGTAGCTGGGATTACAGGCATGTGACACCATGCCTGGCTAATTTATTTTTTGCATTTAGTAGAGACAGGGTTTCACCATGTTGGCCAGACTGGTCTTGAACTTTTGATCTCAGGTGACTCACCCACTTCGGCCTCCCAAAGCACTGGGATTACAGGCATGAGCCACCAGGCCTGGCCAAGTACGTTCTTAAGTAAAATTAGCATTTCCTTCATTAAAAGTGCATGGTAGCGAGGAATACTATGACAACTAATACAGTTTGGTGCCATGTCATTGTTCAATGTGCCAGCAGTTTGACACCATTATTGCTTTTGCACCATTAGTGCCATGACAAACACAGCAAAAAAGGGCAAATAATGTCTTAGTATTATTACGAAGATAGTTCTGATCTTATGGATCCTCTGAGAGGATCTTGGAGATTCCACAGAAGTCTACAAACCGTGTTTTGAGAATGACTGAACTGAAGGTCTATACACTGATAGACTTTTGATTTACATTCAATTCCTTCAGAGGCTCTAGGCAAGTCCATCACACTTTGGAAGTAAGAGGTGAGCTTTGTACATTCTTTTTTTCATGGCCAAAAACTCTAGCCTAGTGCTTAACACACTGTTTAAACTCTCCCATAGTATTCAAAACAAGAAAGATTTGATGGTCCATTATGAGTCACTGATCAAATTTGGCAATAGGATTGAGTTCCAGATCCTACACATTGAAAGGGATTGTAACAAACCAGAAACCCTGATGCACAAGAAATGAGGAAAGATACAGAAAGACTTTGTCCCCGAGAAGAGAAAATGAATGAAAATGCATAACTATTTTCAACTAATATATGAGTTGTCATATGTAAGAGACAATGAACTCAGCCTTTGTGGCTTCAGAGGGCAAGATATCATAATGACTAATAAGGAGGTACATTCTTACTCAACCAAATAACTTCCTAATAAGTAGGGTTACTAAAGAAGAACAAGCTAGTTCATGAGGTCACTGGTTCCTGTCATTACAAGGCTATAAACTGAACTCAAGTGACTGCCAAACACCAAACAGGACATCCTTGGATAGGGACCAAGTCCTGTACTCCAAGCGTAACCTTGGGAGTGGTGAGTGAGCTTCCAGGAAGCAGTTATCAACAAGGCTGGCCACTCACACTCTGAGGTCACTCTCTCAAGGTGAAATCAATGCCTAACTAAAGGCATTTATGCAATTATTGGAATAATTCATGTACCACACAGCAGACATATTGGATGAAAGTCCTGCCATAATCCAGTATGACCTCATCTTAACTAATTGCATCTGCAACCACACTATCTCCAATAAGGCCACATACTAGGGGCTAGGACTTGAAAACATCTTTTGTGGGGGACACAATTCAACCCGTAACAATTACTAGTGAAGAATAGGTTCTAGTGAGATTCCTTATTATATTTTAATTAATGAAATCTGTTTCTCTTTTATTTAAATTACAGAAAAACCTAGGCAACATTGCCTATATTCCCTTTCCCTCTTATCAATCCCCATTCAATATGATTTTTAGAGTATGGATGTAATCATTGCATAGTAATTGGATTCCTAATACTACCTGATGGCAAAATGCTTCCAATGTGGACACTAGAATTGAGGTAGTGTGTAGGCTTTGTGACCAGATGCATCTATGTTCAAATTCTAGATCAAAATTTGGGTTGGGAGGCTTAGATTGGAGAAGACTTGGATTTATGAAATTCGAGTAAGCCTTTCATTCTCTCTGAGATCACTACAATATTAGAAAGAGAAGATGATAAGACTGACTATGTCACTGGGTCATTATGAAGTCAAGCGAGAGAACGGACTTGAGGCTCAAGTTTTACGAACTCAAAAACAGGTTCCAACTTAGACTGAAGCCCACAGATGTATTTAGTTTTTGTGTCTATTCTTGGCCCACACAGAGCTTTAACATGTTGTACTTGCTTGTTAACCTTTTCAAAAGGGAGATTTTGTAGGAAAAACTGCATTTCCAGCTTCTCTTGGTAGGCCTGTACTGACATTCCTGGAAGCACAACCAGCAGGACTATGAGCTGCGATGGGGACCAAGAGACAGCTGCCACTGATCATTGGACCTGCTTCTCCATTTTATTACACTGGAATTTTTCTTGTGATGGGACAAAGAGAAGAGTGAAACATTTCTTAGGTTCAGGATTCTATCAAAAGTTAGAAAACGAAAGCTATACTGAGAGAATCACATGGCTCAGGATAAAAAAGAGGAAGCGTATTTCTTTAAGGAAGCTAAGAATATTCTTACATTTAGTATTCAAGTAAAGTCTATCTGTGTTCAAAGCATATGTCCTAGGGTGCCTTTATAGAACAAACTCAGCCTGAATAATTGTGATTCTTACTCTAATATGTTATACAACGTTAGCAAGTATTATGTCAGCATCTACTTAGCTGTTATTTATTTCTCTTCCTCTCTTCTATTTAGCAGTATATGAATTGCTTTTATGTTCATTAAATTTCTCTGTGATGTTAAAGCACTCTATCCTATAATTTTGCAGTATTATCTAATAAGTTCCAAGTATCTCCAATCTAAGTATGAATTGCTTATTTTTATCTCCCCATATTTCCAGGCTTAGATTTAAATCCATATTAAAATGCTTAACACTTGTAGTGATTTTTAAAGTTTCGTAAGTGGAACCTCATCAATGAGCCCAAGGCAACATTTCTAAAACATCAAACGCCCTGACAGAAACCGAAAGATGTCGTCGCTCTCAAGACGCATGGTGTCACATAAACACACAAAAGATGTGCCGGGTGCTTCATTTTCATCCAGATGTCTTGGCATCATGCAGACAGAACCTTTAAGGAACTGAATGATAGGTCATAACTAGCATGTCCACCATCTGCTGCGGGACACCACTTGTGCGAGATTTTAAAATGGACTCACAGCATAAGATCAATTATAATGTCTGGAAGCCAGCCAGTTTGCCTTTCCTCCTGGAAGACACCACCATTGGCTTTTATAGCTTCCTCTGAGGTCAAAAACATTCTAACTTCATTTAGTGGCATCCATACGTGCCCAAACACCCAGGCTAGAAACTCAGATTTACTTTTGGGTCAATGTTCTCCTTCACCTTCCTCATTAATTTAGCTACTAAGCTGCATCAATGCTGCTCTACAATGTCTGTGGAATTCGTGTCATTTTCTCCATCCTCACAGTGTAAATAATTTTGTTTTTTTTTTTTGAGACGGAGTCTTGCTCTGTCACCCAGGCTGGAGTGCAGTGGCACGATCTCGGCTCACTGCAAGCTCCACATCCCGGGTTCACGCCATTCTCCTGCCTCAGCCTCCCGAGTAGCTGGGACTATAGGCACCTGCCACCATGCCTGGCTAATGTTTTGTATTTTCAGTAGAGACAGGATTTCACCATGTTAGCCAGGATGGTCTCGATCTCCTGACCTTATGATCCGCCCGCCTCGGCCTCCCAAAGTGCTGGGATTAGAGGTGTGAACCACCTCGCCCGGCCACAAATAATTTTTTTAACTTTTCAGTTTTCTGCCTCCCCCCACCTCATGCTGTATTTATGATGTGTGTATATTTTTATATTATATGTATGTGTGTATATTATATCTATATTTTCCCCACAGTTTTCTATTGTCTGATAAGGTCCAAAGTTCTTACCAAGACACCTTCTGGAGCTGGGCCCTTGTGTAGCGCTTTAACCTCAACTTCTATCATTTCAGACCCCATTCAGACCTCTCTCATTCATTCACAAATTTCACAAATATTTCTTGAACACCTACAATATTCCAAGTGCTATTCTAGGTTCTGCTGATGCAGCAGTGAACAAAACAGACAAAAATCCCTCCGTTTCCAGAGTTTATATTCCAGGGATGGGTTATATGTGACAGATAATAAACAAAATAAACACATAGAATATAGAATGTATTTGATAGCGATATGTGATATGACAAAAATAAAAGAGAAGAGGATAGGGTGTAAGGGGGAGACTGCCATTTTACAGAGGAGGGTGAGGGACACATTCCAGGAAGGATCATCGCCTAGAGACTGTAGGTGCTGGAACAAGTCGGTTGGGGAGGCTGGAGGAAAAGCTAGGCCAGTGTGGATGCAGAGGTAGGCAAGAGAGAGGAGTAGAGGGAGGAAGGTGAATTAGGGAGGGGGAGTGCCAGGTCAGGCAGGGCCTTGTTGGCCATAGTGAGGACCGGTTTTTACAAAGAGTAGAATGAGGGCCACCGGAGGGGTGGTTTGAGTTAGAGAATTGCATGATCTGTCTTGCAGTATAAATGGCTCACTCTATCTGCTATGCAAACAGATCACACTATCTGCTATGTCAAGGACAGATTGAAGTGGGGCAACCCTACAAGAGATGAGAGGGACTTGGACCATGGTGGAAGCTTCTGAGCTGGTGAGATATGCTGGGTTCTGGATCTAATCAGTGGAGCCAAAAGGATTTGCTGATACCTTGACACCTTGGCTG
Source organism: Homo sapiens (assembly GCF_000001405.40). Classification (NCBI taxonomy): domain Eukaryota; kingdom Metazoa; phylum Chordata; class Mammalia; order Primates; family Hominidae; genus Homo; species Homo sapiens. The sequence goes on from NC_000008.11 coordinate 19,131,859, forward strand.
TCGCTATAGACAAGTGTCAATAGTGCCTCCCAAGCATTCGGTCTGAAGGATGCACTTGCCATGAACTGAGAATAGGAAGGCCATGGGAGGCACCTATAGGGGTGGGGCATGGAGGAATAAGAAGCTCAATTTGGTATACATTGACTGTGAGTTACTTATTAGATATCCACCTGGAGATGTTAAATAGGCAGTTTGAGATATGTATCCTCCCCACCTAGGATTTGCAGCATTCTTGCTAAATACCTCATTCTTTCATGTCTCTATGCCAGTTTATACAATCTCCTTTTAGGGCCTCTTCCTCTTCTTTGCTTGCTGAAATACATTTTCTCGTTGGCCTCTACCACTTATTGAAGTGCATTTGCAATGATATTTTGTGTGTGTGTGTGTGCATTTGCGTTTTGAAATAAGGTCTCACTCTGTCTCCCAGGCTGGAGTGCAGTGCACAATCATAGCTCCCTACAGCCTCAAACTACTAGGCTCAAGCAATCCTTCTGCCTCAGCCTCCTCAGTAGCTGAGACTACAGGCACGTGGCACCATGCCCTGCTAACTTTTTACATTTTTTGTGAAGGAGTCTATGTTGCCCAGGCTGGTCTCAAACTCTTGTCCTCAAGTGATCCTCTTGCCTTGACCTGCCAAAGTGTTGGGATTACACGCATGAGCCACCGTGCTTGGCCTGTAATGGTTATTTTAACTTATTTATTCTGTTACCATACTGTTCTGTGAGTAATTCTCAACAAGATGCCTGATACAAATAAATAATCAAGAAAAGCTCATTGAATAGTTGAAACCTATGGGGGGGCCATAATCTCCTGCATTCAGTGGTTAGATTTCTTGAAATACGTTGTTATTTCTCCTCTTCCATAAAAAGAACTCTTTCGCGCATATTGTTTTAATCAATGAGAATTAAATTCTATTTTTGTTGATGTGCTTTTTTTATATTCCCTTGGGCATGCAATTTATCAAGCATGAGTAATATCTGGCACACAGAGTCTCTAATAGCTTCCTTTTTATTATTAGATCAATGATTGTCTGAATTACTGAGAAAGGAAATATCTAGGAAGAAAATGCCCCTAAATTCCTTGAAATCATGCTAAAAAGAAAATATGGAAGTACAGAAACATTAACAATGAAGTTGCTTTGGGGCACTTGAATCCTTATTTACGGAAACTTGGAACAAGTTTAAAAGTGTATTTTCAGCAGTCAGTGACTTAGTAATGATAATTTGGTTTCTGAATATTAAATGCATTTATTGTGTCTTTAATGTTTGACATATGTTAAAAGATGCATTTAGAAGAAAACTAATTTTAACCAACTAATTCTTTCTTCTACCACTCTATTTCTACCAGCCCACCAGTCCCTCTCCTGAGCCTAATCCAGTTATAGCTATTTTTCCATTTTCCAGAGACTGTCTAAGCCTTAATATAGACTTATATTTATGTCTATCTTATTTTTACATAAATGGGATTCTACTACGTATTTTTCTTTTTCTTTTTTTTTTTGATGGCACAAAACCAACATTGTCTGAGTTTTATTATTTGATCATCAGAAATTCTGTTGACAGCACAGGTCAGAAAACTGATTAGTTCACTTAAAATATCTTAAGATGCTTAAAAATAATAGTATTTTATAATAGCATGCATGCTCATATATATATATCAATGTACCTTTTTCTTGTCAACAGCTTCAAAATATCCCATCGTACAGGCATACCATAATCTAATTAAACAATATCCTACAGTTAGGCACTTATTGTTGGACATTTATTGTTGTAACCAAAATGTTTCCATGGGCCAGGCATGGTGGCTTATGCCTATAATCCCAGCACTTTGTGAGGGATTCTAAAAAAAATGAAAAAAATTAGCAGGCATAGTGGTGTATACCTGTAGTCCCAGCTACTTGAGAGGCTGAGGTGGGAGGACTGCTTGACCCCAGAAGATGAGGCTTCAGTGAGCTATGATCATGCCATTGTACTCCAGCCTGGGTGACATAGTGAGACTCTGTCTAAAAAAAAAAAAAAAAAAAAAAAACCACATATGCAGTTTGAACAATTTTGTGCATATACGCACTTTGTAATCATATACATACACACACACACACACAGATATGTACTTAGTGCTAAAATAGCTAGACTTAGATAGGCTCACGCTCTGTTGCCCATGCTGAGTACAGTGGTGAGATCTCGGCTCACTGCAACCCCTGCCTCCTGGGTTCAAGCGATTCTCCTGCCTCAGTCTCCCAAGTAACTGGGATTACAGGCTCGAGCCACCATACTTGGCTATTTTTTTTTCTTCTTGTATTTTTAGTAGAGACAGGGTTTCACCATGCTGACCATGCTGGTCTCAAACTCCTGACCTCAAGTGATCCACCTGCCTCAGCCTCTCAAAGTGCTGGGATTGCAAGCATGAGCCACCCCCGGCCCGGCCAATTCAGACTTTTTAAAAATACCTTTGCTATTATAATTTCCTACATACAACTGACAACTCTGAGAAACCCAGTAAAATACACTGGAGTCCACAAACACATGCTGCATACAGTCTAATCGGGACCCAGATTTCTATTATCAAAGCCTCATTAATGAAGCCATCCACACTCATTGTCGAGATATTGCTGCCTGGCCAAAAAGCAAGTAGTAGATGTTGACCTTGCAAAGGTTAACTTAATAGAGTTGAATTTGATTTAAATCCAATCACCGTTTCCACAGCTGCTCTGTGGGCCCAGATGGAGACTGTGGGAGTGATGTCACAGTGTCGCATGGCATGGCTTGATGCTCTGGCATGACTCACACCCATGCTCTGAAAGACTCCATTGTCGTTTTGCTCCTGGGTGGAGTGGGATTTGACTCACACACTGACTCAGTCCCCTAGCGCACCCCGTATCTGCTGTTGGAACTTTTCATTCGGGTCATTAGCTCCATCACAACCTCCTCCCTGGCAAGTAGGTAAAGGTACAGAGACCCCTCATCCACAATGGTCTTTTGCTGTGAGAGCCCCACTGCAAAATCCAGCTAATTCTTGGGGTCCCGTATCCTTTCCTCCTCTCTTCCCCAGCCTCCAATCCCATCAAAATTTAGCCATGTTTTTTACTCAGCTCCCTAATGATACTTTAAATGCAAAGGGGTCATGTAAGAATAAATCATCAAGCATGGTATGGGCAGTATTATGAGTAAACATTTCTGTTAAATTGACGTTCTTAGTTATGGATACGTAATTTATTTGTAAATAAATTATGCCAGAGTGGGCACAGTTTAAGCTCTAATCCCTACTCACTAGGGAGATGAGAGTTTTACAACTTGGGAAACAGTTTTCAGATTTTGGTTGGGTTCTTCATCATCAGTTAAAGCTTTGTGTTTTTCTTTTTGCTTAGAGTCATTTCTTTTCTTTTCTTTTCTTTTTTTTTTTTTTTTTGAGATGGAGTCTCACTCTGTCACTGAGGCTGGAGTGCAGTGGCACTGTGTCGGCTCACTGCAACCTCTGTCTCCTGGGTTCAAGCAATTCTCCTGCCTCAGCCTCCCAAGTAGCTGGGATTACAGGTGCCCACCACCACGCACAGCTAATTTTTATATTTTTAGTAGAGACGGGGTTTCACCATGTTGGCCAGGCTGGTCTTGAACTCCTGACCTCAGATGATCCACCCGCCTCGGCCTCCCAAAGTGCTGGGATTACAGGTGTGAGACACCATACCCGGCCTTTGCTTACAGAGTCATTTCTTTACATGTTTTGGTTGACACGGTTATGCCTGTTATAAAACAAATTCCTTGCTGCCAATTCTTGGTCTTTTAATGTATTCCTTTGCTTTCTCCTTCCTTTCAAGAGATGCTCCTGCTTCTCCCCAAACACTGCCTTTTATTCCCTATTTCCTGGGTGGTGCCAGCATCTGCCTTAAATCAATGTCCATTTTATGTTTGTTCAGATCTTTCTCTCTCACTAGAGATTTTTCTGCAATTGGCCCTTTTCATGGTGGGAGGGGTGATTTCTCTGCCCTGCAGGAAACTCATTAGTGAGTCAGGAAAGTCTGGCTCTCAGGCACAGTCATAAGGATGAAAGTGCTCCCTGACAACACACACACACGCACACACACACAAACGCACACACACACACAAATAAGTCTCTGTGCTAATTGCCACTTCTGCATTTTAAAAATGACTGGAGCCTGGCTGAAAGGTCCCCTCAGGGCTGGGAGTGGTGGTTCATGCCTGTAATCCCAGCACTTTAGGAGTCTGAGGCAGGTGGATCACCTGAGATCAGGAGTTCAAGACCAGCCTGGCCAAAATGGTGAAACCCAGTCTCTACTAAAAATGCAAAAATTAGCTGGGCGTGGTGGTGCACACCTGTAATCCCAGCTACTTGGGAATCTGAGGCAGGAGAATTGCTTGAACCTGGGAGGCAGAGGCTGCAGTGAGCTGAGATTGTGCCACTGCATTCCAGCCTGGGTGACAGAGCAAGGCTCTGTTTAAAAAAAAAAAAAAAAAGGTCCCCTCAGCATCTTCCCTCTTTATTCCTTTTAAATCCTGTATCGCACACTGGAGTTGTCCTAAGCTGAGGTTTGGGAAGTTGGCAAGTGGAAAGGATGGAGCAGTTGTGCTCCCAGTAGAAGAGGCGAGGCAGGAGGAAGGCATGTGAATCTCATCATCCGGGTAGAATGTTGTTATAAGGCCGTGATCCTTTTCCTTGGAGTGATGCTTATTTATTTTGAGCCATGGTTTTTGGTTTTAGCTGCCTTTCCTAAATTCTTCACAAATTGGCCAGTTAGAAGCACAATGGGCCATTCACAGGAACCATGTTTTATTCCATCCTTACCCTTTCATTCTATGCTTTACAGGTACAACTGGTCAGGGAGAACCAATGGCAGACATGTGCTATATCCCAACACACCTTGACTCTTGCTCTCACCGGAAGCTCAGCTTAGGGAAAGGAGATCTTAATAGGAGACAGAAGACCCGGACGCTGGTTTTGATTGTGCCCTTCTCCAGCTGTGTGGCCTTGAGCAGGTGACTTCACCAGTCTTGTCCTCCTATTTGTGAACAAATAGCCCCAACTGTCTGAAGGCGGAAGCCTGGTTCACGCCTCTCAAGGTCCTTTCTCACTATGATATCTATGAACCAAGTAGTTATTAGGTTGGTAACAGAAGTAATTGTGGTCTTTGCCATAAAAAGTAAATTTACTTTTTAATAGATTTTGGTTGGGCTCTTCATCATCTGTAAAAGCTTTGTGTTTTTCCTTTTGCTTTGAGTCATTTCTTTTTTTTTTTCTTTTTTTTTTTTTAAGATGGAGTCTCACTCTGTCACCGAGGCCGGAGTGCAGTGGCAGTAAATTTACTTTTAGTGACAAAGACTGCAATTACTTTTGTTACCAACCTAAATAGTTAATGTATTACTGCCCTCATTGTAGCAAGAAAGAAAAAAAAAGAAGTTCAAATAAGTGATTTCTCAAGTCTCATGAAGTAAAGAAGATACATTAATGGAAAATTTGCTATAAGTCAAATGATATAAGTCAGACCAGATGACCCCCACCACTGTCCCCCAAGCCAGGAGATTTGTTGAGTACATTACTTTTACTTAGAAACAATGGCATAATATAAGGGAAATGAGATCATGTAAAATGTGCTCAGCATAGTGCCTAGGACACAGTAAGATGGCAGTCCCTAACCTTGGGGTCACAGACTAGTACTATTCTGTAGCCTGTTAGGAACTGGGCCGCACAGCAGGGGGTAAGCAGCGGTAGCGAAGTGAGTAAAGCTTCACCTGTATTTATGGCCATACCCCATTGCTTACATTAGCGCCTGAGCTCTGCCTCCTGTCTGATCAGCAACGGCATTAGATTCTCACAGGAGCACAAACTCTATTGTGAACTGCTCATACAAGGGATCTAGGTTGCCCTCTCCTTATAAGACTCTAATGCCTGATGATCTGTCACTGTCTCCCATCACCCCCAGATGGGACTGCCTAGTTGCAGGGAAACAAACTCAGGGTTCCCACTGATTCTACACAATGGTGAGTTGTATAATTATTTCATTATGTATTACAATGTAATAATAACAGAAACAAAGTACACAGTATATGTAACGCATTTGAATCATTCTGAAACCACTCCCTCCCAACCCGCCCCAGTCCCTGGAAAAATTTTCTTCCATGAAACCAATCTTTGGTGCCAAAAAGGTTGGGGACTGTTACAGTAAGGCATGAAGAAATGAATGCCTCTAGTGAAAATATTGACAGCTTCATTGTTATCTTTTTATACAAAGCACTCCATGGCCAAGCGCGGTGGCTCACGCCTGTAATCCCAGAACTTTGGGAGGCTGAGGTGGGCAGATCACGAGGTCAGGAGATCGAGACCATCCTGGCCAACGTGGTGAAACCCTGTCTCTACTAAAAATACAAAAATTAGCTGGGCATGGTGGCATGTGCCTGTAGTCCCAGCTACCTGGGAGGCTGAAGCAGGAGAATCGCTTGAACCAGGGAGTCAGAGGTTGCAGTGAGCCGAGATCATGCCACTGCACTCCAGCCTGACGATAAGAGTGAGACTGTCTAAAAATAAAAATAAAAAAAAGCACTCCATATGCTGTATCTAATCAGGTGTCTTATCTATCTATATGGTTTCAACTCAGCAAACAGGCACATACATTTTAATTTAACATTACGTACTACATCTCCATGAATGATGCCTCATTTTAATTCCACATAATTGTGGTCTAATTTGACTATAATAGATAAAAATTGGAATAATATGCTTACTTGGAGACAGGATGGTCTAATTATAAGAGTACAGGCTTTGGGGCCACGTGAAGTTTTTCCTTGCCACAAAAATTAGAGACTACGGTTTGACACGGTGCGTCTTCAGAAACAGGGACATTTTCTGCCATCCTGAGATGCTACTTGTCACATAAAGCTTCAATTTGTAGCTAACCTAATCCAGGGTATATCTGTCTTTGGAATGCAAAATCAAGTCTTATTCACAGTGAACTTTCGCCTTTGTTCCTTCGTCAGTTGGTTGCTTTTCAATGTAGAAAAAAAATGTTAAAGATTTGGCTTGAGAGGTACCCAAACTCAAAGACACAGAGCTCCAAATTTGATCCTAAACCGTCAAAAGCAAGCTTCTTTACATTTGGCTGTCTCTCTCAGTGCTTGCAAAATGACCTGCCATCTTTAGGCTCACCCAGGTGAATATTTATGCCAAGAGAAGTCTGACCTTTTAATACACTGGAGCTCCCATTGTATGAGCAAGTGGGCTCTGGAAATGTTTGCTGTCCGAAGTATGGATCCCAGGGGCTGAACTGAGTCCCAGATGCCTGTGTGAGTGAAGACCTGCAGTGCCCCTACTCAGCCTTCACAAGAAGCATGTCTCTCTGTTCTGTCTTGTTATGGAGTTTCACTTCATTCACCTGAGACCTTAACCAACTTTTCCAATATCTACTAGTCTATTCTTCCAGGGCTGGACCCTGTTTTTTAATGGTTCCTGCCTCCTCAATGTCTGCCCTCCATCACCAAACTCTGGTCCTTGAGCACACCGAGAAAAACTCCCTGAATCTGACAGTCACCTGATTCTGAAAGCCACAGCTTACTCAGTGCCCCAGAAGCCCCAAGCAGGGGATCTCTGTCTGGGCTAAACCCTTGGACTTGTGATTCCTGATCCTACCCCCACCTGACCGAGCTATGTAAACCAGGGTCAGCCACTTCTCCACACATACCTCCTTGCCTTCTGCCCTCACCCGCCCCACTCTAGGCCCACTGGCCTTCTTCCTAGCCCCACTGGGACTTTTTAAACTTCGTTCTACTTTTGGTACTTCATGTTAGTTGAGGCCTCTGCTCAATGCACTCTGTCCTCCTAACTAACATGATTTGCTACTTCTTATCACTCAGATCTCAACTTATGTCTTAGTTCACATTGCTATACCAACAATACCATAGAGAATTATAAACAAGAGAAATTTATTTCTTATGATTCTGGAGGCTGGAAGTCCAAGATCAAGGTGCTGGCAGATTTTCTGTCTGGTGAGGGTCCGCTTCCTGGTTCATAGATGGCCATCTTCTTGCTGAGTCCTCACAAGGTGAAAGGAGTAAGAGAGCTTTCTGGGGTCTCTTCTAGAAGGGCATTAGTCCCATTCATGAGGGCTCCACCCTCATGAACTATTCACCTCCCAAAGGCTCCATCTCCTAACGCCCTCCCACTGGGGGTTAGGATTTCAATATATGAATTTGTGTGTGGGAGGGTGGATGTTATAGATCATAAACATTTGATCTACAGCAGCTTGTATGTCACTTTTTCAGAAAGATATTCTTTAATGACCTCAATTGCTTTCACATCACCTTTTAAAAATCATTACACGGTGCTATGGTTTAAAGGTATTCCCTAAAGTTCATGTGTTGTAAACGTAATCCCCAATGCCACAGCGTTGGGAAGTGGGGCTGAATAAGAGATGATGAGGTCATGAAGGGAGAGTCCTCATGGATTAATGTCATTATCACAGGAGTGTGTTAGTTATCTTAAGAGTGGGCTTGTTATCAAAGCAAGTTTGGCTTCCTCTTGCTCACTTGCACTCTCATACTCTCTGATCTTTTCACCTTCTGCCATGAGATGATGCAGCAGGAAGGCCCTCACCAGATGCCCCTACCTCTAGAACTGTGAAGAATAAATTTACTTTATAAATAAATTATCATCTATTGTGTTCTGTTATAGCAATACAAAGTGGACTATGACACTTAGCATTTAACAGTAACTGACATGTAACTATTTATTTATTTTCATTATCATGTGTCTTTCTGTCTGTTTCTGGCCATTAACCTCCTCCATGCCCTAACAAGCCAATTTAAGTTCCATGAAAGCAGTAAAATCCCAGACATAAAAGATTTAGCCTCATCTGTTTCAGCCTCTGCTATATTCCAGCATGGAGGATAACTCTTGGCATACAGAAGTTGCTAAATAAATGTTTACGAAATGAGTCAGTGCTAATCCCTTCCTGGGTAGGAGGGAGGACACAAACCCTAACTCTGCTAATTTCCTGACTTTTGCCACCACGTAGTCACCTCAGTTCACTTCCTCTTCCTCACGGGGGCATTCCTAACACCTACAGGGGTGGGATACACAGCGTTAAATAAATCTTCTGCATTTTGATGCAAGAGTACTACTGTCCTTACTTTTAAAATTAAATTCAAGTATATCAATAAAATTATGAAGCTTTTCCTATATTCCCTTTAAAGAACTCCCCTCTTCAACATGTTGCTAAAATTCTCCTTTCTAACTTTTCACAGTTGGTTTATCACCAATAAAGTAAAAATCTCACCCCAAGACATTCCTGTTTCTCTCTCTTTCTCTGTCTCTATCAGCCCTGTTTTTCCTCTGCCAAGCCTGAGGATCCCCAGGAAGGGCGGTGCTGGAGCAGAGATGCAGGGGAAAGGCACTGACGGATGGGGCTGAGCCAGGGAGCAGCCATTTAGTGCTGCCCACCCGACTATAACAGGCTGTCACTGGGTGTGACAGGCAGTATGAGACATTGTAGGAAACTGAGAACTGCCCGGGGAAGGCAATGATGAATGCCAAGCTGGGGTGGCCTGAAACAGCGATAGAAATTCTGAAGCATACCTTGCGGTGATGTGGCTTTGCTGAGCACTGCTTGAAAACAGGCTGGAAAGCCAGCCTCCCAGGTTGCCATTAGGAACAGAGCTGCTCAAAATAAAGGCAGCTCTCAGGAGAGTCTTGACTCACACAGATGAGGTTGGGCACATGGCTGTTATTCCAACCACACCCACACACACGTACACGCACACACCCAGAGGTGGTAGTGACTGCCAAAGGTCAGCCCCTGATATAGAGTATGGAATATCTGTGTAAATGGTATATAGAATATAACAGTGAAACTGGAAACAAGACTTAGGACATTTCAAATGAAATCCTCTGCAATGCTATTGAAATACTATTTGTAATTCTAATTCCTAACACTTAAAAATTTTGCATTGCACAGAACATTTTCTCTGCATTATCTTGCTTGATCCTTATAACAATATCATGTAGCAGGCGGAGCAAATAATATCACACTTACAGTTGAGAAAATTGAAATTCAGAGTGGTCAAAAAAATTACCACAATGTCATACAGATTGTCAGATATTCTTGGAGGGTTCAATAGTATCTAAGAAGCCACATTTTTTTTCTCTTTTAACTTGGAGCAGCTTACATTAGCCTAAAGAAATTTTCATGAATCTATAATTTTGATTAAGTTAATAGGTAAAATTATATTCCCAGAAAAGAGAAAATTGGGATGGGAGTAGTTTTATTCACTTTACAAAAGAAATATTAATTTAGCTAAAGAATGTGATATGGCTTGTTTAAATCACAAATGAGAATATTTTAAAATAGCTCTATTGAGGTATATATACTGGTGCATTTAAACAATCAAAATTATTGTATAAATAAATAATCAAATCTAGAGCACATGAAGGCTTCCTATGAAACAATAAGGAAAAAAGCAAAATTAAAATGGGCACAATGTATTACCAGCCAAGTCACGGAAGAAGAAATCCAAAACGTCAACAAACATCTGCTTGGGAAGGAATGCTAGCACTTTCTCCATTCCTTCCTTTTCCTTGGACATGGCTGCCCAGCCAGACACATATATTTCCTATTCGTGAGACTAAGTCCTTGCCGATGAAATGTGACTGGAAGAAATGTGTGCAACTTCTGCCTTATTTGTCTGCAAGGAAATTGCTTTTCCTGAGCTTGTCTTTTTTTCCAAAAGCTGGTATGTGGCAACGACCTGACTTCAACCAGGAAGACAAGGTTGATGACCTAAGGAATAGCACTGTAGCAAATGGAAGGATCCCTGAGTGACTGTGTGGAGCAGAGCCCTCCTACCAGCCTGGACTAGCCAACATAAGATTAAGTAAGAAAAAGATCTTTTTTATTGAAATTCTTACCTAGATTACTATATCTGGAGATCTCTTTGTTACAGCTGCTTAGCCTTTACACTAACTAGTACAATGACCAATCTAACTAGTAGTCTGGGAAATCAAAGTCAAAAAAAGGTATCATTTCATACCCTAAGTTTGGCCACACTTTAAAAGCCTGGTGATATCAAGAACAAGGATATGGGAAATGAGAAACTCTCATATATTTCTGGAAGGAGTGCAAATTGGAACAACTACTTGGAGAACAATTTGTCAGTATTACTAAAGTAGAAAATAAGTATTCCCTGCAACTCATTCATTTCAATTCTAGGTCTAGTAACTTTATATACTCAGACATGCCTCAAAGGTCATTAAAACAACATTTGTATTAGCAAAAAATTAGTAACAATATGAATGTTCATTGTAAGAGGATGGATGAATAAATTGTGATATTCATACAATAGAGTACAGTCAACAGTTAAAATAGATGAACTGCATCTGCATGTATTAACATGAATAGATTTTTAAAACATATTATTGAAGGGGACAGGAAGTTGAAGAACATGAACAACATGATAGCATTAGATAAAAATTTAAAATATGCAAAGCATAACTATGTATTCTTTTGCATACATATACATGTAGGAAGAGTACAAAAACATGGTCTAAAAGAATACATACCACATTCTTGATAATGGTTGTTGCTGGGGGAGGAAGGTGAGGAAATGAATCTGTGCAGAGACACAGAGTACCTCAGCATTATTACGGTTTTATTTATTTTGTAAAAAAAAATCATGCAAAACTGCTAAATTATTAACATTTATTATTTATGGTTATTGGGTATAACCAGAAATGCCCGGATGGGCATGGTGGCTCATGCCTGTAATGCTAGCACTTTGGGAGGCTGAGGCAGTTGGATCATCTGAGGTCAGGAGCTCAAGACCAGCCTGGCCAACATGGTGAAACCCTGTTTCTACTAAAAATACAAAAAATAGCCGTGTCTCTACTAAACTCTGTCTCTACTAAAAATACAAAAAATAGTGGTGGCATGTGCCTGTAATCCCAGCTATTCGGAAGGCTGAGGCAGAAGAATTGCTTGAACCTGGGAGGCAGAGGTTGTAGTGAGCTGAGATCACGCCACTGCACTCCAGCCTGGAGCTGGATCACACCAGGCAAACTGATCATGGGTATCTCTTCCCCATCTGCCCATTTAATGGTGTCAGGGGGGTAGCTTGGAATCAGTCATGGTGGAAGCATTTACACCAAAGAAATCAGCCAATGCTACAAACCAGCAAATGCTGTGTTTTCCTCTGGAGAGTTAGGGAGTGCTAGTTACTAACACTGACTAGCACACCACTGGGTTCAATGTATTTTTTTTTTTTTGAGACAGAGTTTCGCTCTTGTTTCCCAGGATGGGGTGCAGTGGTGCGATCTCGGCTCACCACAACCTCCGCCTCCCGGGTTCAAACGATTCTCCTACCACGGCCTCCAGAGTAGGTGGGATTACAGGCATGTGCCACCACTCCCAACTAATTTTGTATTTTTAGTAGAGATGGAGTTTCTCCATGTTGGTCAGGCTGGTCTTGAACTCCCGACCTCAGGCGATCCGCTCACCTCAGCCTTCCAAAGTGCTGGGATTATAGGCATGAGCCACTGTGCCTGGCCCAATTTATCTATTAAATTAATCTTGGTACTTCTGGATGCTTTAAAATCTTTTCCAAATGTAAAAAATTAAAATTGTTTCATTTTATTTTTCAGGATATTTTTTACATAAAGCATACTGCATGGGTGTCCTACTGGTGATGGAAAAAGAAATGAAAGCATCTCTCAAAAGGGTCAAACCAAGGCCAGGTTTTATTTGGTGTTTGAGAAAACCTGGATTATTTGGGTCAGGAGAAAATTTTGGACTTCCTGCTAATCACAGGATTTCAACAGCAAGCGTCTTCAAATCATGTGTGACATCCCCTGGCTGATAAGAGCCTTCCCACCTCATCTCAAGGAAGGCAACACCTTTCATAACTACTAGAATGACTACACTTGCCTCACTAAATTGTAGTTGTTGAACCACAAACTTGATTCCTACTTCTGTAAAAATAAATCAGAATTAAAATGATTAAGATATGGAATTGAGCCTCCATGAGGTTTCAGCAGGCATCCATAACCTACAGGGTTATGACAGTCATATTTTCTGAATCCCAAATCAGGACATGGGACCATGGAAATAGAGAAGACCATCAAGCAGAACGTTTGACTTCAGTTCTGTCGTGAAGATTCTGGGTTTTCAATCCTTCTAACTACAGTACTAGATGACAAAGATGATTTATTGCACATTAAGCACTCATGAGTGCTCTATTAACCTCATTCCTTGGAATGATTGTTTTAAAACAACTTTCCATTTTTGCTATTAAAATACCTACTACTTGGGAGACTGAGGCAGGAGAATCACTTGAACCCGGGAGGTGGAGGCTGCAGTGAGCCGAGACTGCACCACTGCACTCCAGACTGGGCAACAGAGTGAGACTCTGTCTCAAAAAAAAAAAAAGTAATGCATATTAATTGAAGAAAATATAGACATGGAAAGGAAAGAAAATCATCCATCCATAATTTCACAACCCAGAGATAACAACCACTAACAGCTTAATAAATAGCATTTCAACTTTTTTGTGTGTATATTTATATATTTTCCACAAAATAATATTAAACTATGTACATTGCTTTAACTGTCTCTTTCCACTTAAGATCTATCATTAATTTATTTCCATGTCATTAAATTTTCTTCAAATGTATTATTTTATAGCTTCATGCTGTTACATTACATAACTGTAACTAAATTTATTTCACCCATATTCCCACTGGTAAATATCTAGAGTATCTGCAATTCATCCACATAAATAGGATGAAGTGATCATCACTCTAGTAACTCTTTGCATACATCTCCGTTCCTTTCTTTGGGATAAATTCTAATAAGTGTAATTCCTGAGTCAAAATTTATAAAAAATCTTTAAACTTTTTTCTATCTTTATGGAAATAAGTTATTCCTGTAGAAAGCTTTATACCATACACAAAAGTATGTTTGGAGTAAAGATTCAAAGTTAAAAGCAAAAACTAGAACTTTAGAATAAAACTTACGAAAATATTTTTACAACATTGGTTAGGGCAGAGAGAAAATACAATAAAAAAGGTAACAAGAGATATAACTTGAGTATATTAAAATATACAATTTTGTGTAACAAAGGACTATAAAAGGCAAAACAAAGACTGGGAGGATATATCTACAATGATATCTGTATCTATATTTACCCCTATATAACACAAAAAGGTTAGGATTTCGAATATAAGATCTCATAAATCAGTAAGAAAACAGGCCAGACACAGTGGCTCCTGCCTGTAATGGTAGCATTTTGGGAGGCTGAGGCAAGAAGACTGTTTAAGGCCAGGAGTTTGAGACCAATCTGGGCAACACAGTGAGACTCCATCTCTACCAAAAAAGAAAAAAAAAATGAAATTAGCTAGGCATGGTGGCACATGCCTGTAGTCCCAGCTACTCAGGAAGGCAAGGTGGGATGATTGCTTGAGCCCAGGAGTTCGAGGCTGCAGTGAGCTATGATTGCACCACTGTATGCCAGGGTGACAGAGCAAGATCCTGTCTGAATATTAAAAAATATATATATATGTATGTATATTTAAATATGTGTTTGTTTATATATATATATACATTTTACGTATATATAAATGTGTGTCTGTATATACACATATTTCTTAAATATAAGAAAAAGATAGGCAATACAATAGAAATTGGCAGAGAATATGAAAGGCAATTCACAGAAAAGGAAACCTGAATGGCCAATAATATCATGCTCAAATTGACTAGTAATAAGTGAACTATAGATTAAACCAACACATCCATAAGATTACCAAAAATTTTCAAGTATTCCATCACACTTAACAAGAATGTGGTATGACTGGAACTCTCATACATTGCTGATGAGACCATAAATTGGTTCCAACATGCAGAGGGACAATTTCTGAAGCAATTATTAGAGTTGAAAGTGTATGCTCAGAAGCGTCAGGACCTGGGTGAGTCAAGGAGGTGCCTGGGGCTTCACATTTAAGGAGGCCCTCACTCTCAGGATCATGCAAGCATACGGTTGCCACCTGAGAGGGAAGTCCTCCTTAAATTTTGCACTCTGTGTCTTTGATTGCCTTATCCTGGTCCTGGTTCTGAAGCACGTAAACTAAAAACCAATAATTCCGTGTTTATAATATATATTAATATAATTCTGTATATAGAATATCTATTAATATACCTACAAATATACACCCCTCTTCCAAGAAATATAAACAAGATAGAAATAAGAGTTTCATTGTAGCATTGTTCACAAAAGTGAAAATGGAAAACATTTCCCAATTTTCCAAATGTCTTCAATAGAATGCACATATATAAATATGGCATATTCATGAGATAACGGTATACAATAATTAAAGTGAATAAACTAGAATTACATGTATCAACATGATTACATCTCAAAATACAATGTTGCATGAGCAAAGCAAGTTATAGAATGATACATTTGGCATGATTCATTTACATAAGCCTAAAAACATGCAAAATAATATTATCTATTGTTTATATTACTTTCATACACAGTATGAAAAAACAAGTCATGGGAATGATAAACAACAAATTTATGGTACTACTTCTTTCTGTAAGAAAGGGAGGAAGGAAGGTTCAGAACAATGTAAAAAGAGGTCTATTTATTAAGTTTTTTTTTTTTTTAATGAAAGTATCTGAAGCAAAGTCAACAAAATACCAAGACTTGTTAGAGTCGGGTGGTGAGAACTTGGGTATTACTTATATTATTCTCCAAAGTTTTTTGTATGTTTAAGCTTTTCATAATTTTTTGTTGGGCATAGTGGCTCACACCTGTAATCTCAGCACTTTGGGAGGCTGACGCAGGAGGACCACTTAAGACCAAGAGTTTGAGACCAGCTTGGGCAACATAGCAAGATCCCATCTCTATTTTTAAAATAAACATTAATAAAATAAAAATTTTAAAATTTTGTAAGTTTTAAAAATGAGAAAAATAAAAACCGTTAACGAAATAGATATTCATGTCCATAGCTGGTAACTTTGGGTAAGCCAGTTAACTTTTCCAGAATATTAGTTTATTTTTTTCTAAAATAACAACATTAATTTCAAATTCGGAGGGTGATAGCTGTTGTGTTTTCTAACTCTACGAAGGCTTTCCTGCTATATATTCAACATTGTTGTTATTGAATGACTCCTGACTGAGGTTTGTGGGCTTAATTATTGGCTAGTGGAGCCCCAGATGGGTCCTATGTCATGAGATTCAGAATTTGGAATGTCTATGGTGCTCACCAAAATATAATCCCACCTTCACCCCATTAGCCTCATCTCTGTGTTTTAAGTCCTCATGTTGGACATGGTGACACACCACCCAGATCTCCATCAAGGAAGGACTTCTTGCCTTTTTCTGGAAGGACTATTAGCAGAAAACCTTCAACCGTCAGTGCCTTCAGGGATTACCCCATCTGCAAAGAGCCACCTAGTTCAAGGTCAAGCCTTTCCCAGGGCATCCCATATCTGGTGACTGATAGATATGAGTGAATAAACATCCAACCATTCCGGCCCAACACAGGCCAATTCTGACCAGCGATTTTAGCTCCAAAACTCCCTCTGCGGTTGCCTGGGGTGGCTGCAGCTTCACTTCTCCCACTGCCCAATTTGGCATCTCCCCCTGGCCTTCCACAGGCGTTGACCAGGGAGCATTTCCTAATAAACAATCTGCAGGCTCAACAGTCTCAGGGTCTGCTTCCTGGAGAGACCAACTGATAAAGTTGGGTAGGTGAAAATGTAATACGAGGCTTGGGAACTGGGTCACTTGCCACCTCGCTGGCAATAAGGATTCCATCACCGGTGGTAAGTTGAGCACAAATAGCTCCTGACATAAAGCGACCATCTATATCGGGTTGAATAGTGTCCCTCCAAAATTCATGTCTACCTGGAAACTCAGAATATAACTTGTTTGGAAATGGTGTCTTTGTAGATGTAATTAGTTACGGTTGTTGGGATAAAATCATCCTGGATTTAGAGTGCGCTTTAAATCCAGTGACTGGTATCCTTATAAGAAGAGGGGAAGACACACAGACAGAGAGACATGGGGAAGACCCTATGAAGATGGAGGCAGGGATTTGAGTGATGTGTTCACAATCCAAGAAATGCCACGAGCCACCACAGTCAGGAAGGGGTAAGGAAGGATTCTCCCCTTACATGTTTAGAGGGACCATGACCCTGCCAATACTTTGATTTGAGATTTATTGCCTCCAGAACTATGAGAGATTAAATGTATATTTTTTAATCCACTTAAGTTTGTGGTAATTTCTTATGAACAGACTGTGCAAGGAAATTAATACACAGCCTAGTTCTTAAAACTGTCACCAGTGGCAAATGGAGATGGTATAGTAGCAGAAGGAAATGCAGTGGCTGGTATAAAGTATTAGATATTTGAAAACATTGGAAGAATCAGTGCCTATAATGACAATGGAATCCAACTCTACTGCCTTAACGTAGTCTGACACTTTAGAAAATAAAATGAAAACCTGACAGCAATTTACAGGCCATGGGAAATCAAATGTGGAGAAGCCAGTGGGCCTTCTTGCAGCATAGAAAGAGGCTCTCCTCTCCTAGGTGAAGGCAGAGAAAGCTGACCACCAGTCTTAGGACCTAATTGTCAGAACAGCAGGGCTCCAAGGAAAGCTAAACTCCCAGCCAAGATAGATCTGCTCTGGCAAGGTCAGGACCCTGGTGTGAAAGAACAGTACTCTGATACTAGGATGGGGACATCCAGGTTGATTCCAGAGCCTTCCTTTCCTCAATCTTGGAACTCCTAATTCTCTAAACCCTCTGGGCCTGCAGAGGTGGGCCACCCCTCCCTAGTAAGAATGTAAGAATACTTCATCCCCATTGCTGGAAGACAGTGTGGGGAGCCTCTACCCACAAAACAAAATGTGTCCCCCACCTCCTCTCTTGACCCTTAGGCCTATAAATACAGTTACGTTGCTGCCTAACCTAGTCCCTAGCCGAGAGGATGTGCTGGGCCTGATAAGGAGAGAAAGGGATTATACACCAGGGGATGGTCAGGACCTCCTGACCCATGTACCAGCCACAGCCTGAGGACAAACAAGAGACTTGACGCTGAGAGTGATGATCAAGGGGCCAGAACTTTAGACTGGATGACGGAAAGGATGTAAATTTGAGAGTGCTCTCTCGAGACTGAGAATTGAGCACCTTGGAAAGGCCTGGAGATAGTGTGAGCTGGCTACTAAAATGGCTTCCAGAAGCACAGAAGAGGTGATGGCCCAGGCTAAGGAGGCTGAAATGCAAGAACCGCCAGGGCAGATGGCGGAGAAAGAGATGGAGAGGCTTGGGGAAGTAGACACACTGGATTGCATATACTAGGTAAGACCAGACGGCCTACAGGTGATCAGTTTCTGCAGGAGACCCAGATGCAGCCTTACAAAGGTCATCAGGAGTGTGCTGATGGAAGGGTACCAGGTTCTCTATGAAGTTCAATGATGGCCTCATCTGTGGGCCAAGGCTGAGGTAGTGGGGGCTGTCACAGACAAGGTTCATGTGCAGCAATGGGGAGGAAACAAGGCACAACAAGACATTAAAGAGCAAATTGAACTACACAGTTACCTACAGTAGACACCTGTGTGCGATGTGGGTTTGTTGAATGAATGTCAATCATCATGAAAGAGAACTTCTGAGAATAAATATTGGACCCTAAAACAAAAATAATAGATGTTTGCATTTAGAAGTTATTAATGTAGTTCTGAGAACGATCTCTTTCACCAGCTGCCATTGGCCCTTTCCTCTGGGCTGTTGAAAGAACTTTAGACTAATTAAATTTAACAGAGTGTAATTCAGCAAAGAACGATTTATGAACTGAGCAGTCCTCCAAAGCAGAATAGGTTCAGAGCCACTGCAGTGCTGCCACTGGATTGCAGAGGATTTATGGGCAAAAAAAGGAAAGTAAGGTACAGAAAACAGAAGTGAGGTACAGAAACAGCTGGATTGGTTACAGCTTGGTGTTTGACTTATTTGAACACGATTTGAACAGTTATCCACCTTTGATTGGCTGAAACTCTGTGACTGGCACAAGAGTAGGTTACAGCCTGTTCACACATTCAGTTAGGCTACAGTTCACTATGTACTATATGTGGAAAAACTTTTAGCCTGAACTTAAAATATATATGGAGGCAGCTTTAGGCTAAAATTAATTTATTTTTAAATTTAAAAAAATTTTTTTGGAGACAGGGTCTTGCTCTTTTGCTCAAACTGGAGTGCAGTGATGTTATCATAGCTCACTGCAGCCTTGACCTCCTGAGCTCAAGTGATCCTCCCACTGCAGCCTCCCGAGTAGCTGGGGCTACAAGTATGTACCACCACGCATGGCTTAAATATAACAGGTCAAAACCCATTACTTTTGTTCAGGGAAAATTCCTACCTTGCTATGAACAATATAAAAAAAGAAAAACAAAAAGATGGCAGATGATGGAGGAGGGAATGAAGAGGCTTGGGAAATAGACATGCTGCGGTGGGTGTCCTCCACATCATTGATGGCACTGCAGCCTACAGCATGAGGCACAGGTGGTGTGTGGTGGAGAGTGACGTGCAGTCCATGTGTCCCTGGGTGGACCAAGGTACCCACTCCCCCAGCTGCCAGAAGTGTTAGTGGCAGCTCCCAGTTGAGTTTCTCCCCAGGAACTGCCTAGCTGCTGCCTAGCCCAAAGTCAACCCCTACCACAGGGCCAGCCCACATTCAATGATTGGCTCACGCTAGGTACAAAGATTCAGCCCTCTTGCCTGATTAAGGATAACCGGAAGGGCCTTTCCAGCTGCACTCTCCCCGTGGGGTTGACTGAGGCCTCTGAACAAGTACATCGCAGCTCATCTTCCTTCTGTGCCCAGGCCTGGAACCTGCACTCCTTTGCAGATGTGGTTCCTCAGAACACTATTAAAAAACAGGTCTCAGGACCTGTTCCAGAAACCTACCTAAGATAGTAAGTGTTGTCATCAATCATGGAGTCCGCCCAACTGCACAGAGTTTCAAGAGTGGTGAAACTAATATTTGTAAGTCTGTCCATGGCAGGCCCGGCAGCTCTGAGAATTCCATAAACGGCTCCTAATTTCTGTGTGCTTTGAGTCAGTTTTAATAATGAAGTTAAGAACATTTGACCTTTAATAGCTCCCTACATGCTTACATTTGCTAATTGAAAGACTGCCTGAAACTGAAAGCAGGCTTTGCACACCAAAGCCCTCTCGCATATTGAAAACAAAGGGATCTCCAGAGATTTTAGGTTTACAAAGGCACATTCATGCTTGGGAATTCATGGGTTTAGCATTTTCAATTAGGTCATTTCATATAGAGGGAGGACTGAGAATGTGCAGGTATGGTCATGGAACGTTAACTGGAAATAATAGAGTTTTTGGGGTACCTCTGAAACAACTCCAAGAGAGACAATTGATTTAAAGTCCATGCAGTATAGTGTGCACGGTGCCTGCCAACCCTTTTCTAATTGGATTATCTGAGACTAAATGTGAAGAGTTAAATAATTTCGTAACACAACACAGAACAAATATCATGGTGATGTGACCCAGAGAAGGAGCACCTGAGCTTTTACTCTAATCTGAAAGGCTTTGGCAACCTTGGCTCCAGCTGGGGTGCAAAGGGGTCCATCGAAGTGAAGCAGAAGTTGCCCCAAAGGCTGTTGGCCAGGCCACAGCTGGGCTGACTCATTGTTCGGTGACTTGTTCAGGACTATAGCTGCTATGCAAACAGAGAAAGTGGGATTGCTTTTGCTTTTTATGGAGGTACAGTCACAGTCAGGGCTAATTTAATTCCTTCATGCTGACAAACTGAACACAGAAGTCAAGATCTGGGGACAAAAGCATGCAAGGCCATAGCTTTCAGCAGCCCCAGACCCAGCATCTTAGTGCAGCAGAAGCAGCACAGAGGCAGTGCCATGAAAAAAGTCAATTCCAAGAGCAAAGACAGGCGGGTTTTGGTGGCTCATGCCTGTAATCCCAGCACTGTGGAAAGCCAAGACAGGAGGATTGCTTGAGCCCAGAGTTCAAGACCAGTCTGGGCAACAAATGTGAGACCCTGACTTTAAAAAAAAATTTAAAAAAGTAACCGAGTGTGGTGGTACACACCTGTGGTACCAGCTACATGGGAGGCTGAGGCAGGAGTATTGCTTCAGCACAGGAACTCAAGGCTGTGGTGAGCTGTATGATCATGCCAGAACCAGCACACTCTAACCTGGGCAACAGAATGAGACCCTGTCTCAAAAAAAAAAAAAAAAAAAAGAAAGAAAAAAAAATGGTAAGACAACAGAAGAACTTCATTCTATGAGATGATCAAGAAAATGAAAAAGCAACCCATAGAATGGGACATGCTGGGGTGGGTACCTCCATGCCATTTATGACACTGCAAATACTTGCAAATCACTTATTTGATGAGTGGCTATTATTGGGAATACATAAAGAACTCTTACAACTCAATAATAAATAACCTAATTGAAAATGAGCAAAGTCTTTGAGTAGAAACTTCTGTAAAGAAGATATATAAACAGTAAATAAGTAAATGAAATGATGCCCAACATTAGTCATTAGGGAAATGCAAATCATAACCACCATGATATAGCACTAGCGAAACTGCCTTTCCAAATTTTAACTGAGGAAATTATGACAGTGAAAGAAATCAGACCTGACCGACTCCACCTTGCTTCTAAGGTTTACGCTGTTCTTTTTCATTCCTTGGTGTAGTCAGAACTAACTTAGGGAAGGAATTCAGTTCATGGTTTGACTCTGAAACGAAATTGATAATACCCCTTCCCAAAAAGACCCTGTTCTTGCCTGGGGACCAGTCTGCCTTTGCAGGACTAACAAATTAGCTACAAGATTAGAAATTATGGTTTAGGGGGTCATGCAGTCTCTGGCTCTAAGAGTCTGAACCTCCCCAAATTGCTCCTGGGGATAACATCACTATTGTAAAACCTAAGATCAGTGCTTGAGATAATTTGCAGACCCTGCACTCAATGGATCAACTGACACCACTCAGACTGTAATCTGGCTCAACCAGTTCTACCATTGCACCCAAGAACAGAAGAAGCAAGAAAAGCTCACTTCGACCCCCTATGATTCCAACTCCAATCTGACCAATCAGCACTCCCCAATTCCTAAGCCCCATCCACCAAATTATCTTTAAAAACTCTGATCCCCAAATGCTGGGGGAGACTGATTTGAGTAATAATAAAACTCTGGTCTCCTGCACAGCCAGCTCTGCATAAATTACTCTTTCTCCATTGCAATTCCCCTGTCTTGATAAACTGGCTCCCACTAGGCAGCAGGCAAGGTGAACGCATTGGGCAGTTACACTAGGGTGGCTGGAATCAAGAAGACAGATAATAACAAATGTTGGTGAGGATGTGGAGTCATTCAGAAACCTGCACAATGCCGATGAGAATATAAGATGGTGCCATTGCTATGGAAAACAGTTTGGCAGTCCTTGAAAAGGTTAAACGTAGAGTTAGCATACAACCCAGTAATTCCACACCTTGGTATATACGCCAGAGAAATGAAAATATATGTTCACTCAAAATCTTGTACACAAATGCTCATAGCAACAGCATTCATAATTGCCAAAAAGTGAAAACAACTCAAATGTCCATCAACAGATGAATGGATAAGCAAAATGTGGTATAGCCAAACAATGGAATACTATTCAGCCATAAAAATATATGAAGTACTGGCTGGGTGTAGTGGCTCATGCCTGTAATCACAGCACTTTGGGAGGCAGGGGCAGGCAGATTATGAGGTCAGGAGTTTCAGACAAGCCTGACCAACATCGTGAAACCCTGTCTGTACTAAAAATACAAAAATTAGCCAGGAATGGTGGCACGTGCCTGTAATCCCAGCTACTCAGGAGGCTGAAGGTTGCAGTGAGCCGAGATTGCACCACTGCACTCCAGCCTGGGTGACAGAGCGAAACTCTGTCTCAAAAAAAAAAAAAAAAAGTATGAGGTATTGACACATGCTATGACATGGTTGAGTCTTGAAAACATATGCTAGGTGAAAGAAAGAAGTGGCAAAAGACCACATATTATATGATTTGTTTTTTAAGCAAAGTTCATAATAGGCAAATTTATAGAGACAGAAGTAGATTAGTGATTACCTAGGGTTAGAGGGTAGTTAATAGGGAAAGGTCACTGGTGGGTATGGAATTCTTTTTTTTTGAGTTGATGAAGACGCTATAAATTTAGATGGTGGCAATGGCTGCACAACTCTGAATATATTAAAGCCACTGACTTGTACGCTTTAAATGAGTGAATTTTCTGACATGTGAATTATATCCCAATAAAGATGTTTTAAAATTTTTAAGAAGAAACATCATTCCATTAAGATTGTGCCCTCCATTTCTTCCCTAAGCCTGGGTCAGATGGGGAAAAGAGCTATCCATTCTGAGTTCCCTGGGGGGAAAGGCTGCATGTTAGTCTCTTTTTTGTTATGAACCCCAACCAACATCCTGAAATGTAGTTTCATTTTCCATTTATTAATAATATATCACACCATATAGCATGTTTAACACCACCTCTTAATGGTGTGGCAACTCACAGAAGAAAAAGAAAGCCCAGAGAAGGGGCAGGAAATAGATAAAGCAAGTAGCAGGAAGGAAAAACGCACAATGAAGTATGATAAGGGGCAAAATAGCTGGAGAACCATTGCCAATGACCCTGACAAATATGTGCATGCTATTTGCTTTTGATTGGAAGCTGTCAGCAGGAGAAATTGTTGATGTAATCTCTGAGTTACTTTGTCTTTATCTTCCAAGAAACATGGATCCCAAATAGATTAGCCTTCTTTTTCATTTCTCCTGGATCACTTCACTGAAGGATATCAATTCCATTTTTATTTTTATTTTATTATATTTATATTTTTTACATGTATATACATATTTACTTTAAGTTCTGGGATACACGTGCAGAATGTGCAGGTTTGTTACATAGGTATACATGTGCCATGGTGGTTTGCTGCACCCATCAACCCATAATCTAGGTTTTAAGCCCTGCATGCATTAGGTATTTGTCCTAATGCTCTCCCTCCCCTCCCTGTGTCCATGTGTTCTCATTGTTCAACTCTCACTTATCAATGCGTTTGGTCTTCTGTTCCTGTGTTAGTTTGCTGAGAATGATGGCTTCCAGCTTCATCCATGTCCCTGCAAAGGACATGAACTCATTCGTATTTATGGCTGCATAGTATCCCATGGTGAATATGTACCACATTTTATTTATCTAGTCTCTCATTGATGGGCATTTGGGTTGGTTCCAAGTCTTTGCTATTGTAAACAGTGCTGCAATAAACATATATGTGCATGTGTCTTTTTGGTAGAATGATTTACAATCCTTTGGGTATATACCCAGTAATGGGATGGCTGGGTCAAATGGTATTTCTGGTTCTAGATCCTTGAGGAATTGCCACACTGTCTTCCACAGTGGTCGAACTAATTTACACTCCCACCAACACTGTAAAAGTGCTCCTGTTTCTCAACAGTCTCGCCAGCATCTGTTGTTTCCTGACTTTTTAATAATCTCCACTCTAACTGGTGTGAGATGGTATCTCATTGTGGTTTGGATTTACATTTCTCTCATAACCAGTGATGATGAGCTTTTTTTATGTTTATTGACCGCATAAATGTCTTCTTTTGAGAAGTGTCCGTGCATATCCTTCACCCACTTTTTGACGCGGTTGTTTTTTTTCTTGTAAATTTGTTTAAGTTCCTAGTAGATTCTGGATATTAAACCTCTGTCAGATGGGCAGACTGACAAAGGGCAAGCACTTTGTCAGCAGTGCTTGTGGGACAAAAATTTTCTCCCATTCTCTAGGTTGCCTGTTCACTCTGATGATAGTTTCTTTTGCTGTGCAGAAGCTCTTTAGTTTAATTAGATCCCATTTGTCAATTTTGGCTTTTCTTGCGATTGCTTTTGGTGTTTTAGTCATGAAGCCTTTGCCCATGCCTATGTCCTGAATGGTATTGCCTAGGTTTTCTTCCAAGGTTTTAAGCCTACATGTTTTTCTATAGCTGATCTGTATTTTCCTCCACATGTGTATATTTTTTCAAGCAGGCTAAAGCTACATGTATGACAACTCTCCAACTAGAGCATTTATAAGGATGGACATTCAATGTGAACAGTTTTTTGGAGGGCAGCTACTTAGCTTGGTGGCACCTTTGCTACAGCACTGAGTCTCCTCTCTGGTTCTGCTTCTTTTCCACTCCAAATTCTTCACTATCTTTGGGGTGAATTGTATTATTTTTCTGCAAATATTTCCTCTCCCCTCTGCACCTGTCCTGCCCCTACCCCCAGGAGGAAAGTACTTCCAAGCGAAGTTGCGTTAGGCTGGCTGACTTGCTGTGGCTAATGGAATGAAGGAAGTAGCAACTCCTGCTAGTTGCAGGCTTAAAGAATCTTGGAGGCTGGGTGCAGTGGCTCACGCCCATAATCCCAGCACTTTGGGAGGCTGACACAGGCAGATCACAAGGTCAGGAGATCGAGACCATCCTGGCCAACATGGTTAAACCCTGTTTCTACTAAAAATACAAAAATTGGCTGGGCATGGTAGCACATGCCTGTAATCTCAGCTACTCAGGAGGCTGAGGCAGGAGAATCGCTTGAACCAGAGTTGGAGGTTGCAGTGAGCTGAGATCGCGTCACTGCACTCCAGGTCACAGGAGGAAAAAAAGAAAAGATTCTTGGAGATTTTTCACTAATCTTCCATCCACTCTCCATCCACTATGGAAAGTGCGCATTCTAGATAGAAGTATCTCCATCAGCCTGAGTCCCAGACTAAAGACACAGGAAGCATATGTGAAGCCAAAGGCAGCCTGGAGCAGCAGTACTGCAGACTGCCCATGACCTCCAAGGGAGAAATAAATGCTTGTTGCTGCAAGCCACTGAACTTTCTCTTAAAACACAACATTATCGTAGTGAAGGCTGATTAACACAATCATTGCATTCATTCAGAAAATATTCCGAGCATTCACACACTCAAATCCTATGGTTGTTCTTTAATGAATAAGACTGAATGTCTTCTGTTCTCAGGCAGCTCGCAGTCTAGAAAGTAAGACAGAAAAGGATGCAAATAACCCAAATACAAAATATATAGTGAGTGATATGAGAGAATCAAGTATACTAAGAGGTTTGGCACAGAAACAGATTATTTCTGGCTTGGAGGAATCACGGAACTTCTTGGAAGAGGTGACATTTGAGGTGGAGTCTTGAAGATTTATACATATATATATAGAAAGATATGGGTAAATAGTATATATGTTACTCCTGAACTGTTCATTCTACAATCAGCTACTTTAGATGAGGAAAACGCAATCGTATATAGATAGAAAGCAAAAGAATACACTTTAACACAACATATCTAGTTATTAAGGTAGACAGGTATACGGGTACAAACAATATATTAGAATAAGAGGAAGGTAACTTAAAAAAAATTTTTTTTTTTTGAGGCAGAGTCTCACTCTGTTGCCCAGGCTGGAGGGCAGTGGCGCTATCTCGGCTCACTGCAAGCTCTGCCTCCCAGGTTCACACCATTCTCCTGCCTCAGCCTCCCAAGTAGCTGGGACTACAGGCGCCCGCCACCACGCCTGGCTAATTTTTTGTATTTTTAGTAGAGACAGGGTTTCATCGTGTTAGCCAGGATGTTCTTGATCTCCTGACCGCGTGATCCACCCGCCTCGGCCTCCCAAAGTGTTGGGATTACAGGCGTGAGCCACCGCGCCGGTGAAAAATTTTTGTCACTTTATTTAATGACATTAAATAGTTTAAGTTTCAACTACTAAACAGCACTTTGAATGGTGAAAGCACAGGTAGTATATCGTCAAACTTTAATGCTTTTCTTTAAAAACACAATTCTAGTCCTTATCTATATTACAAAACACCCTTAAAGGAAGAAGTGGGCCGGGCACGGTGGGTCACGCCTGTAATCCCAGCACTTTGGGAGCTGAGGCAGGCAGATCACAAGGTCAGGAGATCGAGACCATCCTGGCTAACATGGTGAAACCCGTCTCTATTAAAAATACAAAAAATTAGCCGGGCGTGGTGGCGGGTGCCTGTAGTCCCAGCTACTAGGGAGGCTGAGGCAGGAGAATCACTTGAACCTGGGAGGCGGAGGTTGCAGTGAGCCGAGATCGCACCACTGCACTCCAGCCTCAGCGACAGAGTGAGACTCCGTCTCACAAAAAAAAAAAAAAAAAAAGGTAAGTGACATCTTTTCTACAGTACTTAAGATACTCAGTACAGAACTGAAAAGCAGTCTAACAGAAACAAAGGCGAGTCTTGACAGCTGTATGATTTCAGCAGCCAAAGCTGGATGATGGACTGAAACATTACTATACAACTGGGAAAAAACATGTACAATATCACAATAGCAAGCAAAAGCGCTTTACACCCAAAGAAATAAAACAGGTTACAAAATGTGGAGGATTTAGCAGGCAAAACTGTGTTACAAGCAACCTTTTAATCATCATTTTTAATCCATTGCAAGTATTTAAAACATCTAAAACAAATATAAAATGAGCCTTTTAGTATTTTATTGATGTGGTTTCTTTGTCTTTAAATATTTGTTAAAGCTTAACGTTATACTCAGAGTACATATTATGCAGCTAAAACGTCAAGTAAGAAGAGTGTATGCAAAGTGGTCCAAGTTTTATTTCAAACTCTGATTTCCAATTAATCCTTCTAAGTATTATTCTTTAAGTTATAGTTTCATCCATGGTGAAAAAGGTTTAGAAGGTTGCCTAAAATTTTCACATCTATGTCTTTGAGTAAATAATTAGTCCACGTTGAAAAGTCCCAGGTCTAGTAAATCAGGTTTAAAATATTCTGAACTTGTAGAAACACCAACTGATAAGAGTTGGCCACAGTTTACTGCCTTCAAGTATTTCTCATAAATCTTGTCTTTTTCATTTTTTCTAAAGTAAATACACACCTGCTCGGCCCAATTAAATAAATCTGATTACATGGCTGGCATAATATCTAAATATCCAGAATTTATTAGTGATAGCTCATCATGGGAAGGTGGTGCGGGGGTGGCGGTGGATCCACCAAACCTCACAAATTCTTTATCACAATCCTAGTGCTCTTGGATGATTTACCACTAGTGCTTTCAAGATAAATATGGCAATCTTAAGTATCCAAACAACTCAAAGCAGTTTTAACTAATGTTAAACTCATTCTAATCCAGTGACATCTAGAGCAAAGCCTACATCAAGTTTTCTTTTGTTTTTCTTTTCTGGAATTCTTAAGCTGTTTCACTACCTGTTATATCATTATCTCAAAAATGGTTTTGCTATGTTGAGTTGACTCCCATAGTCAAAAACAATGTTTTCTTTAAAAATTCAAGTAACCAAAATTATACACGAATAAAATTACAAGACATTTTTACAGAACCGGATTAAGAAAAAATAAAAGCATACATTTTCTAGTAAAACTTCTAATAAAAGGGTATTGGATAAATTAATTTTGATTTAATAATTGTCTCACAGTCTAAAATAACTCTGAAACAATTTAAAAAAATGTAAGGAAACTGGGGTAAAAGAATATGACGATGAGAGAAAAGAAGCGCCTAGAAGCCAGTGATTCTTATCTTTCAGAGGAATTATTTCACAATACTGATAGTACTGGGAATTGTTAAAGCACATTCTTCCTGTGAACCGTAAGTCAGCAATGGTTCTGCCATTTTGATGTTGTTCATAAAACAGGGTGTGTGCCGGGCGCTGTGGCTCATACCTGTAATCCCAGCACTTTGGGGGGCCGAGGCGGATGGATCACAAGGTCAAGAGACCAAGACCATCCTGGCCAACACGATGAAGCCCCATCTCTATGGAAAATACCAAATCAGCCAGGTGTGGTGGCATACGCCTGTAGTCCCAGCTACTCGGGAGGCTGAGGCAGGAGAATCGCTTGAACCCGGGAGGTGGAGGTTGTAGTGAGCTGAGATCGCACCACTGCACTCCAGCCTGGCGACACAGCGAGATTGCGTCTCAAAACAAAACAAAACCAAGAATCAGGGTGAGAACCTAACAACCACAACTTCAGCATTAAGCTCCTAAAATGCTAGAACTTGATTTTCGAAGTCCGCATCCCACTGCCAGGAACAGGATGAAGCACCAGCATGGCACCATGCAGCTAAAAGATGTGCTTTCTATTCACGCCAGGAGACAGAAAATTCATGTGTGGAAGATAATCCACAACCTGATTCATCTCACAAGTTGAACTCTAATGTAAAGTTATTGCTGCCATAGATTTCTAGTTGCTTAGAAGACTTTGCTTCTTAATTGTCTGTGGATAAACTAGTTCACTTTAGTTTTGTTTTGTTTTTAAGGTAAGCTCACACCAGCCGTGCTTGCAGGGGTGAGGGAATTACTTCACCCTGAGCACAGAGGTGTTTCATGGCAAGTAGTTACATCGAGTCCACTTTCATGAAAACAATCCTGTCTGAGGAAAGAGTTCAGAGGAGAGGCTGGCCCATCAGAAAGGTGTCTCATCCGATTTCAGTATGGAAAGAGGTCTTCACGTACCCTGATCCCACCCCATCATTATATTGGTGAAGCATAGAGGCTCAGGGAAGCTGAGGGACCCTCTGAAAGTCACACAGGCTGTTTGTGGCAGCCGTGGGGATTGTAGGCGGGCCTCTTGATTCTCTATCCTCTTCTTACTTTTATTTCTAACAATTATAATGAGAGAGAGAAAGAGAGAGTGCAAGTTAGACAAATAGATATCTACTTACCTATCTATCTATCCTTCACTGTATATTTGTGCCCTGCCTTGTGCTAAGTTCAGTTTAAAAATAGAATGTAAAAGTGAGTTTAGGGCCCATGTCACAAGTGTCTACAGGGTCTAGACCATTCCATAAGCCTAGAACAAAGACAGCAGCTGTGGGTATACTTGGACAGACTGTGGCCAGAGAGGCAGAAGGGCCCACTGTGGCCAGAATTTATGATATTTTTCATTTTGGATATTGTTTTGAGGCAAGATTATTGGGGTGGGAAAAAACCTTTACAAATAGAGGGAAGAGTGTAGATAAAGATAGAAAAAATGGCCAGGAGCAGTGGCTCATGTCTGTAATCCCAGCACTTTGGGAGGCTGAGACAGGTGGATCACGAGGTCAGGAGATCGGGACCATGCTGGCTAACATGGTGAAACCCTGTCTCTACTAAAAATACAAAAAAAATTAGCCAGGAGTGGTGGCATGCACCTGTATTCCCAGCTACTTGGGAGGCTGAGGCAAAAGAATCGCTTGAATCCGGGAGGCAGAGGTTGCAGTGAGCCGAGATCGCACTACCGCGTTCCAGCCTGATGATAGAGTGAGACTCTGTCTCAAAAAAAAAAAAAAAAATTTAGAAAAAATGAGAAGAGTACTTAGAAAAAGGCCAGGGTTCTGATTTGGGAGACACACAAAGTATCTCCTGGTCAAGATAAGGGAATGCACCTGGCAGCCCATGAAGAGACAGAGATGAATTTACCCCCAGTAGGTACAGACAGAACCACACTCAAGGACCAGATAGGATTGTTCTCACTGGATGCCACAGTACAAAAGGGAACAACTAGAGAACACACACTCTCACCCGTGCCATCCCTGCCCTGGCTATGGTGCTAGACAAGCCCCTGGAATGTATATCATTTTTCAGGGAAAAGAAGAAGGGGGCAAGGAAAATCCTAAAATGACTGGAAAACCCTTGCCGTGATAGGTATGCTTGGAACTGGCTAGACTTTCTATCTTCAGGAAGAATGGAGGTTTAAGATAGGCTTTAGGTTTCATTATAGAAAAATTTAGGTAGATTTCTGCATACTTAAGTCTGTGCCCATAAAAGTCGTACTCACTGCACACAGAGGAAGGGAGTGGCGATTCCAAATGAGGCTAAGTATCTTAGAAAGCCGGGTGCTTGGGTTCCTGCCTGGATGTCTTGTTTCTTTGGATAACTATTCTATTTCATGCCCTTTGCTAAAATAACGTCCTATGAGGTTTCCATATATTGTGCTATGACTAAGACCCATGCAGAAACATCAAGCCCAAGGGAAAAATCAACACATTTGTTTTTTTCCATGTTGACAGTATGCTTTGGAAATGTGGAATTTCCTCCCAAATGTTTCTATTAAAACAGCCCTACCCACAAATGCCTTCTTATTTTAAAACTACATGCAAAATAAGGGAAAACGGAATGTACCTATACCAAAATCCACAGAAAGCAGTCCACAAATACAAGAAAAGGCTCAAAACCATGGTGTAGCTTTGACAGTCTGAATTTAACTTTTACTTAAGTAAATCTTTATGAAAGCAAAACACTAGGAAAATATATCCTCCAATTTCTTTAGGTTTTAGCCTAACCATTAGATCTCTAGAAGGTTGCAGTACCTTTCATTGCAGCAATGGATTTAAGGAGAAGTTGGCATCTCCAACAAACTCCAATGAGGGCATTGCAGTGACCCGGGTGCTACATCTGGACCTACCAATCACTCCCAGTGAGGCTTAGGAAATGAGGTGCAGTGCCTCTCCTGAACCTTATTTAATCATCTTTAAAATGAGAGGACCCCATGCCAGGCGTGGTTGCTCACGTCTGTAATCCCAGCACTTTGCGAGGCCGAGGCAGGCAGATCACCTGAGGTCGGGAGTTCGAGACCAGCCTGACCAACATGGAGAAACCCAGTCTCTACTGAAAATACAAAATTAGCTGGGCGTGGTGGTGCATGCCTGTAATCCCAGCCACTCAGGAGGCTGAGGCAGGAGAATCGCTTGAACTCGGGAAGAGGAGGTTGCAGTGAACCAAGATGGCACCATTACACTCCAGCCTGGGCAACAAGAGCAAAACTCTGTCTCAAAAATAAAAAATAAAAAGAGAGAGAGAGAGAATGCCTAGATGATTCTAGGCCCTTTCCAGCTTTCACACCATTTGATTCTACTTTTTATTCATGCAACTTCTAGATATACAGCTTGGCAAGTCCTTTAGAATTTAACATTTTTTCCTCTTAATAGTGCGTGTTTTGACCAGTCTATCAGAGCTCATTTTGTTCATCTTCCTAAAGGTTGATTCAGAATTGATCTTTATACTTACACGCACAAAGAGGGTGTCAATGCTGGAAGAATTCTACCATCCTATGCAGCCTTTAGATCAAGTAATTCCACCTTGGGCATGGCAAGGGACTATGGATTACTCAGAAAAGAAAAGTATTAACCCGTGGAAGGAGAAAGCATGATTTTCCATTTGAAAGAGAACAGGCATATTCCAGCACAGACTGCTCACTATAAACCATTGTCTAATTTCTTTATTTCCATACAGCTTTATTGACAGATACATAAGCATTTGAGGGCAGTTCACAGCATTGATAGTTTGCTTTCAAGCACAGTATTGATAAATAGAGAGCTCAGGAAACAATCACAATCAGTAAAATTCTGTAAAAGCATGACATGCCAGGAAGGAACACCATAAGATTACAGAGAAGAAAGAGAGAACCAGAAAGAAAAATAAAACAATTTTTAAAAGATCCCAGAAAGGAAATTTTACAGCCTCTAAAGTCTGAATGGAGAAAGGCATTCAACTAGCAGTAGAATATGATCTAAAATTAAAAGTAAATAGAAAATAAGAAGAAAGGGACCGCGTGCAGTGGCTCACACTGGTAATCCCAGCACTTTGGGAGGTAGAGGCAGGCAGATCACCTGGGGTCAGGAGTTCATGACCAGCCTAACCAATCTGGCGAAACCCCGTCTCTACTAAAAATACAAAAATTAGCCAGGCATGGTGGCACACACCTGTTATTCCAGCTACTCGGGAGGCTGAGGCAGGAGACTCCCTCGAATCCAGGAGGCAGAGGTTGCAGTGAGCTGAGATTGTGCCGCTGCACTCCAGCCTGGGCAACAGAGGGAGACTCCGTCTCAAAAACAATAAATAAATAAATAAATAAATAAATAAATAAATAAATAAATAAATAAAAAGAAAATAAGAAGAATAAGAAAAAAGAGATGAATTTGGAGAACTGAAAGTAAACAATGGAAAATGAGTAATTACTAGTCCGAACAAAGGACTTGTACTGAAGAAAAATAAAGTGAAAAAATTTCATGTGTGAATATTCTTTTCATCAGCATTGTTGGCTTAAACCTATGTCACTATATTTATTCTCATCTTGGCCATTTATTTAGCCCAGGACTATGTGGTTACAGTATTTAAATAATTTGTTAATATACTCTTAAATGGAAGACAGTTAAATTAACATATGAACAGTTGTTAGACAACATATACATATATAAATTAATTAATATAATAATATAAGATGGAACTAAAGATGATTCTTGAACTTTTCTTCACAACAATATTTTTTCTAGGTCCACTCACATAGAATATGCAGATTATAAACAAACTTATGAATGTAACATTAAAGATTAGTTATCACCACTTATAGCTATCAAATATTTTTAAAATGATAGTCAAATAATTATGCCAAGATTCTTAAAGCATTAGAATCTGGGCCATATTGAATACTTTGAAGAAAGTTTGAGAACTTTCACTAGAAACATCCACATTATGATGACTAAACAGAGTAACAGAAATGAATGTAATATGAATGTAATGCTTTAAGGTTTCTTATTTTTTAAGTAAGAGCTTTCTCAAAGAGCGCTTAAACATTTGCTGCTATTGGTTTATTCATACAGGATTTCACATTTAAATTCATCAAAGCCTTTAAACAAAATAACTTGAGGTAAAGAGTTCAAAGTACATGCGTTTAGACAACTCCAATTTTTCTCTTTCTTTCTTTCTTTCTTTATTTTTTTTTTCAGAGACAGAGTCTCACTCAGTCACCTAGGCTGGAGGGCAGTGGCATAAGCATAGCTCATGGCAGCCTCAAACTCCTGGGCTCAAGCTATCCTCCTGAGTAGTTGGGACTACAGGTGTGCAACACTATGATCAGGTATATTTAATTTGCATACTCTATTTGAGCGGATCTAAGAAAAATATTGTTTTGCAGAAAGTTCAACAAAAATTCGCTTGAATTTGTCTTGTTGTACAAGAGACCCATTTAAAGCAGGACTCAATCATCCAAGGGGGTTTTGAGTGGATGCTACTCCACAAATCTAAGTCAAAAAGCTACATGCTCTTTCTTCAGAGAAATAAGGAATGTAATTGCTTACTGAAAGAAACCCAGACATCTCATGAAACCGTGGGAGAAAGATTAGAAGAGTGACATGGCTTATCCAGGGCCATGTGGCTCATCTGAACACAACCGCAAGTGAGATGGGCCATACCCTTTTCACCTCCCAAAGCTACTATTATTGTAATTTCTCTTACGATTGCAGTAGGCGGGAGTGTTGCTCTTACAAGTGACCTCTTTTTTAGGAAACAATGCAATTAAACACATATTTCTATGCTGATCCTCAGACCTCCTGATCTATACCCTCACTGTGTGATCTTTCAACCAACCTTTATTGAGGAAAATACTTTGGACAAGGATTGAGCTCAGAATAATCGTTGTTCTTATTTTTTGAGCACTTACTATATGCCAGGCACTGTTCTGAAAATTTTCCATGCAGTAAGTCATTTAACTCTCCAAACAATCACACGAGCTATTATTTTTGTTTGCATTTTACACATAAAAAAGAAGAAAGAAAAACAGACACAGACAGGCTAAGCAACTTGTGTAAGATCACTGAGTAAGTGGTATAGTCAGGATTCAAATCTAAGTAGGAGAAAATCCCCCCGTGCCCTGCTGAATGCAAAGGCTAAGTGGGAGATAAACTCAAACAACAGGGCCAATATTTTGTATTTTGTGTGTAGGTACATTGGGGAGTTTACTGTATTTAACCTTCTTTCTTCATCTGCCTTGAGGGGATTTAAATTGTTGCCAAAGAAATGAATGCCAAAAACAAGAAAACATTAGCAGTCAAATTCTAACATTCAAAATAGAACTTTTCATTACAAAATCAGCTTGAGAGCCAGGCACTATTGAGATATGATGTGAAGGAAAGAACGGGCTAGGCTTGGCTGTCCAGACCACAGAGCTTCACAGTACAGCCAATCAGGGAGAAGAGGAGGAAAGCCCCTTTCTCTTCCAAGGGATTGTGGGAATAAGACGGTTGGCAGAGATGGTTGTATGTGTGATGGACTTGAGAAATATTGGAGGATGGAGGACTTAGGAGTTTGGCAGGGGGTCCTGGGACAACCTTGGTATCCCAGGATAAAGCAAAGGGCAGAGCAGCCAGTTCGGGCAGAGGAAGGTTCCAATCTGCCCTCCTAGGCTTCCCACACCCAAGTCATACAGCAGGGATGCTAAGTTAGGGACAGCATCATTGCAGGAGTGCTGGGAGTAGACCACCTGAAATAGGGGGAAGAATGGAGAACATACAGCGTCATGGAGGAGTCTACACCTTGGGGGACTAAATAAGCAAGAAGATGATTCCTGAGTTGAGAAAGAGCTAAGTGTGAGTCAGTGGTGGTAGGCCCCAGTAGAATGCAGGAACATCCTCTCTCAGCTGGGGAAACAGAGGGTGAGAGAGTGTGGCATGGATCGAAGGACCCTGTGATCCTCCATCAGAGGTAGGCCATCCTCCCTCCTTGTCTCTGTAAACCCCAGAGGGTAGAATTGGGGGCATGCAAGTAAACAAACTTCCCAAAGACTGGATGTTGTCAATGAGATGCTTAAATTATTGGAACAAACTCAGTTTGCAAAGCCAAAGTAAGTTTGGTTACTTTATCTCTCAGAGAAAGAGGGATGGAGGTGGTAGTTGTCAATTCATGAGGAAGCCCAGAACAACTACAAACAAGTTAAAGGGACTACACTCTTCCTACATGACTGAGTTATGGTAGTACTTAGAAAAAAAAAAAGGTCTTGCTGTATATAAAAACTGTTAACAATTATCAGAGGAGTGTGCACCAGAGCAACTCCATCTTGAATAGGGGCTGTGTAAAATAAGGCTGAGACCTACAGGGCTGCATTCCCAGACGGTTAAGGCATTCTAAGTCACAGGATGAGATGGGAGGTTGGCACAAGATACAGGTCATAAAGACCTTGCTGATAAAACAGGTTGCAGTAAAGAGGCTGGCCAAAACCCGCCAAAACCAAGATGGTAATAAGAGTGACCTCTGGTTGTCCTCACTGCTACACTAC
The DNA here is from genome assembly GCF_000001405.40 of Homo sapiens. Lineage (NCBI taxonomy): Eukaryota > Metazoa > Chordata > Mammalia > Primates > Hominidae > Homo > Homo sapiens. The sequence goes on from NC_000008.11 coordinate 19,167,979, forward strand.
CATCAGCACCACGACAGTTTACAAATGCCATGGAAATGTCAGGAAGTTACCCCATACGGTCTGAAAAGGGGAGGTGCTAATCCACCCCTTGTTTAGCATATAATCAAGAAATAACCATAAAAATGGGCAATTAGCAGCCCTCAGGGCTGCTCTGTCTATGGAGTAGCCATTCTTTTATTCCTTTACTTTCTTAATAAACTTTCCTTTCACTTTACCCTATGGACTTGCCCTGAATTCCTTCTTGCACGAGATCCAAGAACCCTCTCTTGGGGTCTGGACTGAGACCTTTTCCGGTAACATAATGAAGCACGGAAAGGTTTGTAGTAGAATAACAACACTGCTTCCTATATGTCAGACGCTGTCCTCAGCAGGTTATAGCTATTAATTTATTTAAGGCTTACAACATCCCTATGACAGGTGCTATTATTATCACAGTTTAGCAGATGAGGAAACTGAGACACAGAGAGGTTACGTAACCAGGCTCCAGATCACATAGCTGATAAATAACCGAGGTGGGATTGAACCTAGGTAGCCTGGCTCTCAAGTTCATGCCCTTAACCTCCGTGCTACACATTGCATGGAGGCAATACAAAGATGAGAAGACCCACTCTGCCATTTGCAGAGGAAGCGCTGTTGGGGGTTTGGCCTCAGAGGTGGGGAAGGGAAGCAAAAGGGTGAGAAACAGGAGCAAAGGCACTGAAGCCTCAAGGCACACACATGCAGGGAAGAGCAAGGCAGTAGACTCCTAACGTGCAAAGGGATTCGTCTGCAGGGCTGCTAGAATATTCTATCCGTGAATACCACTATGGCTGCTGCAGCGTAGCACATTTGATACCCAAGATTTCTTTGTTCTGGCTGAGAACCAAAAGTTCCTAACACTTCCATGCTTTGACTTAACTTCCACTTCATGATCATTTTGTAAAAAGAAACACCTTTTATTACTTTATGAGAATGCCCTAACGATGAATATGAAACAATAAGGCTCAGTCCATTGAGAAGGCTTGAAGCCAGCGAGGCTCACTCACTAGCTGGGTGACTCACAGCTCATACCCCTCATACGTCTGTAATATGAATTCATGCCTCAGCAGAGCGGCTCACAGATAGACAACACCAGGAAAGTGAAATCTGGGAATGTGAGGAGCCTACCATGTCCTGCGGGCTGGACCACACGGTATGGAGGAGAAGAGGAGGAACGGAAGCTGGCAGGTCAGCAGAGGCTGAGTTCTGACAGGCCTCGCATGCCCAGCTCAGGAAGACATGGGAGTCAGAGGAAAACGGGGGCCAAGAAAGGACCTGTACAGCATGGTCATTCTCTCGATCTAATGATTCCGGATAGTTTTTCTTTCTTTGAATATTTTCCTCACATTTATTGGCTTCACATTTGTGTTTCTTATTTTCTGAATTTTCAATTTTGCCTTTGTTCATTGAATATTCATATGTTAAAACACCTTTAAAGATGCTTTTGTATTAAAATATTAACCGATATACCGTGAAAGTTATTGGAATTAAAATGGAGTGACGAATGTTAAGAAAATCCTGAGAAAGGCCGGGCATGGTGGCGCACGTCTGTAATCTCAGCACTTCGGGAGGCCAAGGCGGGTGGATCACCTGAGGTCAGGAGTTCGAGACCAGCCTGGCCAACATGGCGAAATCCCATCTCTACTAAAAATACAAAATTAGCCAGGTGTAGTGGGGCACACCTGTAATCCTAGCTACTTTGAAGGCTGAGGCAGGAGAATCACTTGAACCTGGGAGGCGGAGGTTGCAGTGAGCTGAGACCGCACCAATGCATTTCAGCCTGGGCAACAAGAGGAAAACCCCATCTCAAAAAAAAAAAAAAAAAAAAAAAAGAAAAAGAAAACAAAATCCTGAGAAACAGAGCCAGGGGAGGCCCTGGAAAGTGGGTTCTCATGCTTCAGTGTGTGATAACAAAAAAGACTACAAAAACCACAACCTTGCACAAAGGCCATCACAATCTTACACACAAAAAAATACTCCTGCAAGAACATCTGCCCAGCAACTGGCCTCTCCAAACTCAGACTGGCGTCACCCTTGTTATTGATCTTTGTAGCCAAGGATAATGATTTCAAAACAATTATGTAATCCTCCTCATTTTTCTCTTTGGAAACCTTTGTCTTTCTTTACCTCCCTGAAAATGCACATAGTTCACTATGACATGCCTATTCCCATTGCAAAGCTCTATTCTTAAGTAACATCTCCTCTTTTAGAGAGGCTCTGCGATTTAGGTTGACAATATGTTGTGAATATTTTGCTCATTGTGGTGTGTTATTTACTTCTGAAACTTATTTAAACTGCTTTTTATATGAAAAGTTAAAAAAAATTATGTGGCCAAGTCTATATACTTTCCTTCATGGTTTCCTTCTGGTTTCTTATATTATTATTTTCTGAGCAGAAAAGCAAACCTATGGTTTTTTATGTCTGCCTCATGGTTCCATTACAGCTTAGAGGTTAAGAACTCAGGTTCTAAGTCCAATGAAGGTGAGGTTGAATCCTGGTTCTGCTCTCCACTGACTGTGAGCCATTTTTCTTCCTATAGTTTCCTCTCCAATTTTGAGCCAGGCACTCAATAAACCAATGAGAGACATAGTCTCTCCATTATGCAGATGGAAAAATTAGTATTTAGAGAGGTGAAGTTAATTGTGCGGTAAGTGGGAGTTAAAATTGGACACGAGTTTTCCTGTTTTTAGAGGCTGGGCTCTTACCAGTTACACTTATTCTATACTCCCTCACATGGGACTTGATTGTTACAGTCCTTTACTATCTTGTAGAATAAGTTTTGCTAGCATTTTGCTTGGGGTGTTCACATTTATGGTCAGAAGTGAGAAGATAGTACAGTTTGTAGGAAGTCTGCAGGTAGTTTGAACAGTTTATAGGTAGTTTGAACAGTTTGTAAGTAGTTTGAACAATCTCTGGGCTCTGGCTAATATTCAGAACCTGGTGATGTCATCTGAAGCCTTAGTTATCATATTTGGCCCATGTCAAACACCACACTGGACTACATGCCCTGGCTTGGCACACAGTCTCTCTAACGAGACTTACAAAGAAAAGGGGGCTGAAGAGAGAAGAGAGCAGACTGGCTTAATCAACAGTATTTAGTAGTTACCCTCTCTGTGAGGAACAAAAGTATGCACTGTAAACGGACACTAAGAAGATTCTGCTCCCCTGGGCTGCTTAAAGCAGGAACAATGATGTCAGGCGATGGTGTGAGTTCAGTTCAGAGCATGTTTTTAAATTAGCATTTAAGTTGATTAGAAACAGCTGGAAAATCAGAACGCTTGCATAACCTCTGCAATGATGCAGAGGGAAAGAATGCCCACTGCACAACCACAAGTTACCATCCTGAGTTGTTTTAGACAGGGAGATAATTCGCAGTCATTGCAAATTATTTTGCAAGCCCCGAACTTTTGGTCCCTTAAGTGTTCATCTTTATGTCTGTTCAGATAATATTGCTGCTCACTGCTGACTAGAGTCACAGCACTAAATACAAAATTAACACCCATTTCGTCTTTACGAAGTGTTTTTTAAAAGTATTTAAATCAGTAAGAGATTCTTAACAATCAAATATAATTCTTTTCATTATTAAGTCATGGGCAGATGAAATAGAATATTCTCCAGAGAGTTGAGGAGTCAGATGTAAATCTCAGCCCTGAACATATAGGAAGAAATGTAAGTCTGGGTGAGCAGCACTGATCCTGGGTCTGCTGCATCCTGATTTGCCTCCATCCTGGTGGCAGTGACGGTGGCCTATGCCCAGCCACCAAGCTCCATCCCCAAGGCCAAGCTCCACTTCCTAGGCCAGGCTCCATTTCCCCAAAGCCAGACTCCACCCCCAAAACCAAGCTCCACCCCCAAGGCCAAGCTCCACTTCCTAGGCCAGGCTCCAGTCTCCCAAGGCCAGGCTCCACCCCCAAAACCAAGCTCCACTCCCAAGGCCAGGTTCCATTCTCCCAAGGCCAGGCTCCACCCCCAAAACCAAGCTCCACTCCCAAGGCCAGGTTCCACCCCCATTCCCTGGAGCCCCGCCTCCCCAGCCTGCCTGGGCAATTGTCCAAACTCTAGCCTCAGATCCTTGATTGAGTCTAGTGTTAGTTTCACTGAGAAATTGGAATATTTTGCTGGTCTTTTCTGTTCTTCATTTGTGTAGTGCAAAAAATAATCAAAATGCTAGGTGTCAACCCTACAGAGCCACTGTCAGAATAAATAGAGGAACCTCTGATTTGTTTCAAATAAAACAATTTGCCTTTAAATGAAAATGATTACTGCTTAAGTATAAAATGGGAGAATACAGAAAAAAGGCAGTAAAATAACAGAAAAAGGCCGGGCACAGCGGCTCACACCTGTAATCCCAGCACTTTGGGAGACCGAGGCAGGCGGATCAATTGAGGTCAGGAGTTTGAGACCAGCCTGGGCTACATGTTGAAACTCTGTCCCTACCAAAAATACAAAAAGGAAAAATTATCTGGGCATGATGGAGATTGCTTGTAGTCCCAACTACTCAGGAGGCTGAGGCAGGAGAATCACTTGAACCTGGGAGGCAGAGGTTGCAGTGACCCGTAATTGGGCCATTGCACTCCAGCCTTGGCCAACGTGGGAGCCTCCTGCTCCGGGAAAGGAAGGGAAGGGGAGGAAAGGGGAGGGGGAGGGGAAGGGGAGAGGAGAGGGAGGGGAGGGGGAGGGGAAGGGGAGGGAACGGGGATGGGGAGGGGACGGGGAGGGGGGAGAAGGGACGGGAGGGGAGAGGGGGAGGGGACGGGGAGGGGAGGGAATCTATAATCCCACTGCCTCTAAACAACCACTATTAACATATTGTCATGTTTTATGCCTTTACCCTGGCATAAAGTAGTTTGTTCTGTGTCTCTCTTCTCTCTTTATGCCATTCTTTCTCTGTCTCTTTTTTGTCTCCTCTCCCCATATGTTCTGCAAGAAGTCTTTATCTTTCAACCAGAGGCCACTGAGTTAATTTTCACTCACAGAGAGGCCAGAGAGGTAAAAGGGGAAGTACGTACAGCAGGATCCACATTCCTGAAAAGTCCATATCTGGCCGTGGCCTTGCATCTCCACAGGCCCTCCCAGACCCCACCAGACCTAGAATCTCCATCAAGTTACTTCTGTTAAAAGAAAAACCTTAGACAAATTAAATTTAACACAGGTTAATTGAGCAAAGAATGATTCACAAATCGGGCAGCCCCCAAACAAGAACAGGTTCAGAGAGGCTTCATCACAGCCACATGGTCCCAGAAAATTCATGGACAGGAAAAGGAAAGCGATGGAAGGAAAAAGGAAGTGAGGTACAGAAACAGGCGGATTGGCTACAGCTTGCCATTTGCCTTATTGGAACACAGTTTGAACAGTTGGCTACCTCTGGCCGAAACTGTGACTGGCACAAGAGGAGGGTACAGGCTCTTTACACATCCAGTTAGGTTACAATTCACTATGTACAGAGACACTTTAGGCCAAACTTAAAATATGTAAAGAGGCAGCTTTAGGCTAAACTTAACACTTCTTAATTGCCCACAACTGCCTACGTAGAGGGCCACTGACAATTATCTATGGGCAGCGCTGAAAGCAATGGATGGGACACAGAAGGACATATTTTATAGGCATCACCACTTTCTCCATGGCTTTTGTTTTTTTTTTGAGATGGAGACTTGCTCTATCGCCCAGGCTCAAGTGATGTGGCACGATCTTGGCTCACTGCAACCTCTGCTTCCCGGCTTCAAGTGATTCTCCTGTCTCAGCCTGCCGAGTAGCTGAGAGTACAGGACCATGCCACCACGCGCAGCTAATTTTTCGTATTTTTTTTTTAGTAGAGATGAGGTTTCACCACGTTAGCCAGGCTGGTCTTGATCTCCTGACCTCGTGATCCGCCCGCCTCAGTCTCCCAAAGTGCTGGGATTACAGGTGTGAGCCACTGCGCCCAGCCTTTCCATGGCTTTTTGGCCCAAGATGAGCTCCACAAGTTCTAAGTGTTGTATCCAACCCCACCCCCACTCTGCCAGTATCTCTTAAACTACCCTATCTTGATAGTTGAATTTCTTTTTCTATTGGTGTGGCAGAGATGGTTATAGCTTAGCAAATATTCCATTCGCTAGTCAACCATCCCAGCTCTTCTGTGGTTAGGTAAGACCATGTGACAAAAGCTTTCTTCCCTTCCTGACTTGAGGCCTGTACTCCATCCAGATGGTGCAGCTACAAGACAGCCTGTCAAGGGTCCATGTGGAGCAAAGACTGACCCACATGGGACATGGAGTGTGTGAGGGAGAGAAAGAGACTTCTGTTGAGCTTTTGAGGTGTGCGGTTTGTTTATTATTGAGGTACACTCTAGCATATTTTGACAAATGCAATTGGAGAGGCCCTTAGATGGTGCTATACTCTGATTTTTAAATCTCCCTAAAATATGGATGTGATCATATTATTTTCTTGTTGAAATATCATCAAGAGCTAGCCATTATCTAAATGATGAAACCTAAATGCCTTACCCTTGCAGGTAATCTGGTCCCACCATTAATCTGGTGTTCTGCGTCTAGCCTATATCCTAAATTGCAGCCACATTGACTCCTAAGCTATTTCCCAAACACTGGTTTTCGAATATCCCAGTCCTTTAAATGGTAGTGATAGGTGTGGTACATGCTGTTCTGTCTGCTGAGATGGCCCTGGCTGCGGTTCTCCGCTTGGCATAGTCTCACAGATCCTACAAAACCCAGCTCATATGTGATACATGTGAAGTGGTACCCAACTCCAGAAGATATTGTCAGCTCCCTCTCCCATGTTGCCACAGGGCTTGGCAGGGTCTTTCCATCAGAAAGTCTCCTACCACATGAGGCATTTACATGTCCATTATTCCAGCCAGATGGTCAGGTTCTTAAAAATGGTGTCATATCCTATTCTTTACTAGCACAATACCAGGTACGTAGATATGTATATGCATTCCCTGTTATCCTAGAGCTGTGGCCGCAAGGGATGGATTAAGAGGGGTATTAGCCCCTCCATGGTATCTGTCAGTCTACCCTCACAAGTCTTTGGTATATTCAACCGATGTTTCTCAAACAGAATGTTTTATAGACCAGCTTTAAGACAAGTCCTTTGCCTCCTCTTCTCCCTACACCCAGAATGTCACCCCAAATATCTCCTGCATCAAAGTTTTAGAGCCCATACTGAGTAGCACTAACAATGTCTGACATAATAGGTGTTCAACAAAAATGTGCTGATGATAAAAAGACTACTAGTTCATGGTTACAGAGCATTTACTATGTGCTAAGCAATAAACTAAGCATTTATACCCATTATTTTATCCAGTCCTTAAGAAAACCCTATGAGGTGGGACATTATTAAAATCCTCATGTTACATCTGAAGAAACTCAAACTGGTTAAGTGTGCCCGGGTTGACATGGTGGGTAAATGACAGAGCGAAGATGTGAACCCAGGCTCTCCACCTTTAGGCCTTTGTGTTAATTAAAGAATGAATGCTCACAGTTTATATTTTTCTGTTTTGAGACAGAGTCTCACTATTTCACCCAAGCTGGAGTGCAGTGGCACGATCTTGGCTCACTGCAACTTCCACCTCCCAGGTTCAAGCGATTCTTGTGCCTCACCCTCCCAGGCAGCTGGGATTACAGGTGTCTGCTACCATGCATGGCTAATTTCTGTGTTTTTAGTAGACATGGGGTTTCACCATGTTGGCCAGGCTGGTCTTGAACTCCTGAGCTCAAGTGATCCACCCTCCTTGGCCTCCCAAAGTGCTGGGATTACAGGCGTGAGTCACTGCGCCCAGTCCAGAGTTGATTCTTATGATCCCAAACAGTAACATTCAAGTATGAAAATGACCTCCCGGGGAAAAAAAAATTGACTCAATAGTCAGGTCTCTAAAGACAGTGAGATGGACCTGAAATAATCTTTTTGTAAGAGGCACGTTTGCCATTTTATACTACAGGGCCAGCGTGATGCTAGGACGTTGCATGTCCAGCCTGTAGCTCCCAGTGGTAAAAGCTCTTTTTGTTTACAAAACTGGATCTAGTCCCAGTTCTGCTACTCACTACTTGAGTGAACTTGAACCAAGTTATTTAACCTCTCTCTTTCCCCATTTCCCCAAGAGAAAATTGGGGAAACACTAGCCCTATCTCATAGCGTGTGAGGATTGTGTGGGCTGATGCACGTAAGACACTTAACAGAGGCCTGGTACATTTTTACTGCTTAATAAATGTTGACTATATTTATCACATAATCATTACAACAGGACAAAACTCCTTGTCAGTATCAGCTGCCATCTCTGATATATCTGTGAACCTAGGATTTCTCTCCATGAGCTGAGAACCAAGCCATGCTCAATGGAGGAAACTCACATTAGAAGTCCGGACCTAAGTCAGTTCTCGGCTGTGCTATTAATTTATGAGAGGGCTCAAGCAAAATAGCGTGATCTTTCAGGGCCTGGGTCTCTGTCTCTGGGCAATGCAGATAATGATGTACCAGTCACTAGCAGTGAGCCGTATACGTAGACAGTGTCTTAAAGTTGCTCTATATGACCATGCCAGCAGTGGCCACATAGATCAGTGACTAATGGTCATGCTAAAAATTTTTGACTTTAAGTCAGGTATGTAAACTAATGAACGCTATGTGGAATGGGTTAAGTTTTGGGTTTTGTTTTTTTGTTCTGTTGTTGTTGTTGTTGTTGTTGTTTGTTGTTGTTTTGAGGCAGAGTTTTACTCCGTCACCCAGGCGGGAGTGCAGTAGTGCAATCCGGGCTCACCGCAACTTCTGCCTCCGGGGTTCAAGTTATTCTAGTGCCTCAGCCTCCTGAGTAGCTGGGTCTACAGGTGCGCACCTCCACGCCCGGCTAATTTTTGTATTTTTAGGAGAGACGAGGATTCGCCTTGTCGGCCAGACTGACCTTGAACTCCTGGCCTCAGGTGATCCACCCGCCTTGGCCTCCCAAAGTGCTGGGATTAGAGGCGTGAGCCACTGCACTCGGCCAGATTAAGTATTTTTAATGATAAATTGACATAACACTTAGGGAAAAATCCACATTTAAGTGATAAGAAAAAACGTTTAAAATGCTCAGAAACAGAAGGGCCCAGGAGGACATAATGAGCTTTTAATTACTTAGCTACTGTTCATTCCAATTGAGATCAATTACGTATGCTTTTAGTTACATTTAGAAGCATTTTCCTGTTTAAGAAGCCTATCTATCAGAGAGAGAGAGAAAAGGTAAGATTCATAAATTCCACCTACTTAATTTTTTAGGAGAGCTCTTGGAAACAAAAAGTCAGAGTGAAATAAGAGTTGTGCTGCTTCAAATGGAATTTAGGAATACTGAGCAATGTAGGTGGTCCCCGCTGGTATGATGCAATGCGTTTCTAGAAACCAGAGCATGAGAGGAATCCTTATAAGGCCCGCCAAGCAGCTGCTCTTGCATTTGTTTGCACCCGGCCACAGGGTAATCCTTAATTTCCCAGGCCATTCTTGATCCAAAGCACAGTGGTAACAAGAAAACCCTCTATTTTTCAGGCAACGCCAGAGGTGAGGACGTGCTTATCAAAGTGTGGGAGTCATTTTTGTGTTTTTGATTCCTGAGACCCCCAGTGGAACACCACACTCTCTGAAAGGGGTGTTATGGCACAGCGTGGAGTGTAGAGGCTTTGAAGCAACACGGATCTGGGCTCCAATTCAGATTGCACTCCTTGCTGCGTGATGTCAGGCAAATTACTCAGCTGTCCTGAGCTTTTCTGGAGTTGTCTGTAAATTCAGGGTAATGACACCTAAACTGCGGTTTGTTCTGAGGCTCGGTGAGTTGTCAGAACTCAATATCAAGAACTCAGAACAAAATATCAAGTGGGTGCCGGGACACCCTCATTGGCCTTCAGTAAAGCTAGTTATGTCCTCAGTGGCCCCTCTTTTCCCTCATGTGCTTTGGACGTCTCCTCTATAGTCTTGTAACCTTTGCTCAGGGTGCCCCCTTTAAGAGCCTGTGGCTCAGCTGCTTGGTCACCAGCTCTCACTGCTGCCCCAGTGTTGCTACTCTTGCCCGGCTACCCCTCTGAGGGCGCCAACGAGCTACACTTTTCTGATCATCTTCATCACGTGTGGCTCCTCAAGTGACACAGGAGACACGTGCAGGCCCAGAAGTCAGCCTGGTCCCTGCATTGAATTTAGCTCATTATTCGCTTACACCCCTTTGGCAAAGTTTGAACAACTTTATAATGGGCAAACTGTTTCACCACATTTGCATCCATTAAAGAAAAATCCAAGTTGGCATATGTGTTTAAAACACACAAACTACTATACCTGCACTGTCCAATGTGGTAACCATGAGCCACATGTGAAAATTGATCCAACGAACTGGGCCATTCTGGGCATATCCAAGTAAAGCAGAGTTGAGAGGCCAAGGGGAGAAAGCACTCAGGAAATACCACTTGGCTCCAAGAATGTAATTCCCTGCAAGCCAGGCTGCTGAAACTGCCTTCTGTAACTGGAAACCAGTTTTATCTGACAGCTACTGAAACAACTTGCTACAGCTCTAAGACTACTTTTACCCACCACCGTAGTCTGTCACCAATCAGAACTTGTCAGCTTCCCAGAACTTGCCTGGTGCCAATGAACTTTTTTTCAAAACAATACATAGCATTTCTCCTTTCTATAAAATCTCCAACCTTCTCTTTGTTCTTCAGACAGAATGAGGACCACTGGTCTGTGTATATGCCCTGAATTGCAATTCTTGCTTCCCAAGTAAAATGTTTTAAATTTAGAGATTCATTTCTATATTTTATTTGACTTCAACAGATATTTAAAATGTGGCTGGTGAGAAGTGACATGCCTTGAAATAAAATACACACTGAATTTTGTGCAAAATACAATTAAATGTAATCATTAAATATACTTTAATTATTTAACTATATTTTTATTGATTATATAAAATGTATCATTAAAATTAATTTCAACTGTTTTATTTTATTTTATTTTATTTTATTTTACTTATTTTTTTGAGACAGAGTTTCACTCTGTCTCCAAGACTGGAGTGCAGTGGCGTGATCTTGGTTTACGGCAACCTCTGCCACATGGGTTCAAATGAGTCTCCTACCTCAGCCTCCTGAGTAGCTGGGATTACAGGCATGCAGCAGCATGCCCAGCTAATTTTTGTATTTTTAGTGAAGAGGGGGTTTTGCCACATTGGCCAGGCTGGTCTTGAACTCCTGACCTTAGAAGATCTGCCTGCTTCAACCTCCCAAAGTTCTAGGATTACAGGCGTAAGCCACTGTGCCCGGCCCTATTTCTTTCTTTAATTCTTTTTATTCATCTTAATGTGACTAGAAGAAAGTTTTAATGGTGGCTCACATTAAATTTCTATTATACTAGACAAATCCCAAAAGCAAACATATTAACTATTTTAGAAATACTGCAGTAATCAACAGCTTCAGTACTGTGGAGACAGGTTTTTCTTGGAAGAGATTACGGAATGTAATTATTCATGTTTTGAAAGAGTGCTTGCAGCCTTTTGTATTTGCCTTTCATAATGGCTATGTCATCATATGATTGACTACTTGTTTACCTTTATCGATTATATTCGCAGATAGATGATTTTCAATTGGCAAAAAAAGTTAAAAACCATGCATAAGGTTTTCTGTCAAAAAAGTAATGCACGATTATCACCAACTTATAAGTATTTGTCATATCCAATGTAGATTTACAATAATGGAGTAGTATCTGGTTTACTGATTTGATTGTCTAACTCATTTTGTATACAATTCCCAGTTACTTGGTCACTATTGTATAAGCTATTTTGGATACATACGTAACTTTGTTTTAAAATGCCTAATTGCTCACTCAAGAATGAATCACCTTCAGTAGCTGGCTAAATGATTCCTATGAAATTTCAATTATTTGAAGAAAGCCAGTCTTCACTGTGACATCAGAAAAACAAAGCTTCCACTAAAAAAGATTAATAAACATAACTCTTTTTAGCAATCAAAATAATACTATGTTTCTTTGTCTGGTCTTTAAGACATTGGCCTAGTACATTTTTATTTGTTCAATATGTGATCCAAGTAAACATAGCCATCTTATGCTTTATGACTTTTGAAGGTTCTCAACGTATTCACCCAATCTAAAAACTGACCTGATACAGACATCTGTCTCATTGAAAACCACTTACAAACAAAAATAATACAGGCTGTCTTGGAATAGGCCAGCCAGAATATCACCATAGTTTGATCATCTTTAGTTTTTTTTCCAGAATACCTATTTTTAAAACTTCTTTTCAAAAATTGCCTGTGTGTTCTGTTTAATTTTCTGTATTATTGGGATAATAATTTTGGAGGGAAAAACCTACTACATTTTCATTAAATGGTGTAACAAGCTGTAAAGGGAGATCACAGTATTTGTCAAGGTCAGTGAATTTGTCAAATGAAGCTGCTATTGGCTTCTGCGTATTGTTTGACTGAACAAATTGTGTTTTACTTCACTTTTATTTTAATATTTAATATTCTGGTATTTTTCTTTCCCATTTAAGAGTGTCCTGACCATCATCATCTTTTTAAATTCTTCTGTGTCATTTTGATTACCTATATATTCTTGCCATTCTTAACTTTTTTCTGTATCCTCATGAGTTTTAACCAGCAGAGTTTTTGTTTGTTTGTTTGTTTTGGTTTTTCAAGTTTCTACTGTGACATATAGGAGAGTTTGTGACATTTTCAATTCTGTCAGTCTTCTCCCTTTCAGTTTACAGTTTGAGCTTCCACTAGGCTATTTCTTTCTTATTATTTGAATTTTAACATGAACATAAATCTGAAGAAATATCCCAAATTCATCTGAAATTAAGGCATACGGAAGAGCAATTTTAATGCATTTAAATCGTTACAATGTTGCATGGTTGTATGAAGCTGCATTACTGTTTAATCAAATCTTCTTCTATATACCTTGTCTAATTATGAATGATGGAGCTCAGGAGTTTTTATCAGTGGATCATTTGTGTCAGTAACTATTTTGCACACTGTTTCCTCTGGAACCACCAGACTTTGTTAAGACAAGATAAATTAAGATATTCGGAGATGCAACGCAACGTGCTGAGTTGCCTAAGGCATATGACTTTTTTTTTTTTTTTTTTTTTTTTTTTTTTTTGGAGACAGAGTCTCACTCTGTCACTCAGGCTGGAGTGCAGTGGTGTGATTTTGGCTCACTGCAATCTCCTCCTCCTGGGTTCAAGCAGTTCTGCTTCAGTCTCCCGAGTAGCCAGGCTAATTTTTTTGTATTTTTAGTAGAGACAGAGTTTCATCATGTTAGCCAGGCTGGTCTCGAACTCCTGGCTTCAAGTGTTCCATCCGCCTTGGCCTCCCAAAGTGCTGAGATTAAAGGCATGGGCCACCACACCCGGCCATAAGGCATATAACTTTGCACACGAACTCACTCCCTGTTTGTAGTACTGGCATAGGTCTGTGCTCTACACACTTGAGAAGCCTGAACAAGTCATTTCACTGATGTCCATTAACAAAGAAAATATTGTACAGGACTTTTATTGTTTTAGACAGTGGATGATGGTGTCTACTGACAGGAGAGCTCTTCCGTTTTGAGCAGGTGTTTTGAAAACAGAATCCTCTGCTTAGCTTTGTACGTGTCTGATGATAGGGAGAATTTTCCACAGACCAGTTTTGGTCTGCACATGTTTATCCTAGCTTCTCTTCCACTATCCAGCCGTACAGTGCCAGTACACAGGCCACGTCCTGATCACGGTATGACCTGGCCCTGTACAATCACATCACTGTAGGGCAGGTCAGCACGGGGGCCTCAGGAGTATTCCTGGAATCTACTCCATACTGGGACAGCTAGCAGTAACTTAACCCGACACAACAGTGACTGTGAACCTCACAAATATATCCCATGAAACCCAGCTAACTGGATCTTCCATTTAACTTCCTCTTAGATGGAGCCTCAAAGCCCCCATGATCTCCAAACACACTCAAGGCAAGAAGAAGAAGGATGGAGGGAAGGCAGAAGTGGACAGAGGTGTTGAGCAAGCATATTTAAGATATCTCTAAAAAAATTGTTTGCATATAAGAACATCAGACCATGTGAGCATATTGCTAAGCCCTTCCCTGGGGTCTTGGGAAAGGCCCATGCAACTGAAGGGCCCCGAAGTGGAAGCTTTACCAGCTGCACAGCAAGTCAGCTTCTAATTTATTTCAACACCAAGCCAGGGTTCCAGGACATGGCTCCCATATCTCCATTCTCTTCTGTGTCAAGGTCCGTTCCATGCCCACCAACTGGGCTCCTTATCCAGATGTGGGGACTTGTGGCCTCCCCTTTATTCAGGAGTGTTCAGCAGAACTAAGATGCCCTATTATCAAGTCCTTCCTCATTCTCAATTTCTCCCAGATGATCTGCTGCATCTTCATGAAAACCTGCCTCCTCCTCAGACAAGGCCTCCTCAACTGTACTCGCTACTTCTCATTGTCTTGGTTCATTGCTGTGAATTATGGAAGAAACTATCTTTGAGTCAGTAAAGAATATGAAAAGTTAAACAAGTTTTATTAGGCAAAATTCAAAGTGGCAGTGAATGGGAATCAAGAATATACACAAACTTTGCATGTTGACAGTGATAGAAAAACGTCCTAGTGTAGGATGCTATGGTAATTATAGCATGGATCACCTGGAACTGATTCCGGAAAGAGTATCAAAACATTAGAGTCGATGATGTAAGACAAGCCCAGGAGAATTTTTAACCCAGTTGTGACTTACAAATCCAGAAGAATTTTTAGCTCAGTTTGGGTGGGGATGTGACAGCTGCCTCTCAATAATTGTTACGTGTACCTACAAGGACGGAGTGAATAATGTAGCTGGGCACAAAGCAATCTAAATTAAACCAAGTAAGTTAAATTAAGTAAAAGATAATGAGAGCCAGATGTTGTGAAACTCCGTTAGGCTATGGAAATATCCCGAAAGAGATGCAAGTAACATCATTACTCAGAACCAAGAAAATAGTATTATCACGGAATGTGTTATGAGTAACTTCAGGATGCTTCTTCCAGGGGACTAACTGGAGGCCCAACACGTTTCCTGTTTCTCTTGCCAAATGCCACAATTCTGTGATCCTTGTTTACCCAATGCCAAATTATGAGGACAAATTTCTTCATTAATATAATACTTAAAAACAAAGACTATTGCCTAAAGAGTTCAATCACTTAAAGCCCTACTTTTTTTAAAAAATGTGTCATCTCATAGAATAACTGAATTTCCCAAAAAATCCAATTAATTTGGATGCTGTACAATGAAGCCTGTTAAACTGGAAAGAAAGAGACAAGAGCAGGGAAGACAGGTTTCATCTAGTAAGCTTACTGTAATTAATTAATAGCATTTGCTTGGGGCTGTGAGTGGAGAAGGGTTTTGAGGAAAATAATATCATGATCCATCAGTGATGTCTGCCATGGTATGTGATAAGCCAGCAACAACTTGTCTGCCATTTGCAAAACTCTCTTAGACCAGAGCTAGAGGTCAGCTAACCACAGACTCATCAGAATCCAAGAGGCCCCAGGCAGTGTAGACACAGCCCTGGAGCTGAGGCTTTCTGCTCCTCCCTTAAAAGATTCCACCAGTGGCAAAGAAACCAGGAAGCCATGTTTAAGGGCCCACTATCTTAGGCTATGAGAGTCATGACTGTACCCTCTGGCTTTTGAGAATGCTCTTGGAGGCAATTTTGCACAACTGTGTCATTTTAATCGTGAGGAAGCTGAGGCCAGAGAAGCTATTTCACTCACCTGTGGCCATAAGACAACTTAGAGGGAGAGTTGGGACTAGAACCAAGGCCCCCTGGCTCCCAGACCTGTGACATGAAGTTCTATGGGAACAGCCGGTCCCTTTCCTGCTCCTGCTCTGCAGCACTCTCCCAGGTCCTGGGTAGCCACATGATGCTAGTCTTAGAGCTGTGTGGATGCTTGTCAACCTCTGACCTCTTGTTGCCCACCAACTTCGAAGGTTGTACTCCTGCTTCCTTTTGGGGTCTGTGGTCAGTCTTCTCTTGTTCTTCAGGATCAGTGACTCATTGGACACCTTAATTCAGGAGATAACAACAATGGTAGCTCCTGAAATGCCCCACGAAAGCTCAGGTGGACTATAGTGTTCCTCCTGACGTAAGCCATAAAACAAAACATGCTTGACCTGGGTATAGAGAACCCTGAATGAGCTTCAATATTCCTTTTTGGTTTGTTAGTAACAAGAGCCAGCCAAGGGCAGATATGAGTCAGACTATGGTGTCACGTACATCCCAGGCTGACCTTGAACTTGCTCTGCCTGTTAGAGGCCCAGGGACAGCAAAGAGAAGCTTCCCCTGCCTTGTTCTGGGCATGATCACTTTGCAGAGGACAATCTAATCCTTTCAACTTGACTTGTTTTCATTTGTGATTTTTTTTTTCCCTCTTCCTATCAAGGCTCCTAAGGACATCTGACAGCCTGATGACAACCACCTTAAGGTTCATCAAGACCCAGACAAAACAGAATTTCACATCAGCAGAAAGCCGAGCACCTCCTGTCTTCTTTCCAGGACTGACATGTTTAGTCATACACCCTTCTAAGTTTTCTTCTTGGTTTTACTTACTTGTGTGGTATGGCCAGGGGCCAAGGCCAGGGAGATGCTCAGCAGGTTGCCCCAGTGGGAGGGGTTTGATGCTGCCCCGCTTTTCTCCTCCTGCAAGGACATAAACCATTCCTGGTGCAAAGCTGCAGACATTGTTTTCTTAATACATGAAGTAGCTTTGGCTTGACTGCAAGGACAGTGTTGCTCTGGCAATAACTGGTATTGTATCAAATGAACATGAAACTCAATACAGCAGCGTGGTCTTCTCCATCTTTGGCCCATTTATACCTGGTGTTCCATTATTGGAACACTAAAAATGTGGGAGTCATTTATATCCTACTGCTCAAGGTCATTGCCAAGGTCTGATTTGCAAAAATTCAAAAAATTGCAACCTCAGGCATAAATGGGTTAGAGCCTCTTATTTTCAGAGTTCCTGAGCAAACGGCAACTATTCTTCCAAAGCTTGTTGGATTTGCACGTATACACCCAGGCCTCTGTGAAGGGGTCTGTGTTACTGCGTTGTTATCCAATAGTCAAAAAGGATACATCCAGCTTCTCATGTAAAGCATTTATCATAGTACCTGGCACATGGTAAGCATTTAGTAGAGTTAACCATTCATATAATTATTATAACTTTTGTTGTGTAAGTAGCACCATGCTGTAATGTGCAGTACTATATGGCTTAGTCTTAATAAGAGCTGGCATACTGTAGAAGTTTATAGCTATTAAATAATTTTCAATCATAATTCCACTTAATCCTCAGAAAAATAGCTTAAATTGCACCTCTACATACAATTTTCTCCATTGGGTCCCCATCTATTCCTTCTGTGAACTACCACAGCGCTGAATTTGCTTCTGTTTGTTCCCTCTCCCCCACTTAACACACACAGCCCTGGGAACCCTCTCCTCCTCTGCTCTGCTCTCAGCCCCAGGAAGTGACATCCCCCAGGCTCCCCTGCCAGCTGGGAGGCACCAGCCGGAGATTAGAGATGTAGTAGTCAGGGTTGTTCAGAGAAACAAAACTAGTATGAAGAGATGTATTAAAAGGAATTGGTTCATTTGATTATGGAGGCTGACAGGTCCCAAGATCTGCACGGTAATTCAACAAGCTGGAACCCCAGGAGAGCTGATGGTGGATTTCCAGGCTGAGGGCTGGCAGCTTAGAGACCCAGGAAGAGCCAATATCTCAGTTCAACTCCAAAGGTAGTAAAAATGTTGATGTTTCAGCTCAAAGGTCATCGGGCAGGAAGAATATTTTTTTTCTTGGAGGAGGGTCCAACTTTTTGTTCTTTTCAGGCCTTTGACTGATTGGATGAGGTCTGCTCACATAAGAAAAGGCAACCTTCTAGGGTCGGGCACGGTGGCTCACGCCTGTAATCCCAGCACGTTGGGAGGCCGAGACAGGAGGATCATGAGGTCAGGAGATCAAGACCATCCTGGCTAACACAGTGAAACCCCGTCTCTACTAAAAAAATACAAAAATTCAGCCAGACGTGGTGGTGGGTGCCTGTAGTCCCAGCTACTCGGGAGGCTGAGGCAGGAGAATGGCGTGAACCCAGGAGGTGGAGCTTGCAGTGAGCGGAGATCGTGCCACTGCATTCCAGCCTGAGCAACAGAGTGAGACTACGTCTCAAAAAAAAAAAAAAAAAAAAAAAAAGAAAGAAAAAGAAAAGGCAACCTTCTTTGCTCAGTTACCAATATAAATGTTAATCACATCCAAAAACACCCTCCCAGAAATACTCAGATTAATGTTTAACCAAATATCTGGGCACCTTACGGCCCAGTCAGGTTAGTGCATAAAATTAGCCATCACAGAGGGTAAAGGAGAGAAAGATCTCAGCATTTCTTTCCTTCTGCCTCCCTGCTTTGGGCGCAGCATCTCCGAAAGCTGACATGTTTCTCTGGGATGACAGATCCAGTGGAACAGCCCCCACTGCAGGCTCCAGCTCTATTTACTCATTTCGTACCATCGTAATAGCTCCCTTTCTTATTAATCTTTGGGCACCTGAGTAACCTTTATTGATTCTTTAACCCAGGACACACCAGAATGATCCCATCCTTCAAGCCTCTTCATCTGAGTCTTTGGGGTGAATGTTGTTTCCTCCTGAGATTCAAAGAGACAGAGCAGTATTCATCTTTCTCTCCATTTTATAATTATAGTAGAAATACATGTTGATTGCGGAAGCTTTTGTAACTAAAGAATACGTTTTTAAAAATCAACCCGAATCCTACCAAAAGGAGATCACCGTTATTGACCCGTTATCTCCCACTGGTGTGTGTGTGATGGAGGAACCTTATAAAAATAGCTTGCTGTTGTCGTCTGTCTCATTTCTTTAAACATTCTTCAAGAATGTAATTTTTAATGGCTGCTTGTTGTTCTATGATATTTATAACTCTCTTGTGGCACTTGGATTATAAAATATTTTCTGCCCCTAGAAGATACTCACAGAAGGCAATTTGCCATTCAGCTAGCTTTGTACTTTGCACATTAATGTCATTTATTCAAAACCACATCATGCACCCCACCCTGTCAAAGACAATAAATGGTTTACAGACATAAATAAAATATAGCAAGAGAACATACACTTAATGTATGTAAAAGAGTAAAAGAGAAAATAAGCATCAGCATAGTAAAAGGAGATGGAGCCAAGACAGGTTAAAATCCACTAACGCATGCCAAGAATCTTATACTCTTATTAGAAGTTGGCCACAAACTTGGCTGTAAGTCCATTCAAAGAGGAAAACATTAGTAGTTATTCAATCACAGTTTCCATAAAATAAAAACAATCCAGTTACTTGGGAGTAGTCTTAGCAAATGGCATAATGTAGTCTTCAACAATATCCTTACTGCCAAGGCCGAGAGGGGATTTTTATGGAGCTGTTTCTTTTAAAGTCTGCCTATATAAGCCGAGGGTATTGTGCCAAACTGCAAGTCAGGAAAAGCAATTCTACCAGGGCCCTGGGGAGATACATTCTTGGTACATAGCTCTTCATCTGGCTTAAGCTAGGAGTCGAATTCAGAGACTGTAGACAAAAGGATGGTTTGCATATTCTTCAGGAAAATCTCCATGCTGGCTCTCTTTACAATATCTATAGATCTATACCTACTATATTAAGTAGCAGAGTTCTGGCTCCAGCAATGTGGTTATTTGAACTAAACTGGACTCCATCCCTTCTAGAAACATTTAAAGTATCACAGAAAATTATAAACACATAATCAAAATTGAAAGAACAAATGAACAGTCTCCAGGTCTCAGCAACAGCAAGAAAGGTCTCAGGTAGAGGGATTAGGCTTACCAGCCACCTCTCCTGGCCCAGGGGGACATGGAACCGCAATACAGATCCAAAAGGGTGAAATTTTAATACGTCAAGAGGGGAATTTGGTGTGATCTCGGGCCTCTGCAAAGTAGGGAATTGAGACTGGAAAGTTCTGTACGCAGCTAAGTCCCTGGAAAGAAGGAGTAGAAAAGCTATTATTAGCCCATCACTGATTAGGGCTCTGATTTAAAAGAAAAACATCAGATAAACAAACAAACAAAAATTATCCTACAGAAATGAAACCCCAATTTCAAGACACTTGTAATTGTAGAGCCCTGATTTACCCAATCATAGCTGCAAAATTAACATAAATATGGTTCCCAAACCAGTGAAACCCACAGAACATTTGGCAAAAGGGAATGCAAAACAAATCTGTAGTGACATTTCCCCTGCCCAGGCTCCTGGGACAACCACAGGAACAAACGACTTCAGCTGAGGATGAGCTCACAGTAAAAAACTTACAAACCACAAGACAAACAAAAAACTGAATCACGTAAGGGAAGTCAGCAGATACAAAAATACAGAAAAATAGGTGCTCCCCACCAAATTGAAATATTTGGGATGTTGGGGATGTTGGAGGTGGTGGGATTCCCTTGCATCTTTGTAGATCTCAAGACCTCGGAGATCTTGGGCTGTTTAGGTGAAGATGGTGGCACAGGTGCAGGAAGAAAGAAGAAACTCTTCAAAAGCCCTTTACGTCAGAGTTCCCACTTTTACTATATTAAAATAACGTTACAAAGTGAACTGAGCCATGAAGCCAAGTCAGAAAGCTAGAGAGCCCTGAAGTTTTCACCAAATGTATGGACATAGGCAAGTTTCCTCACCTCCTCAGTCTAAACCACCTATTTACCATCTATTTACCAACCCCAAGACGTAGGCAATTACTAGAACCCTTCCAGAGTCACAGAAAGCAGGGCAGATGGGGCTGTGCTGACTGACAAGAGATGAGCTCTGAGGTTCTGCAGTGAGCAGGTCTATGCAAATCTACCCCTAAATTCTGAGGAAGCTGAGAGGCCAAAGAAAAAGGCTGACAAATCTAGTTTCTTAGAAACTATTAAAAGGGGCCTACATAATAACTATGTTTAAATGATTAAAAATTCTGAGAGAGAAGAGAATCAATACGATAAATTAGGCCAGTAAAGAAAGCAGAATCTATACAGAATTAGAAATAAAAATATAGCTACTGAAGTTAAAAACCCAGAAGATGGGTTCAATGACAGACCTAGATCCGATTCAAGAGAGGAAAGACCTGAGGAAATCCCCCAGAATTCAGTTCAAAGACACAAAAGGATTCTAAGATATGAAATGACAGTGAGCTCAAGATCATATTTAACTTTACATTTACACAGCACTTATGTAGGTAGCCTCTGTCCTGTTCTTTACAAAGATCATCTAACTTAATCCTCTTGACAATCCTCTTTTTCAAATGTAGCTGAGGTACAAAGAGTTTTATGGACTTACCAAAGACACACAGGTAACCTTGGAGGTGGCAGAGCTTGCGTTGGACCCCAGTAATCTACCCTTTCTGACTACAGTACAATGAGCCTCAGAGACCCTACTGCTTCTGTACTCCTCTCTCTGCTGCACTAGCCACCTCCCCCTCTCCACGGGACCATTCCTATCAGCATATCATAATGCTCTTGTATTTCCCAACATTAAAAGAAATCCTTTCTTGATCTCATACCCTCTGTCAGCTACTAATCCCATTATTCTGTGATTTATCACAACCCAAATTTATAGATTTTTACAAAGGCTGTCTTGACTTCCTTACCTACTATTTTCTCTTCAACTCACTCAATCTGTCATCTGTCTTATAGCATACTATCTTAGAGAATCTCTCTGAGCTTCAAATGGATATATTTGATTGCCTATTGAATTCCAAATTTAACTTGTGTAAACTTAACTCTTGACCTCCACTTCTCCATTATATAAATCCAAAAATATATGAAAGTAAATTATATCCACACAAGATGCTTAATTTTTATTTATTTATTTTGAAACAGTCTCGCTCTGTTGCCCAGGCTGGAGTGCAGTGGTGCCATCTCAGCTCACTGTAACGTCCGCCTCCCAGGTTCAAGTGATTCTCCTGCCTCAGCCTCCCGAGTACCTAGGACTACAGGCGCCCACCACCATGCTCGGCTAATTTCTGTATTTTTGGTAGAGATGGAGTTTCGTCATGTTGGCCAGGCTGAGATGTGTATTAATAATAAAGATAAAATACTACTTTCCTGGCATAAATAACTTTAGTCAAGTAAAGTTAATCACCAATAATGTGACAAATAGATCTTGTATGACTCTTGATAATATGCACTGGGAAGGACACAACATCACTCTGTGTTCCTTCCAAAAATATATAACCTAAGTTGAATAAAAAGAAACATCAGGCAAATCTAAACTCAAGGACATTTAAAACAAACAAATGGTCTATAGGTTTTTTACTTTTTATTTTTACTTTTTTGAGACAGAATCTCACTCTGTCACCCAGGCTGGAGTGCAGGGGCACGATCTTGGCTCACTGCAGCCTCCACCTCCTGGGTTCAAGTGATTCTCATGCCTCAGCCTCCCGAGTAGCTGGAACTACAGGCATGCACCACCAAACCCAGCTAATTATTTTATTTTTTGTAGAGAAGGGGTTTCACCATGCTATTTTTTGTATTTTGTATTTCACCATGGTGGCCAGACTGGTCTCGAACTCCTAGCCTCAAGTGATCTGCCCGCCTCAGCCTCCCAAAATGTTGGGATTACAGGCATGAGCCACCATGCCTGGCCTTTGTTGCATCTTTACCTATACCTGATGCTCCACACCGATATGGGGCTGTAGTCCTGCAACATTTTCACAAACATGATTTCATTCTGAGCCTCACAGCACTCCTACAAGAGGAAGGGTAAGAATTATCCTCTCCATTCGGTAGATGCGGTGGTTTAGACTGAGGTGGTGAGGAAACTTATCTATGTCCATACATTTGGTGAAAACTTCAGGGCTCTCTAGCTTTTTGACTTGGGTTCATGGCTCAGTTCACTTTGTAACATCATTTTAAAACAGTAAAAGTGGGAACTCCGACATAAAGGCTTTCGAGGAGTTTCTTCTTTCTTCCTGAACCTGTGCCACCATCTTCACCTAAACAGCCCAAGATCTCCGAGGTCTTGAGATCTACAAAGATGCAAGGGAATCCCACCATCTCCAACATCCCCAACAGCCCAAATACCACCTTTTAGGTGGAGAGTACTCTGTCCCTTGTCACCGCTACCTTTCCAAGGACATCTTCATTATTCTTTCCTTTTTGCTCTGACATCTTTTTGCACAGGCCTTTACTGTAAAGTTTTCACTTTGTATTACAGTTGGTTCTTTGTATGTCTCTCTCTTTCAGCTAGAAATTGATTTCCTTGATGCTGAGTTCATATCGTCTCTGTGTCTTCTTCATCTGTCAGTGTCCTGGCACCCACACATTAGTAATTTGGAGAGAGTTTAAGAAAGGGACTATTTACAAAGATGTGAGCTGGGATTTGGAAAATAAAAGCAATCATAGAGTGTTCCCCCTTCCCCTCTCTCACCCCCCCTCACCATCACTGACCCCCACCTACTTACCAACCCTAAGACCTGGGCAGTTACTGGAACCCTTCCACAATCACAGAAAGCAGGATGGATGGGGCTCTGCCAACTGACAGGAGATGAGCCCTGATGTTCCACAGTGAACAGGTCTACGCAAATCTATTCCTACAGTCTAAGGAAGCTAAGAGGCCAAAGAAAAAGGCTGACAAATCATTCTTAGTAATATTTACTAGGAACTTACAGACAGAAGCCATGTTTGTGTGTCAGGTGGCAGTGAGACGAGATGGTGGATTCCTGTGCTATCAACCTTCAGACCCAGGGCTTATATACCATGGGGAAAGAGTGATTCAGAAGGGATGCATGGGACAATTGAAGTACAATAACATCAAGGTTGTTTGACCTAAGGGCAGGATTTACAGTAAGTACCTGCTCTTACACAAGGAACAGATAAACTGGAAATCTCAGAAGATTCCCAGAACTGGGGTTAACCAGAAATGAACATGGTGGATTAACATCCAAGATGGAGTTACTTTGGCCTGTCTAGAGGGTGAAGCCAGGCCACGAGATCCCCAGTGAGGAGCTCCTGTCTGCTGGCCCATCCTGACTAGAAGCCAGAAGGCAAGGGAGTCGTCAGTGGCATCATCCCCCTTGCGTGCAGAGCAGGGAGAGGCAGAAAATTGGACAGACAGAGAATGTGCCCACATCTTTGCATTCCCAGTGTGTAACAGAGTGCCAAGCACATCATTGCTGCACAGAAATATTTTTAATTGAATTACTGAATCTTAGATGTTGCTCATTGATATCCCTTAGAAATAAAGAAAACTTTTTTTCATTGCTACATGTTTAGCACAGTTTAAGCCAGAGAAATACCAGACATATTATCGAAGTTTCCAGCGTTTTTGCACTGTTGTGATGAACTCAGACTTCTATACCAAAACATAAAGCTAGCTGCTCTATTTAGGAATGTCATAGTCAAAATATAGAGTACTGTAAGATTATGAAGTTATAATTCTTTCCTACTTCATTCAGTTAAAGATCTTATGTACACCTCAATATTAGAAAAACGTATTTTTGTTCTACTTTTCTTACCCAAATGCTAAGGCTCTTCAGCCTGTTTAATAATTAAAGCAACATGAGACTTCGAGTGAATGGCAAATAGTGCAGCTAATGATAAATGTGGACATGTGTGTTAGTTATGCCATCTCTGAAGAAACTGGCGAGTTGGCTTCCTGATTATCCACAGTGACGGCCAATATTCCAAAACAGACACTGCTGCTCCTTCAGGTTTCCATAGCTCTCTTTCCCCAACAGTCAGATTCACTGCTGTTATTAATATCTCAGCATGGTGATGAGTGTAACACAAAATCCTTGCTTCAAAGGCCACTCAGTATTCAATTTTCTAATTGGTTCTTTTAACAAAAACACCCCAAAATGTCTGCAGCATACACTCAAACTCCTTGAACATCTGTAATTAATAAGCTGAGATTGTGGCTCCAATACAAAATCCCAGTGATGACTAATTTGCCGAAAATTTATGGCTTTTGATATTAATCACACAGGGAAGCTGGCCCAGGAGAGGCATGGTTTGTGCCTGGGGTCCAGTTGTATTCATTGGTAGTCCCTGCTTCTTTTCTCAAAAGTGTGCTGATTTGGTCAATAAAATATATGGTAACCCTACATAAGGCCCAGCCTCAGTCTCATTTCAGGACTTTTGGAATAAGTAGATGACAATACTTCTGCAGCAGTACCAACACTAACATGAAAGTTACAACATCCATGCTATCATTTGCTAATTCACTGCCATATTTTGTTAGTTTCCCGTGGGTTCCATAACAGATTATCACAAACTTGCCGGCTTAACACAGCCAACATTTATTAATATTTGCTCACAGTTCTAGAAGGCAGAAGTCTAAAATCAAGGCATGGCCTCCCTGTAGAGGCTCTGGGGGAGAATCTATGCGTCTCCTTTTCTGGTGGCCACTGGGATTCCTTGGCTTGCCGGAGCCTGGTCTCAATCTCCATGCTCTAGGTCACATTGCCACCTCATCTTCTGTCTGTGTAACTTCCCTTTGCCTCAGCCTTATAAGGACACTTGTCACTGTATTTAGGTCCCACCCAGATGCTACAGTAGGGGTCTCCAACTCCTGGGCTGAGGACTTGTACTAGTCCATGGCCTGTTAGGAACCAGGCTGCACAGCAGGAGGTGAGAGCAGCAGGCGAGCGAGCATGATCACCTGAGCTCCACTGCCTGTCAGATCAGCAGTGACATTAGATTCTCCTAAGAGCGTGAAACCTATTGTGAACTGTCCATGCGAGGGATCTAGGTTATGTGTTCTTTATGAGACTCTAATGCCTGATCTGAGGTGGAACAGTTTCATCTCAAACCATCCCCTCATCTCCTTCCCCTGTCCAAGGAAAATTGTCTTCCGGGAAACCAGTCTCTGGTGCCAAAAAGGTTGGAGACCACTGCCCTAGAGTATGATCTCCTCATCTCAAGATCCTTAGCTCAATCACATCAGCAAAGAGCATTTTTTAAAAAATATCATCACATTCACAGGTTTCAGTAATTAGGACATGGACTTATCTTTTTGGAGGACACCCTTGAACCCACTACCCAAGTTAAAGTCAAGCTTACGTTTCCTAGCCATATTTTCGAATATATAAAATTTCTGTTTTACATTTTCAAACATCCTGTGAGTCATTTATACTTGACATAATTACACCTCAGACGTCCCCAGTACAAATTAAAAACCAGTTCAGGACAGCCTCCCTGGCCCTTCTCTGAGAACTCTGCTTTTATTTTATTTTATTTTTATTGAGACAAGGCCTTGCTCTATTGCCCAGGCTGGACTGCAGCGGTGCAATCTCGGCTCACTGCAGCCTCCACCTCCCAAGCTCAAGAGATTGTCCCACCTCAGCCTCCAGAGTAGCTGGGACCACAGGTACGCACCGCTGCACCTGGCTAATTTTTGTATTTTTTTGTAGAGACAGAGTTTCGCTGTGTTGTCCAGGCTGGTCCCGAACTCGTGGGCTCAAGCAATCTGCCCACCTCGGGCTCTTGTGCTGGGATTACAGGTGTGAGCCACTGTGCCCAGCCTGAGAATGCTGCTTTCTATAACCCTCTTCACAGTAGATTAATTCTCTTCTTCTCATGAGTCCAATCCATGTAGAGAGTCCCTCCATGGGACCAGGAAGAGGCAAAGGAGTCATCTGCCTTGGACACAAAATTTAAGGGCATGCCAAAAGTTTTAGTCATCAAGATAAAGAAGAAGAATGACGAGGGTTTTCATCACCCTCTTAAATAAATTTCACATCTATTAAAATATTATTTATCTGGATGACTGAACTTATTGGTATCTCTTGGAAGTTGGCACCAATGGTGAGTACCTCACTCGCCTCCCCCCTGGAGTCTACAACTGCTCCTTGCCTGTGAAATAGCAGGTATCACAGCTTCTGGGTCTGTGACATTCTCACATGGTGAGTGTGTAATATCTGCTCTTTTCTTTCCACACTCAGTATGTCTCAGTATCAAAAATCTGCATTATAGGTAAATAGAATGGAAATGTTCTTAAGGATTTGGGGTTCTTCAGTTACCTGCTCCCTTCCATGTTCCTTACCACCAGCCTGCCACAAAGGCTCTTCCAATCCTTAAGTCCACAGGAAAAAACAACAGGTTTTCTAATTTTTTCTTTTTGAAGCAGCCGTAAAACCAGTGAATGCCAGATTTTTAAAAAGTTTTTTATAGAGACAGGGTCTCACATTGTTGCCTAGGCTGGATTGCAGTGGGGCAGTCATAGCTCACTGCAGCTTTAAACTCTTGGGCTCAAGCAATCCTACTGCCTCCTAGCCTTCTGAGTAGCTGGAACTACAGGCATGCACCACCATGCCTGGCTAATTTTTTTTGTTTGTTCTTTTATAGAGATAGGGTCTTGCTCTGTCATTCAGGCTGGAGTACAGTGGTACAATCATGGCTTATGGCTGGAGTACAGTGGTACAATCATGGCTTATTGCAGCCTCAAACTCCTGGGCTCAAGTGATCCTCCATCCTCAGCCTCCTGAGTAGCTGGGACTACAAGCATGCACCACCATGCCTGGCTAATTTTGTTTGTTTATTTTGTAGAGATGGGATCTCACTAGGTTGCACAGGCCAGTCTCAAACCCACAACTCAGGCAATCCTCTTGCACTAGGAGGCCTCCCAAAGTGCTAGGATTACAGACATGAGCCACCAGGCCAGCCTCAGGTTTTTTTTTAATTAAAAGGTACATTTAAATCAATCAATATGTAGTTGTTGAGTAACTGTTAAGTGCCTCCCCACACCCTGAAAAAAAACTCTCATTTTTCTTTGTATTGAAAAACCCATGTTTGATATATACCACCATGATATCTCTTTCTGACAAGTTATATACAAAGTTATGAAGACCCCAAGCCACTGTCCCGAAAGGCTGGCAGGACAAGCAATGTCTTCTAAGTCAAGCCAGCAGGATCGGAAAAAGCCTTGATCAAAAGAGCTCAACCCGAGCCCTGTATATGCACTTGAGTATGTGTGAGTGTGTGTGTGTATGTATCTGTATATATATATACCTGAGAGTGTGTGTGTATATATATATAGCTGATAGGTGTATATAGGTTTATATATAGCTGATAGGTATACATAGGCATATATATACCTAAGTGTGTGTGTGTGTATGTGTGTACATATATATAGTTGATAGGTGTATATATAGCTGTGTGTGTGTGTATATATACACACACGCGCGCACACACACACACATATAGAGAGAGAGCCTGTTTCCTTAAAATATATTTTCTATAAAATTCCAACCTATTCCTACATTGCCCTCCATCACCTTTCAGAGCTCTCAGGAGCCCCTTTTCCACAAACATGGGAAGGATGCCCTTACCACATGGGAGGGTGTGACATGAGTCTAACTGGCCATGGAGGACGGCACCACCTGCACCTCCCGCAGTGCGTCCTGGGAGAAGCATCTGCCCAACAGTGATTGTTCAGAGTGATTTTCAGAACAGGATAGAACACCACGGCTGGTCTCCTTCCTGAGTAATTACTCCTACAAATTTTCTGTTTAGGTCTGACATCAAGCTGGAACAAAACTGTAGATTATGTGGAGATAAGCTGAATTTGTTATGGGATGTTTATGTAATTCCACATATAAATGATTACAAAAGAAAGAGAATTTCTTGCCTTGTCTTTCCTACTTCAAGCACATATGTATGAGCTGGTGGCTATTTTCTATTTGTTAATAGCTTATTAATAAATCGAATCCATGTTATTTCAGTTTTCAGCTGGCTTTGTTCACTAGTTTTTAGTCTTAGCACACTCAAAGGATGTTGTTTTAAAATAACTGTAAAACTGTAGCCTTAGAATTTGTAAGGGAAAATAATTTACCCTTTTGTCAAGTTCAATAAATATTGTTACAATGTGGTTTACTAAATAAACCATTGGGTTAAGAACAAATGTTAAAATACATTCACAATCTTTCAGTTTTTACATTAAACTAGAAGGGGGGCCGGGTGTGGTGGCTCCCACTTGTAATCTCAGAACTTTGGGAGGCTGAGGCAGGACGATTGCTTAAGGCCAAGAGCTTGAGACCAGCCTGGGCAACATAGTGAGAACGCATCTCTAAAAAAACATTAAAAAAAAACAAAAAACTGGGCATGGCGGCGCATGCCTGTAGTCTCAGCTACTCAGGAGGCTAGGGCAGGAGGATCACTTGAGCACAGAGTTGGAGACTGCAGTGAGCTATGATTGTGCCACTGTACTCCAACCTGGTGACAGAGCAAAATCTCTGTCTCTAAGAAAAAAGACAAGAAAATCATACACACTTATTGGCTTTTGTTTGCAATGTTTGCAGATAATTTAACTTTTAAGTTATGTTTTGGAGAGGCTAGTTGTAAGAGACATTATTTGAGCATACACAGTTGTGTAACAAAGAAAGTAACCTGGGAATTTGTTGGAAAACTGGATAACAGTCCAGTGTGAAACAGAAGAGAAAGAAAAAAGGGAGAGACTAAGCCTGGAAAATATAATTGAGAATACATCCATTCTATTGATAGCTATAAAAGAAAAGGATTGTTTCTTATTTGTGGTTTGAACAGTGTATGACTTTGTAGTCATTTTACATGTTACAAGAGGAATTGGGTGGTGAAAGGAAGAGTTAGAAGGCAGAGCAAAAGAGATTTAAAAGGTGAAGAAAAGAGAATAATGTTAAGATGACTTCCTTTGCGTTGTTTGTTTCTTCTTGACGACAGTTGTTACCTTTGCACTCAATTCCTACTTGAAAAATGAAAGAAAGCCATCCAGATGGGGCAGGTCAAAGAAGAAAAATGCTTGACAGTCATAACCCAATGTAATAACGTCTCATTGTTTCTCCAAGTTTTACCTCAGGTTACTTTGCTTCCATAGACCCAGGTCTAAGCAATAGGAACTACGCAGCTCTTTTAAACTCTTGTTATAGATTATATGACAGAAAATGATCAGAAAAAAACTATATTTAAGCACATCGGCTGCTGGGTGCATTTCATATTCAAACCAGCTCCATTGTTGTCCATCAGCCCAGTATGGCAAGTGCCAGAAGTGATACTGTAGTTCCTTAAGTTGCTTAATCAACATGCGACAGATGCGGCACAGCTTCCTGCTGTTGCACGCTGCTACCAGACTGATCGATGGGCAATCCAAAGCCACACCCTTTGGCTCAATTACACTGATGCTGTCTTTGCTTTCTCTCTCTCTTTTTTTTTAATTATTATTATACTTTAAGTTCTAGGGTACATGTGCACAACGTGCAGGTTTGTTACATATGTATGCATGTGCCATGTTGGTGTGCTGCACCCATTAACTCGTCTTTACATTATGTATTCCTCCTAATGCTATCCCTCCCCGCTCCCCCGACCCCATGACGGGCTCCGGTATGTGATTTTCCCCGCCCTGTGTCCAAGTGTTCTCATTGTTCAGTTCCCACCTGTGAGTGAGAACATGCAGTATTTGGTTTTCTGTCCTTGTGATAGTTTGCTCAGAATGATGGTTTCCAGCTTCATCCATATCCCTGCATAGGACATGAACTCATCCTTTTTTTACAGCTGCATAGTATTCCACAGCGTCTATATGCCACATTTTCTTAATCCAGTCTATCATTGATGGACATGTGGGTTGGTTCTCAAGGATCTAGAACTAGAAATACCATTTGACCCAGCAATCCCATTACTGGGTATATACCCAGAGGATCATAAATCATGCTACTATAAAGACACATACACACGTATGTTTATTGCGGCACTATTTGCTTTCTCTTTTTATTATGTTTGAGCTTGCAATTGGGACAGCTCCTAAATCTCTAATCTCTTTTAAGAAGAAGCTGAAACATTGTTTGGAGTTAACATTCTCCAAACAAAGAGAAGACTGGCATCCTTAAGGTACTTCAAAAGCCATAAATACCTAACATTTTTTTAAAAAGTGAAGTCAAACAAACAAACAAACCAAGAACACACTCTGGGTCACTCTTGCCCTACTCCTTTAAATAGTGACACAGGGGATCCTAGTTGTGTTTGAATTCCAAAGGTAACATGTTCAGAGAAAGACACATAGGGTCCTGTACTTTGGCTGCAGCAGAATGCACTGATGCAATCCTTTCGTCCGGGTAGATGATGGTTCATTAAATATGGTGAGGTTAAATAGACCCACCAGACTGAAGATGCAGCTGGACTCCTGAGTGTATACCAACACCTCCAGCCTCAGCGAGAGCCATCTCTTGGTCCATTCGCAAAGGTGAAACCAGAAATATATCCCCTAGCAGCATGCCAGTGAGCAAAAGATGATTTGGCTTCTTAGCCTCAGATGTATTGGATATGCTGAAGTCATAGGAGATACTAGGTTTTTAAAAATATAATTTTTCTCAGTACATATTCTTTATCAAAATTGTAAATTTCCACATTAATCTTTCAGTTTCTCTTGCAGAAGTAGAGAATGAAAATATAAACTGATTTAAAGCACCTTGTATAATTATCATACTGTAACACTGTAATTAGAATAGTGGTTCTCAAAATGCAATCTCTGTACTCACAGCATCAGCACCACCTGGGAACATGTTAGAAATGCAAATTATCAGGCTTCTCTAGAACCACTAAGAAGCTCTGGCGAGGCCTAGCAATCTGTGTTTTAACAAGCCTTCCAGGCAATGCTGATACAAGGCCAAGTTTAAGAAAAACACTGTCATTATTTATGATTGATTACAGTAACTTCATTATAAATTAAGCAAATGAAAACCACCAAAGTTTACATGTTTTGTCTGTTCTCAGATCTGCTGTTCAGCAAGATAACTGATTTTGAAATTGCTATGTCCACAGGTATTTAAAACATAAATCTTAAATTAATTCCACTGAAAACAGAACTCAGAAAGGATAAATTCTCTGCTGTCTGCTACTGAATTTCTGAAGAAACGTTTGATTCTAGAAAAAAGACATTGTGTCCGTGTTGTTGACATTGTGAATTATTCTAAAGGATGGATGTTATGTGGCTTCAGACTCTCAATGGCATTTGATTAGACTGGGCAAGTTAAATTCCCACAGCAATTAGTGACTGCTCTGACCAAAAAAAGGAATGTGAAACAAAACTAAACACAAAGAAATAAACAACAACTTTTTGTTTGGATATAAATGGGTAGAAATATTTGGGAGACTGATGGAAAGAATAAACAATATACAATAGCATTAACATGACCCACCCCTTCCCACCCAAGGCACTTCCATTTTAAATTAGAGCTGTGTTTTATTCTACTGTAAACCCTTGAAATCACCTCCAATACACAAAGTAGAAAATAAGGCAAAGCAAGGGAAGAGTCTTCAGATCAATCTCTTAAAACCTAAAAGCATGACTAAGTAAATGCTCCTTGGAAAGTTATCAAGGGTTCACATTTTTCTAAAAATTAAGTCTACGAAAAGGAAAACCAAAGAGCATTAAGCCTTATATAATTCAAATATTTACTTCTGCTAAAAAAAAAGGAAACCAGTAAACTGGGCTTTTAATAAGTACTGGAAATAAACTTTACTAAGACATGTGATCAGCACATTAAATTAATTTTAAAACTCTCAGCTACCTATCTGGGGTTGCTAGGTTTCTTTCTTTACAGATAACATCGGGACTGGAAAGGACTTGGGAGCTACTAGGGCTTCTCTGATCCATTTTCTGCGTTTCTTCTCCTTCAGGGTCTGGAGATGCACATAGTCTTACTTCCAGCTCAGGCATTTTATGCGGCTTTTCAAGAAGTTTTTCCTTTTCAGTCCAGTATTTGTACCACTGCCTTTTCTTCTTTAGAAGAAAGTTGAACGTGAAAATTTTCAAGAGTTATTAATGGTTTCCCATAAATAGCCACATGAGCAGGAAGGAAGAAAGGAAAAGGAAAGAAGAAGTAGAAGTAGGAGGAGAAGAAGAAGGGGAGGAGGAGGAAGGAAGAAAGACGTGGCTGAAATGAGACGTAGGCAAGTAACTATGGTCCTCACACACAAATCTGTAGCATAAATGAGTCATCTGACTTTGAGAAGCCTTTAAAGGGAATATGCTCAGAGAATACAGGAAAGCTTCTCTGAGTGATTTCCTGGATGTTTCTCAATGACACACTAAAAATGTATTGCGTACCTTGTAATGAGAGTTGTGCTTCAAATATATTTTATACAACGACTACTGGAGTGGAATATGCTGCCCTGTCCTCTACTGAGAGATGGGACACCAGCGGGCTCATGGACTCTATTAGCACAGTGTAGCTCAAATTCTTATTGGGAACTAATATAATAGGCCCAGTAACAAGAACTTTTCCAAGCATTTACTTTTCCTCAGAAAAACCCTTTTATATTCTGACCCATTTCAACAGGCAGCAGACAACAAAGTGAAAACCAAGGCCTTTATCACCACAAGTAACTTCCTTCCTTTATTAGGACAAGGCAAAAAGAGAAATGATATAGTTTGGATATTTGTCTCCTCCAAGTCTCACGTTGAAATGTGATCCCGAATGTTGGAGATGGGGCCTGGTGAGAGGTATCGGGGGCATGGAGGAGGATCCCTCATGAATGGCTTGGTGTCATCCCATTGGTAATTAGTGAGTTCTTGCTCTATTAGTTCATGCGAGTGCTGGTTGTTTTAAGTAGCAAGACACCCCTACCTCTCTCTTCCTCCCTTTCTCACCATGTGATGTCTGCTCCTCTCGCCTTCTGCCATGAGTGGAAGCTTCCTGACACCTCACCAGAAGCAGACGCTGGTGCTATGCTTCTTGTACAGCCTGCAGGGCCATGAGCCAAATAAACTTCTTATCTTTACAAACTACCCAGCTTTAGGTGTTTTTATAGCAACACAAAATGGACTAAGACAGGAAACAAAAATGGCAATTTCTGGACTTGGATTTCAGATATTTTGAAGCATTTTAATTTCTCTAATGCTCTCGGGAAGAGGGGAAAATGGAAACCAAGTGATGACCCATGTCTATACGTGTCACCAGAGAGAACACAATAGGAGCCACTGCCAACTCCACCTCCCCAGCCCTGCCTAACATCAACCCCGGGAAAGATGGGTTACATTTAAAAAGATGAGGGTGAGACTAGGAAGAGTGAGAGGACAATAAGAAGAGGGCTGTCTCACAAACCCAAGGGAGGAACCCCAGTGAGGTTCTGTGAGATGACCACCCAAATATAATGGATTTGGCAGTTAGGACATGGATGACCTATTCTATCCGATTTCAGCCAACTGGTGAGGGCTAAAATCAGGTTTCCCAGGATTGAGAAGTAAGTGAGAGATGAGATATTTCTTCCAGGAAGCTTGGCAATGAAACAGAGGAGAAGAAAAGGGAAGTAACTTGGTGGAGAGTGTGACACTAGAGAAGGTTTCTATACAATAGTAATATTTGTGCATGATTATAGGAAGGAAGAAAGGAATAAAGAGAAGAGAGAAATACGGTAGAAAAAATAATGAAATAAATCCCCAGAGAAAGTGGAAAAGAAGGAAGATCATTAGCAAAGTTGAAAAAAAATTGATTTTTGAAGAAAGTAAAGATTCCTTCTGCCTCAGATAGGAGGGAGAAAAGGATGGATGAATATATGGTAACTCTGAAAGTGGACAAGAGGGAAATGGAGGCATTAAGATATTTCATAGATTTTTTTTTTTCTGAAAAACTGGGAAGCCAGGCTGTCTGCCAAAAGCAGATATAACTAATGGAGATGTGAATTAGACTGGACTGATTTTACATGGAGAGCTCAAGAGATGTTATGAAAATTGGTCTCTAAGGACAGAAGCTTAGAAAAGGGAATAATAACTCCTATTTATTTACTGTCACTTCTTTAACCATTACACTTCCAGGAAAAATAACACTTTAAAATAAGGAAATAAGGAGTGACACTCGGGCAGTAGTAGAAACATTGGCAACACTTTTGTCTGAAAGAGAAAGTGCAGCTGACTGGTATCTGAGATCTGAACGCGGAGCATGTCAATTGCACTCATAAAGCAGAAAGGTAGCAGCAGCCCAAGACAAGGTAACTATTACTTTCATTCTTGGATTCTCAGGCAGAACTGTGGAGAGATGCCTTCATAACCTCAGGTGTCCCTGACTTGCCTGTTTGGCACAAAAGGGGGAAGCAGAGTGTTACCCCAAATGCTGCATTTATATCGCTTCCTCAGCTCTAGTTGTCAGCACCTGTCAAGGCAAGAGAAAAACAATGCCAAATGAAATAGGGAGCTGAAGAAAATAAACAAGTCTCAGCAGAGCACCAGGTAACACAGACTGCTTCCTGGTTGCTTCCCAAGTTTAGAAAACAGTAAGTTCTAAGAAACTAGAGTTTTATTAGAAAAGGAAAAATATTTAGCTTACACTGACCCAACATGTGTAACAATTCTTCATAAAATTGTTGGCCAAAAATGGGTGATACTCCAAAATGTTTAAATAAACAAATATTAATCCAAAACAGTTTATGTTTCCAAAAGAGTGATGCTTTGAAGATTGGATACACAAGTGAACTATGTATACTCTCCAGCTAAGGAGTCAAACACCTAATCAAAATTTAGCCAATTATTCTTTACTAACGATATATTAACTCAAGAAAATCATAACCATGAAATTATGATTATATGAAAGCATTGGCTAAATATAAATCCTGTCAACAGAAGTGCATAGGACTACAGAAGCAAAACCAGAAGACCCTGTCCAGCATTCACTACAGTCACATTCCCTACACAGGGAGGTAAAAGAAAGGAAAAGAAGAAAATATATACAGGGAAATAAAAAAACAAAAAAATGGTACTTGCATGAAAATAATTGCAAAGACTAGAAATGCCAGCATCTCCAGATGAGAAGGAACCAGTGCAAGAATTCTGGCACCATGAAAAATCTGAATGTGGCACCACCACCAAAGGATGGCACTAGCTCCCCAGTAATGGTCTGTAACCAAAATGGAAACTCAGAAATGACAGATAAAGAATTCAGAGCGGACTGCAAGGAAGTTTAACAAGATCCAAGAGAAGGTTGAAAATCAACACAAAGAAACTTCTAAAGCAATCCAGGAAATGAAGGAAGAGATAAACATCTAAAAAAGAAAAAAAAAGAAAAGGAAAAAAAATTTTAATGGGAGTATATAAAGCGACCAAATGAATGGATTATTGGCATTCCTGAGAGAGATGGAGGCAAAGAGAACAACCTAGAAAACATACTTGAGGGGATAATTCAAGAAAATTTCCCTAATCTTGCTAGACAGGTAGACATCCAGATACAAGAAATCTAGAGAACACCTACAAGATATTATACAAAATGAACATTACCACAGCATACACTCGTCAGACTGTCCAAGGTCAACACTAAAGAAAAAAATTGTAAAGACACCTACAGAAAAAGGTCTGATCACATACAAGGGCCTACCAGGCTACTAGTGGACTTCTCAGCAGAAACCTTACAAGCCAGGAGAGACTGGGAGACTATTTTCAGCATTCATAAAGAAAAGAAATTCCAAGCAAGAGTCTCACATCCCACCAAACCAAGCTTCATAAGCAAAGGACAAATAATTTTTTCCACTGAAGCAAGCGCTAAGGAAATTTGTTACCACTAGACCAACCTTACAAGACATCCTTAAGGGAGGTCTAAACATAGAAATGAAAGAATGATACCTGTTACCACAAAAACACCCTTAAGTACGTAGCCCACAGATCCTATAAAGCAACCATGCAATAGGAACTACAAAGCAAACAGTTGAAAACTTCCATCTCATTCTATGAAGCCAGCATCACTCTGATGCCAAAACCTGGCAAAGACACAAAAAAGAAAACTGCGTGTTACTATCTCTGATGAACAAAGATGCAAGTCCTCAACAAAATGCTACTAAACCAAATCCAGCAGCACATCAAAGAGTCAGGCTTTATTCCTCAGATGCAACTTTGGTTCAAAATCAATAAATGTGATTCAACACATAAACAGAATTAAAAACAAAAACTATATGATCCTCTCCATAGGTGAGGAAAAAGCTTTTGATAAAAATTCAACATCCCTTCATGATAAGGTTTTTTTCAGGAAACTTGGCATCAAAGGAACATACCTCAATATAATAAGAGCCACTATGACAAGCCCATAGCGGACATCATGCTGAATGAGTAAAAACTGGAAGCATTCTCCTTGAGAACTTTGACAAGACAAGGATGCCCACTCTCACTACTCTCATTCAACGTAATACTGGAAGTCATCGCCAAAGGAATCAGGCAAGAGAAAGAAAGAAAATGTATCCAAACAGGAAAAGAAGTCAAACTCTCTTTGCTGATAACATGATTCTATACCTAGAAAACCCAAAAGACTCTGCCAAAAGGCTCCTGAAACTGATAAATGGCTTCAGTAATATTTCAGAACACAAAATCAATGTACAAAAATCTTAGCATTTCTATACATTAATAATGTTCAATCTGAGAGCCAAGAATGGAGTCCCATTTACAATAGCTGCAAGAAAATAAAATAAAATACCTAGGAATACATCAAATCAATAAAGTGAAAGATCTCTACAAGGAACTACAGAACACTGCCGAAAGAAATTATAGATGACACAAACAAATGGAAAAATATTCCATGCTCATGGATAGGAAGAATCAGTATTGTTAAAATGGTCATAGTACCCAAAGCAATCTACAGATTCAATGCTATTCCTATCAAGCTAACAATATCATTTTTCACAGAACTAAGAAAAAACTATTCTAAAATTCACACACAACCAAAACAGAGCCTGAACTGCCAAAGCCATCCTAAGCAAAAAGAACAAGGCTGGAGGCACCACACTGTCCAACTTTATCCTATTAAGCTACATTGACTAAAACAGCATGGCATGGCACTAGTACAAAATCAAACACATAGACCAATGGAACACAATAGAGAACCCAGAAATAAAGCCACACACCTATAGCCATCTGAACTCCTATGAAGTCAACAAAAATAAGCAATGGGAAAAGGTCTCACTATTCAATAAATGGTGCTGGGATAGCTGGCTAGCCAGATGCAGAAGACTGAAACTGGACCCCTAAGTTTCACCACACACAAAAATTAACTCAAGATGGATTAAAGATTTAAATTTTAGACCTAAAACTGTAAGAACTATAGAAGAAAATCTAGAAATCTAAGAAAAACCATTCTGAACATCAGCCTTGGGAAAGAATTTATTACTAAGTCCTCAAAAGCAATTGCAACAAAAACAAAAATTGACAAATCAGACCTAATTACACTAAAGAGCCTCTGCACAGCAACATAAACTATAAACAAAGTAAACAACCTACAGAATGAAAGAAAATATTCACAGATTATGGATCTGGCAGAGGTCTAATATTCAGAATCTATCAGTAAATTGAACAAGTGAAAAACATATAACATTAAAAAACGGGCAAAACATATGAACAGACATTTCTCAAAAGAAGACATACAAGCAGCCAACAAACATATGAAAAAATGCTCAACATCACTAATCATCAGAGAAATGCAAATCAAAACCACAATGAGATACCATCTCATACCAGTCAGAATGGCTAGCATTAAAAAGTCAAAAAACAACAGATGCTAGTGAGGCTACAGAGAAAAGGGAATGTTTATGCACTCATGGTGGGTGTAAATTAGTTTAACCACTGTGGAAAGCAGTTTGTAGGTGTCTCAAAGAACTTAAAACAGAACTGCCATTAGACCCCACAATCTTATTACTGGATGTTATAGATATATCCAAAAGAAAATAAATCATTCTACCAAAAAGACACATACACTCATATGTTCATTGGAGCACTATTCACAGCAGCAAAGACTTGGAATCAACTTACACCCCCATCAGTGGTGGATTGGATATAGAAGATGTGGTATGTATACACCATGGAATACTATGTAGCCATAAAAAGGAACGAAATCATGTCCTTTGTAGCAACATGGATGCAGCTGATTATCCTAAGCAAATTAATGCAGGAACACAAAACCAAGTACTGCATGTTCTCACTTATAAGTGGGAACTAAACAATGGTACTCACGGACATAAAGATGACAACAATAGACACTGGGAACTACTAGATAGGGGAGGGGAGGAGCATGGCAATGACTGAATAACTAATTATTGGATAATATGCTTAGTACCTAGCCGACAGTATTAGTTGTACTCCAAACCTCAGTATCACGCGATATACCCAGGTTTGTTACCGGGGGTACATGGTACAAAGCACATGTACCCCCTGAATCTAAAAGAAAGTTTGTAATTATTTTTTAAAAAAGAAAGCATTGTTATATGAAATCATAACCAATAATCTGATATAGAGCAAGCTTTGAAGAAACTCAAATACCCAGGTTATATTTTGGTGGAATTCATGTTTAATATTTCTGACTTTTAAGAAAAGACTCACTAAGCCTAAAGATCAGAAATTATCTCAGACATATACATTATATATACAAAACAATCTGACTTGACAGGAAACATTATACATATATACATCATATATACAAAATAACCTGGCTTGCTTTCGCTGTCTGACCTTTAATTACCTCCTTACTCTAATTACTAGGACTTCCTCTTTCTCTATCTTCTAATTAACCCAGGAATTTGAATTCCCTGAATCTTCTGCTCTAGGAGAAAGCTGCTTTTCTTCCTCTGTGCTCCAAGACTTT
The DNA here is from genome assembly GCF_000001405.40 of Homo sapiens. NCBI lineage: Eukaryota > Metazoa > Chordata > Mammalia > Primates > Hominidae > Homo > Homo sapiens. The sequence continues at coordinate 19,207,566 of NC_000008.11, forward strand.
AAGTGCTCTCTTCCTTATGGCTAGCAGAAAAAAAGAAAAAGGATAAAAACCGTGGCACGCACTATATTTTCCCATGTCTTCCTTTTGTTCTACCATGAAAGAGTTGCAATTCAGTTACTTCCTTTGAATGCTTTCTCTAACTTCAATTTTTATATTGCATCAAATAACTTGTTTGCTTATCTTCGTAACTTTTAGCCCTAAGAGACTTCTTAAATGGGTGAAACCATTTATTCCTGAATATTTTGAAATCGTGTCACACCCAAAATGTGTTTTTAGCCAAGCAATACCGTAGTTTCTTAAAATATCTGTTTAGATAACGCAGGAATGGAAAACCAAACACCGCATGTTCTCACTCATAAGTGGGAGCTGAACAACGAGAACGCATGGATATGAGAAGGGGAACAACACACACTGGGGCCTATCGTAGGGGGAGGGAGAGCATCAGGAAAAATAGCTAATGCATGCTACGCTTAATACTTAGGTGGTGGGTTGATAGGTGCAGCAAACCACCATGGCACACGTTTACCCATGTAACACGCTTACCTGTCTATGCAAACCCACGTGTTCTGCGCGTGTACCCCGGAACTTAAAATAAAAAAGAAAAGAAACACAGTGAAACCCCGTCTCTACTAAAAATACAAAAAATTAGCCAGGCATGGTGGTGGGTGCCTGTAGTCCCAGCTACTCGGCAGGCTGAGGCAGGAGAATGGCGTGAACCCAGAAGGCGGAGCTTACAGTGAGCAGAGATCGCGCTACTACATTCCAGCCTGGGCTACAGAGCTAGACTCGGTCAGAAAAGAAAAGAAAAGAAAAGAAAAGAGAAGAGAAGAGAAGAGAAGAGAAGAGAAGAGAAGAGAAGAGAAGAGAAGAGAAGAGAAGAGAAGAGAAGAGAAGAGAAGAGAAGAGAGAAAGAAAAGAAGGAAAGAAAGAAGGAAAGAAAGAAAGAAAGGAAGAAGGAAAGAAAAGAAAGAAAGAAAGAGAGAAAGAGAGAGAGAGAAAGAAAGAAAGAAAGAAGGAAAGAAAAGAAAGAAAGAGAGAAGGAAAGAGAGAAAGACAGAGAGAGAGAAAAAGAGAGAACAAACAGAAGGTTAAGAAAAACCAGTTTAGGAAATACATCCACCCTGAAATTTTAATGGGCAGGAAATCTTGTGATCTTAGCTTTTGATGACATGTGCTGTTAAAAAAGCACATGTAGATTCATAAATATGGCGGTGGCCAAATAATTAATGAATCAGAATCCAAGCACCTATCTCTGCCACTTGGAGCTTTACGGTGAGTTATATAACCATAGCAAGCTTTAGTTTCCTCATTCAAAAAATAAAAATAACGATATTGAAAAAAAAAATTCTTTACAAAAAAAATTTAAGATATTTTGTTATGCCTTCCATTATTGTCTCACCATCAAATTGGCTGAAATACCCATTTTACACATGAGCATATTAAGGCAAGTTTATTTGTCTCCAAATTTATTTAATTTTTATCTCTGATCATTATTTAGAGTCTCTGCCTCAAAGATAGTTGTGAAAGTTACATGATTAATGTCAATTAAATTACATGTAATATAAAACACTTAGGAAAGTGTCTATGAGAAAGCAAGTAGTATAGAAATGTTAGCTGCTGCTATTATCATTTTAGGAGTGATTAAGCAGATAATGATTGATTACTCTAATAGTTGGCCTGTATTTTCTGCCTAAGAAACCTGTGGGATGTGGCTTTCTTTTTCAGAGAAGTCATGTGAAAGTCAATATTGTAAATATATTAAACTCCTTGTTTAAATGTGCATAGGGATTACTATTAACCAAAAATTTCACATTAAAACTTCAGACATATGAATGTATATTGGAAAAGAACAAACTGCAAAGCTGAACATGAGACGGAAACTGTAGAGGAACTTTATGTTTGCTTTCATTTCCTACATAGATCTCTTGAACTTGAGAAGCTTCTGTTGAGGTTTCATCTGTCAAAATGTTGCTTCGTTCCTATTATTCATAAATTTCCCTGACGTAAGGCTCCAGTAAAAACTGTGAGTCATGGTCCACTCTTTTGTAACTGTCACAAAATACAAATTTCTGTAACAATTGTAAAGTAGTGCCACATTTTACCATACCGTGCTGAGTTATACAGTCTTCAGGATGTGGGGAACGAGGAATGCAACTGATTGTAAGTGGGAATTGCATGGTTTAGCAAACAAGTTGATGTTTCTAGCAAAGGACAAGCTATCACCAGGACTACATGTAAGAAACAAGAAACTGTACAGAAGCCCAAATATGCGGTCTGTCATGTTGATGGTGGGGATATTTTTTTGTGTAAAAATCTACTGATCATACCCCAGTATTTAAAAAGACCATCTAAAAGCTTTACATAAATTCAAATTAATTTCAAGAGAAGAAATATAAAATAGTCCAATCACTTCATAAACTAAGAACAGATGATGTAAAACCTGACTCACAAATGTAATAAAATATATATTTAGAAAGGCAGAGAAGATGGTGTAAAAGATAAAGCACCTACAAAGGGGATGAATCAATAAAAGAGAAGGAGGCTTGGCATGGGGCTGACACCTATAATCCCAGCACCTTGGGAGGCCAAGGTGGGAGGATCGCTTGAGGCCATTTCTACCTTGGGGAACATAACAATACTCTTTCTACAAAATAAAAATAAAAATAAGCTGGTTGTAGTGGTGCATGCTTGTAAACCCAGGCACTGTGGAGACTAGGGCAGGAGGATTTCTTGAGGCTAGGTGTTTGAGACCAGCGTAGGCAACACAGCGAGACCCTGTCTCTAAAAAAAGTTTTCTTTCAATTAGCCAGGTGTGGTGGTATGCACCTGTGGTCATAGCTACTTGGGAAGCTGAGGCAGGAGGATCCCTTGAGCCCAGGAGGTTGAAGCTGCAGTGAGCCATGATTGCACCACTGAGCTCCAGCCTGGGCAACAGAGTGAGAGTCTGTCTCTAAAAATTAAAAAAAAAAAATTGTGAGGAAGAAGAGGAGGGAAGAAGAGGTCTACAAAGAGAAATACTTCCCAGAATAGGGAAGAGAATGTAACTTCAGGAAAGTCATAACAGAGGCATAGTGGTACCCAGGGAACAATTAAAAGAGCTCCTTCTACATTAAATAAGAAATTGGAGGTGAAAAGTTTTTGCATATTAATTTTCAAATTTCAACATCTATTTTAAAGTATAGATTCACTCTCTGATCACATTCTGTAGATTTTTCATCGCATTGGGTCATAATGGTGTATGTATAATCATTAAATTTGGATCATGGATAATAATATTTAGGGTAATTTTTTATGTTTCATTTTTATTGGCTTTCACTGCAGTGGAAGTATAAATATGATTCTTATGGAAATAAAGAAAACTTACTCTGTTTGTTCTAACCAAAGGGATTAAGGGAATATATGAGGTCTCATTTGAGTTGGACCTCAACCTCCTGAATTGAAAAAATAAAGCAAAACAAACTTATTATTAAGGAAAATTACAAATAAACATAAATGTGAAGAGAATAGTAAAATAATTTCATGTACAGCTGCTCCCCAGTGTTAGGGGGAGGAGCGGCTCCAGGACAGACCATGGACACCAAAATCCAGGAATGCTCAAGTCCCTCATAAGAAATAGCATAGTTGTAATCCCAGCACTTTGGGAGGCCGAGGCGGGTGGATCATGAGGTCAGGAGATCGAGACCATCCTGGCTAACAAGGTGAAACCCCGTCTCTACTAAAAATACAAAAAATTAGCCGGGCGTGGTGGCGGGCGCCTGTAGTCCCAGCTACTCGGGAGGCTGAGGCAGGAGAATGGCGTGAACCCGGGAAGCGGAGCTTGCAGTGAGCCGAGATTGCGCCACTGCAGTCCGCAGTCCGGCCTGGGCGACAGAGCGAGACTCCGTCTCAAAAAAAGAAAAAAAGAAAAAAAAAAAAAAAAAAAAAGAAATAGCATAGTATTAGCATGTAACTTGTGAATGCCTGTATACTTTAAATCATCTCCCAGATTACTTGTAACACCAATATAATGTAAATAGTTCTTACACTGTATTTTTATTTGTATTATTTTTGTTGTTATATTGTTATTTTTTAATTTTTCTGAATATTTCCCATCTGCTGTTGGTTGAATCTGCAGATGTGGAACCTGCAGCAACAGAGGGCTGACTGTACTCACCACTCAAATTCAAAGTTGATCAATGCCTTGCCAATTTCATTGTAGCTATTCCCTTGTTTAAATACACGTGCACACGCGTGTGCACACACACACACACACAGATGGAGGCAGAGAGCCGACCATATGTGTCCATGTATGTCTGTGTACATATATACATATGTGTAGTTTTATATGGGGGCATACACACATAGAGCTGAAGTGCAGTGTTTTCAAATAGTGCTACTCAAGGTCAGTCTGAAACCCAGCAACATCAGCAGCAGCAGGAACCCTTTGGAAATGCAAACCCTCATTTCCACTACAGACCTCCTGAATCGGAACCTCTGGGTGTGTGACTTGGTATTCTGTGTTTTAATGGGCTCTCCAAGTGATTCTGATGCATGCACAAATTTGAGAAGCAAAGTTTGAAAGCAAATTCCATATATTATGTCATGTCATCTGTGAAAACTCCATTATGCCTCTATAACTGATACTACTACGTCCAACAAAATTATGAGTAATTCCTTAATAACATCCAACCTAGGGTAGTCACAGGTCCTGGCTGGCCCAGGCCCGTCCAGTTGACACCTGCTGTCCTGGAATAATTATTAACATCACTCCTTTCACACTCAGAAGTGTCCCAGTTAGGATGACAAACGTTACGGTCACTGTTTTCATACTTCTGAAGATTATAAACCAAGATTCACCTTTGTCCTCTCTATCCTGTTCCCTCCCCTCCCTTTGGTAACCATTTTTTATTGGTTTTATTTATTCTTCATTTGTTTATTTTTGAAACTGTGAATTAACTCATCTGAGTTTCACTTGCTTTCTCTTTTAACACGATTCCACAGCTCACATTTTTAAACTTCGCAATATACAGGAGAGATAACTCTATGGCAGTGTACAGGGACCTTTCTCTTTCCTCTTACAGCTACATAATAATCCTTTTTGTGAAAGTTATAGTCATCAGACTGTTATTGATAGACATTTGGGTTGTTTACAGTCCTTTGCTATTTCAAATAGTACAGCAATGACTAACATTGGCCATGTGGTCATTTCATAATTTTGCCCATGTGTCTGGGAGAGATTTCTAGAAGTGGGGCTGCTGGGCCAAAGTGTGAATGTACATATAATTTTGCTAGATACTGCAAAATACCACTGTATGGGGATGTGCAAATTGGATATTTGAGTTCCTGTTTTCCCACTGCCTCCTTTAGAGGATATGTTATCTAACTTTGGAACGTCTGACTCTCTGATAAGCAGAGATATGGTATCTCAGTGTAGTTTGCTTTTTTAACTTCTTACTGACATAATATCCATATAGAAAAGTGTACATATATATACAGATGGAAACTTCACAAACCAAACACACCTGGTAACCAGCACACTGATGAAGAAACAGAAAATTATCAGATGTCTAGAACCTCCCACAGACTCTCTTAGTAAACTGTAATGTGTCTTTCGCTTACTTCGAGCAAAGGTAAGCTCCTTTTCATATATGTCAGGACTTTTATGCATTTCCATACTGAATATCCCAGTACGGCTTATTAGTTTTTAGGCAACTTGTGCTAGCAGAAACATCAACTGGGACAGAAAAGGATGGAAACATTATAAAATAAAATGAGACCTTTGGGCCCAGAGACTTCTGCAGACCTCATCCTCCCATGTCGCTAGGACTACCTAAACATGCCACCACATCTGGCTAATTTTTAAATTTTCTGTAGAGATGTGGTCTCACTATGTTGCCCAGGCTGGTCTCAAACTCCTTGCCTCAAGCGATCCTCCTGCCTTCCAAAGTGCTTGGATTACAGACGTGAACCACCACACCTGGCTGACTGCCTTTTGGAATGGCGGCATCCATAGCAGCTATCCTATGCTGTCCTCCCTATCGTAGGTTGCATGTGGAGAGCAGATAAATTGTATCTTTAGCTCGCAAGTCTTTAGATTGAGAAGAAGTAGCCTCTGGAGCTCTGAACCACTGTGTAAGAAGCTGAGGTTGCCCTGCTTGTGAGGAAACAGAAACTAATCAGGAAGAGAGACCACACCAAGAGAGAGATGCCTCACCCATGCCTGCATGCATCAGCACACCGCTGATCCCACGGCAGCCACCATCACACTGCAACCTCGAGAGCGGAGGTGAGGCAGAAATACTCCATTGAGCCATTTCCAAAGTCCTGCTCACAAAAACCAAGAGGAATACTGCATGATAGTCATGGCTTTGAAATACCACTTGGGGGTCATTACGCAACAATAGATAACTGGGACTGATTTCGATCCTTGCTCATGAAGTTAAAAAAAATCCGATTTCCTACTGAATGTAACTCAAAAAGAAACTCAGGAATCGCAGATAAAAAACAGTTTAAGTTTTGGAAATTAATTCTGGAACTCAAGAGATGTTTAATTTAATACAAATCATTTGTAATTTCAAGTTACCTGGCTGCCTCCTCACACTCTAATTTGCAACGAGACACAGTGCCTGCATTTATAGCCAACAATTACTTAACTACGAGATTTTAATTGTTCTAGGTTTTAAAAAATCTAGTCGCTACAAGTGAAGATAATCAATAATTAAAAAAACCATACTATCAAAAGCAAACACACTCTGGGAATAAAAATGGAACTATGATTCTCAGTTCTCCATCAGTTGTTGTAGCTTGGCTCTGAGTGGAAATGTCAAAGAAGTCATTGGACAGAAATTATTCTGTGGGTCAAAACAGTGTTCCTTTTAAGAACAACTGACCAATTAAATTTATCTAAAGAAAATTGGGACTTGAAAGACATTTTGAAAACCCGAATTTTATCATTTGATATTTAATATTGCCAAGGCCCAAAGCATCACCATTGGATATAATTTCCGATTATTTTATTCCATCATGTTAAAAATAACACCAAACTCTCTCCTTGATTGAAGTAGTAACCAATAATAAAAATATTGAGTTATATACTTTTTATAAAGAAGAGCTCTCTAAGCTGACTTGTGAACGTAGGTGTGGCATTGAATTACTGAGCCAATGAGGCATAACTGCTGCTGTAATTTGATTATTGAAAAATTAGTGTTTGACTCGCCTTTTAGATGGTAAATGTGGTTTTCCTCTGAAAGCGTGTGGAGTCTCAGCACATTTCATCATATTTAATGGCTGTTTCCCTTTCTCTTTAGTGGTTTTTATTTTTAATTTTCACAGGGTATCAGGATGTGACCTGTTTTGTTTCAGTATTGCCTCAAAGACTGAGAAATAAGGGGTTCCAGGCACTGTTAAATTCCAAAGAGCACCTACACAAGGCATGTAAGAGCCAGAAGCAGATTTTACAAAGCTTAACCCTTCAGCCAACCGGAGCCGTAAAAGGACTGAATGCAAAGAGGAAGAGAGAGTGAGGATTTCTTTGGACCATGTTGTGATGTGCGGGGTCTTCCCCTCCCACCTTTGTCCCACATGCGGGAGAGGGGAGGGGAGGTTCACCCCCACCACCGTGGGAAGGAGGCTGCAGTAGAGCTGAGGCAGGAGGTGGGATTTGACTCCGGAGGTGGGATTTGACTCCGGAGGTGGGGCTCAGACACCGGACCAAATTGAGGACTAGCTAAAACAGAGAGGGGACAGAAGTACTTTCCATGACACTCCTACCAGTATGCCATGTCAGTTTACCATTGCCATGGCAACACCTGGAAGTTAGGATCCCTTTCCATGGCAACAACCTGATGACCTGGAAGTTACTACCCTTTTTGGAGAAATTTCTGCATAATCCACCCCTTAATTTACATATAATTGAAAGTGGGTATAAGTATAACTGCAGAACCGCCTCTGAGCTGCTACCCTGGAGAAACTGCCCATGGGGCAGCCCTGCTTTGCAAGGAGCAGGACCTCTGCTGCTGCTGCACACTGCCGCTTCAATAAAATTTGCTGTCTAACACCACTGGCTCACCCTTGAATTCTTTCCTGGGTGAACCCTCCCAAGCTAAGCCCCAAGTTTGGGGCTCTCCTGCCCTGCATCAGAACCAGGTGGAGAGCTTGGCACAAGCATAAGGGGTGGGCCGCAACGGCGAGGCCAGGTCAGCCTGATGTGGTGCTTGGTGTACAGCACGTTCCACCAGTGGCAGGCTCAGGAGCACATTCTTCCATTGGGCCAAGGGGGCAGCCCACAGCTGGACGTGGTCATTTACAAAGGAGGATGGTTTTCAAAGGCCTTCATCCAGGGCAAGCCTAACTGCCCCCCACAGAAAGGACTGGAGGTATTCCTTAGTCAAAGGGACTCAAGGTTAAAAGAGGTTGAAACTGGCCAGCCAGGAAAGTCAAGATCTACCTCATTTGGCAGGAATTCAGCCAGAGGTACCCAGAGGGGATTCCTTACGAACTCATAAAAGCCTCCTTATCTCCCAGAAAAGGAGTGGGTTGTGGGGATCCACCACACTCAGAGAGCGCTCGCATAGATGAGCCTGGGGCTGAGCCACCAGGAGCTGTGCTGTGCCTCAGCTCCCCTTCCTGGGGCCAAAGGGATGAGTTATCTAGGGTTGGGGGGAGTCAGGGGTCTGGGCAGGGATCAAGCAGGAGAGCAATATGGGAACAGAGAACAGAACTGCATTCATCTAGATTTCTGACGCTTTGACACCAGGGGTCTTGCTGACTGCCCCTTCCAGGGTTAGCCAATTCCTAAAAATAGTAAATGAGGCTGGGTGCGGTGGCTCATGCCTGTCATCTGTCATCACAGCACTGTGGGAGGCCAAGGGGTTTGAGACCAGCCTGGGCAACATGATGAAACCCCATCTCTACAAAAAATACAAAAATTAGCTGGGCATGGCGACACAAGCCTGTATTCCCAGCTACCCGAGAAGCTGAGATGGGAGGATCACTTCAGCCCAGGAGGTCAAGGCTGCAGTGAGCCATGATCTCTCCACTGCACTCCCGCCTAGGTGACAGAGCCAGACTATGTCTCAAAAACAAATAAACAAACAAACAAACAAAAGATAGCAAATGACTCACCTGGGAACGTGCCTTTCATGTGCAAACCAACCAATCCAAAGCCCTCAGCCTATCACCTCCTCTATCAGACTTTCACACTCTGAGCCACTAGCCCGTTGCCCTAATCGCGCCAGCTCCTGGGCCCAGAAAACTAGAGACAGCTCTCATCACCCCAGAGCCTTCAGAAATTGCTCAAACCAGTCAGCCCAAGCCTGCCCACCCTGCCTTGCCCATTTCCACAGAAACTAGAACAAAGGTGCTTGCTCACATTTTCCCTTCGCTCCCTCTGCCTTCAGACCAACCCTGGTACTTCCTGGCATGGCCTGCCCTGTCTCCTGCTTTGGGGGAACTGTGAGTAAACAGTTCCTCTTGCCTGACAGTCATTTCTGCATCTGCACATCTTATCATACCCGAGTAAATCAAAATCCTGGTACCCTACTAACAGGAAGCCACCCCATTGTAGGCTTTCCAGATGAAGCAGGCTCAGGAGAATAAGAAACTTTTCTCCCAACTCCCAGACACCCCCTTTTTTTTGAGTCAGAGTCTTGCTCTGTCACCCAGGCTGGAGTGCAGTGGCACAATCTTGGTGAAGCTTCCCCTTTGAATGAGGCTTCAGATTTGATTGTCTCACTAGATTGGACAATGAATTACTGACATGAGACTCTCCTGGAAACTAGTATTTTTAGAAGACTTTTTGTTCTTGAAAAATAAGAGGGCCTGGAAAAGCTACAGTACCCGTCTGAGTCTGCAAGTTTCTGGGAAGAAACAGTAAGTTTGAAGGATACAGTGGGTGGAAAGAATCAAGTTGTTTTCAGCTTGAATCATTTTGAGTCAGTTTATTGAAGGCTCTGGTTACATAACAAAAATGCACAAATATATCACCATCAGGTTATGTGAGAAAGGAAGTTCTTACTGACAATGTAATATTTTAAGTAATGATATATTTCAGAACATTCCAGAGAAAAGCATTTTGAGAAACAGTTGTTTGTAGTGACGTTTTAAAGTACAATCTCACACTAGTAGTGAATTTATTAACCTTGGTAGTATGAAAAAATGTCTTCTCTTTTCTCTAGTTATAGGTATAACTAGAATTGAAAATTTCTCTGAAAAATGCCTGAATTAGAGGCCTGACTACATATTGAAAGCCTTGAAATATCCGTCAACCTTCAGTTCCTTTTCTGGCAATTGCTCTTAACAAAATAATTGAAAAGATGCAAAAAAATATTTACTGTAAGGATGTTTATTGAAGTATTGTTTATAGTGCTATAAATTGGAATCATCCTCAATTTTCAATAACAGAATGTCAGATAAATAAATCATGGTGCATTCATCCCAAAGGAATGCTGTCCTGTTATGTAAAATGATGTTGTTGATCAGTGTTTTTCAAAATTTTTAAATTATTGTCTCTCTAAAGAGCCTGGTTTAGTCTGTTCTCACGCTGCTAATAAAGACATACCAGAGACTGGGTAATTTATAAAGGTAAGAGGTTTAATGGACTCACAGTTCCACATGGCTGGGGAGGCCTCACAATCATGGTGGAAGACAAATGAGGAGCAAAGTCACATCTTACAAGGCAGCAAGCAAAGACAGCTTGTGCAGGGCAACTCCCCTTTATAAAACCATCAGACCTTGTGAGACTTACTCACTGTCAGGAGTCAGGACAGGAAAGACCCACCCCTATGATTCAATTACCTCCTACCAGGCCCCTCCCATAACATATGGGAATTATGGGAGCTACAATTCAAGATAAATTTGGGTGAGGACACAGCCAAACCACATCCGAGCCTTTTCAGACTCTTTTTTTCCCTAATTGTCACCCACCAACCCCTTCTTCCCCATGAAATTTTAAGACCACAAATATATATCTGTTACGTACTATGGCCCTTTGGAGGAGTCACAGATCATTGTAATATCTAAGTTTTTTCACCCCAAAGAACCCATTTTTTCCAACTTGGGGATGATATGAAACCCATTGAGAATGCATGTTGTTGATGAATATTGACATGGAAAAACATTCATGATATTTTGGGAAGTAAAAAAAACTAGAACACACAAAATAATCTGTTTTCACTTATTTGTAAATAGGTATAGAAAAACTTATAGAAGTTTCTATATAAATATATTAATACTGGTTATCTCTGGGTGGAAATTAGACCTAGTATATATTAATCTCCTATTATATGTGGGTACTTTTCATGTCATTTAACACTTATAATAATGCTGTGAGAAGCTGGAGACCTACTGGGAGACCAGTGTCGGGTAGCGAGCACCGTGTTTGGCATAAATTGACATTTAGTAAATGGTAGCTATTTTTATTATTATCTTAGAGGTTATCTTTAAGAGACAGAATATGTTTTTAATTAATATGGCAAAGATGAAATGGTATGATGACCCATGGGGCCAGATTGCCCAGGTTCAAATCTTTGCTCTGTTGGCTAAGTGGCCTTGGAGAGTCACTTAACCTCTGGCATTCAGCTTCCTCACTCATTAAGTGACTATGATGACAGTAATTATAGCTACTCACAGGGTTGTGAAAATTACATACATTAGTCCTTATAAATGCTTGGAATAGCATCTGGAATATAACTAGCAGTCAATAAATGTTAGCTTTTTATTCTTACTTAGTCTTTGCAATGAATCTGTGAGGGAATATAATAATTTCCATTTTCCAGATGAGAAAATTGAAGCTCAGAGAAGTTGAATAATGGAATGATTGCTGAGGGTCAGGACCTCAGAAAAGGATGAGACACCAGGTGTCCAGAAGTAAGGCAAAGGACCCAGCAGTTGGGTCATAAGAAGTGAAAAGGTACCAGAGATGAGTTTTTGCATTTCCTTTCCGTGTCTATAGTGGATATTGCCTACATGTATGTATAATATATATTTCACGTATCCACATACACATCTGCCATGTGCTCTGCATGGTCCCTCCAGGAGACCACAGATGAACAATAGGATTGGGGAAATTATGTGACCTTGGGGTTGAATTCTGTCTCTGATGCTCCCTGGTTAAGTGGCCCTAAAGGATACATCCTTTCTCTGAGCCCTAGTTTCCTTACTTGTCAAAAAGGTGATATGATATCCACCTCCTGAAGTTAGCAAAAATTAATAAGAACATAAAAACAGCCACCATGTAAAGAGTTCCAGGCATGCAAAAGGTACCATGCAAGCTATTTTACATGAATAACACAATAGACCCTAAAAAAATACTACTTTCCCTTTCCAGCATCTTTCCTTGCCCCAGTTGAATGACTCATATTGCATGATAATGAATAATTCTTGCCTAATGCTAATCAAGGAGATACTTTATTTATTTGCTGTTCACCCAATAGGTCCTTGCTGAGTTGCCTCCAGGTGCCTGTACTTGGCCAGGCTTGGGGACGGTAAGAGGAAAAACATCTCATCCAGCTTTGGAGCAGTGTTTGGTCTAGTGAAAGGAACAGTAACATAAGTCACTAGAGTATAATGTGATGCAACATGCCATGTGATAGTCATATGATATATTTAAGTGGCTTTAATAACATTTGATTTCAGCTACAAACTCTCCTGAATAAGCCTGACCTCTTTCTGCCTTCCACTGACAAAGGATACTATATTACTCCGTTTTCAAATTGCTATAAAGATACTACTAGAGACTGGGTAATTTATAAAGAAAAGAGGTTTAAGTGACTCACAGTTCCGCATAACTGAGGAGACCTCAGGAAACTTACAATCATAGTGGAAGGGAAGCAGGCACAACTTACATGGTGGCAGGCAAGACAGCATGTGAAGGAGGAACTGTTAAACACTTATAAAATCATCAGATCTCATGAGAACTCACTATCACAAGAACAGTATGGAGGAAACCACCCCCATGATCCAATCACCTCCCACCAGGTTGACACATGGAGATTATGGGGATTACAATTTGAGAGGAGATATGGGTGGGGACACAGAGCCGAACCATATCAGATACTGTCTCTGAGATTTGCAACTATTGCTAGGGATCATTAGCACTTGCTGGTCTCATTTTCTAGGAAGCTCTTGTTCCAATAAATTGCAGTTGTTCTCTTCCCTCCAACCTCTCTGTTACAGACACAGAAAACAGTGTCATATTTCTCCTGCAAGTGACTTCCTTTCCCTTCTTTACAACCTTTCTCAAGGGCTAGAAACTCTAGAAACCGTAAATTAGGTTAAACAAATCCAGAACACAGCACTTCAAGGGCTGAGAAAGTGGTCCAACAAATCTCTTCAGATTTACAATACATATCTGCCCCCAGGTTGACTAAAAAGAATGAAAAATTTGCAGCTAAAATTTAGTTAGGTAAAAAGAAGACATGCTATGACCAAAGGCTTTAAACAATGGAGAGGGTTATCTTCCTTACAGAAATTCCCTGGAATGATGAAGTAAGAGTTGCTTCCAATAAATAAAGAAATGTACAACTTAACTTTTTCAATATCTCCCTTCTCCAACTTAATGGGGAGGCATAGACCGATAACGCTCAGTTCATACAAGTATTTATTGAGCATCTACTCTGCCAGGGTCTGGCACCTGAAACACATCAGTGAAACAAAATCTTCAAAACCCCTGCCCTTGTTGGGCTTACATTTCTAGTTGGAGGAAGCAGACATAAACTTAATAATAGGTAAAGCTATCTTAAAATGTAGTAATCGCTACAGAAAGAATGGAAATAGGGCTAGCTGGGGCAGGGGGAATAGGGAAATTTTAATTTTAAATGGAGTAGTCAGAGTAGGTTTTACTGAGGTGCTATTTAAGCAAAGACCTGAATTAGGTGAAGGACAAAGTTTTGTTAGCAGCTGAGGCAATGAGATCCAGGCAGATAGAACAGCCTTATGAAAGCTCTGAGGTTAGAATGTCCCCAGTGAGTTTGACAGGTCATCCATGTTGTTGAAGATTGATGCAGAGGGAGACAGATGTTGTTCCAATTTATCATTTATCGTTGTGGGTTCCAGTTTATCCTGCTTTCTTCCACTTCAGGTCCAGTCCTTCTCAACTACCTGTCCAGGTGACCTACAACAACTTCAGGTCCACCACCAGATGCCAAGCCAATAGCTTTTCATAAACTTCTCCAGCACCCCCGACACCTAGATAGGTTCTAATCCTTGCAATAGTTCCCTCATTTCCTACCACTCATAGTGGTTCTGATCTTCTGATTGAACCCTAAGCAATACTACATCCAAGTGAGATGTCAGGTAGGTAGCTAGATATAAGAGTCTCAAGTTCAAGGGAAAGTTTCCAGCTGGATGTATAAAATTGAGAGTTATCAACATATAACTGGTATTTAAGGATATGAGGCTGGATTGTGTCACCCAAAGAGAGAGCAATATAAGTGGAAGGAAGAAGAGGTATAAGAACCACGCCCTGGAGCACCTGTAGTAAAGAAGTCAGGGAAGAAACAGCTAAAGAGACTGAGAAAGAACAGCCAATGAGGTAGAAGGAAAACAGAAGAGTACAGAAAATGTAAAGGGAAGAAAGTGTATCAAGGAGGATGCAGTGATCACTTGGGCCAAATGCTGCCAATTGTTGAGTAAGACTGAGAACTGATCATTACGTTTAGTAATACCAAGGTTATTATTGATATTTTCAAGAGCGGTTTGCTGAAGTGGTATGAATAAAAGTCTGATTGCAGTAGACTTCAAGAAGAGATAGGATGAGGATTGGAGAAGATCATTCTTTTGAGAAATTTGTAAAGAAAATCAGAGAACTGGTGAGGAAAAAATGAGGTCAATTCAGAGTTGTCTTTTTAAAACAAGAGAAATAAAGCCTGTTTCCTCTTGGGAAGGATTCAGTAAAGAAGTGTAATAGTGGTGAAATTGGAGAGGAGGAGGATAATTTCTGGGGAAATATCTTTAAGTGGTGATAGGTGATGGGATCTACTTCACGTGCACAGGTGTTAGGCTTAGATAGAAGCACGGGGACCTCCTGGAGCAAGGAGTGTGGGTTCACATCTTACTGGTTAGATGAGTAGAAGGATTTCAGAAGGTCTCTGCTAATGGCCTCAGTTTTCCAGTAAGATAGAAAACAAAGCCATCAACTGAGAGACAGCTTAGGGGAAAAAATGTAGGTTTTAAGAGAGAAGCAAAGGCGCAAAATAGTTCCCTAGGAGAGTAGGAGAATATGTGAAGTAGGGAAATATAGTATAATGACCGGCAGTATTAAAGGCCTGCTTGAGGATTGTGGTCATGAATTTAAAGTGAGACCATGTAGTATGAGTATGTGTGAGTCAGGCTCAGCGGCACAGATGCAGGAGCAGAGCAGAGCAATGCGAGTGTTCAGCCAGACTTATGATTTTCACAAATAAGGCGAATAAAGAGAAGAATATGCAAGTGAGGAGGAGGCTTTATGCAAAGGAGTGATTGTAACAACTAGCCATAGAATTTTAATTGGGTAAATGGGGGGAACGACTAGATGGGAATGAATAAAGAAAAGAACAGGTGATAAAATCAATGGAATGGAGGTCTCACTGGGGGGTCTTCATTTTGGAATGAAGGTGCTAGACGGACTGAACTGGAAACATAGGAGGTAGAGGTTGGAGAATGGGATGTGTGAGATGCACGGAGGTCTGGATTTGTTGGTAACAATATGGAAGTGAACAGCTGAGATAGGGCTGAGGACAAGATCAGTAACTAAAGGTACTGACAAACCAGGATATTGCAAGAATCACATATGCATATATTGACATCAAAAAGAAGTAATGTGGGGAAAGTGCTGAAAAGAGTGATAGTGATTCAGGAGCTAAAAGTGATCCAAAAACTGGGGAGCTTGACTGTTCTGATAAGCTCCCATTCACTCCACTGATGAAAGAGGGCTCTCCTGCCTTAAATAGTATGAGGTACCTGAACACCAGATACCTAGCATTGGACAGATGGGATTGGCAGCACTTTATTAGTCACGTATACTCACAGCCCTGGACACTGCATGCCTTCCAGAACAGGGCCACACAGGGGTCCAACTCAGGAATTGAGTGAACCAGTAGAGACTGTGGGAGGCAGGCTTTGTAGTAACAGAAGGATGAGGTGCCCCTTTGTTCTCATGGGAGGACGTAACTGGCTTATTTGAATCACTCACAGGCTATCAGGAAAATGAAACTTGTGAGGTTGAACAGGTGGAGTGGAGCTGTTTGGCTGGTAAGGGAACTAGAGAGATGGGGAAGCTTTCCCACTGTGGGAGGGGTATATCTGGTGAAAGCAGGGTCATTCATGGTCAGGCCTTTGGGGCCCTGTGAGATTCAGAGACGTCAAGGTAGCACTTGAAATTTTACCTTACAATATACTTGACCCAGGTTGATGACTTCAGCAACGAGAGGTAGTGGGTGACATAGTCTGATGGTATGGGATTCAAAGCAGTATGACGGCATGGACTTCAAAAGTGGGAGATCTTAGGGTAAAAGAGAAAGTGTGCAACAAGTAATGAGGGCAACAGAGGACACCTTCCCCACCCACAAAGTGAGAGAGGTGCAGGAGAAGCAGAGCCCTCGAAGGAGATGCAGATTTCAGTTAAGCAGTGAAAGGAGCATTCAGAAGAACACTGTGAGCATATGGAGAAGTCAGCTGATGATGAATTGTGAGTTCCAGGGGCACATAGTAGAAGGATTTTAGGAGTTTGGGAGAATGAAAGATGAGGGGAGAGAGAGATGTGCAAAACTATATGGTGAGCAGTTACAGGAGATAACTGGTGACCCAGGGGTCTGGGGCTTCCCATGATGACAGACACAAATAAGGATGAAAGATCCAGTGAGGTTGGGCATAAAGGTTTCAAGGTGAATACTGATGACAAAGCTGACTATTTAATGGATAGGGAGAAAGAGACAGAGTGTGGTCGGCTCTGTCCCTTATTATTTATTAAATCTTGAATTAATACTTGGGCTTCACTCTCTCTGTGTGTGAAATGAGGGAGTTGGAATAGAAGATTTCATAGATACCTTTTAGCCCATAATATAAGATTTTAGGTCTGGCTCAGTGGCTCACACCTGTAATCCCAGCACTTTGGGAGGCTGAGGCAGGTGGATCACCTGAGGTCAGGAGTTCGAGACCAGCCTGGCCAACATGGTAAAACCTAGTCTCTACTAAAAATACAAAAATTAGCTGGGCATGATGGCACTCGCCTGTAATCCCAGCTACTTGGGAGGCTGAGGCATGATAATTGTTTGAACCCAGGAAGCAGAGTTTGCAGTGAGCCGAGATTGTGCCACTGCACTCCAGCCTGGCGGATAGAGGGAGGGTTCCTAAAAAAAAAAAATACTTTAGGCAGAGTTTGCACAGCCACGGTATTGGGAGAATGACTTGCTCAATCTGGTGTAGCACTATTAGGCCACCATGGCTATGCTTAGCCCGCCCAGTATGTAATGCACATACTTTCTGTTAGCAAAGCCAAGTCAGAGTCATTCAGGGCCGTTCCTTCCTTTCAACTTGCCTCATTTTGCTTCTGACTCTTTTATTACCAACTTTACTTCTGGCTTCCAACTTCTCTCCTTGCCTTGATCGTTGGGTTTTCTGCACACATCTGTCTTCCCTGCTATGATTGTAATGCTCCAGGGTTCTGATACCCCACTTGAGTCTTCATCTCAACCTTGTTGGATCCAACTCAGATTCACCCCAGAAAACCTCAGTTCCTCCACAGCCAAGACACTCCCTAGCCCAGCTTGGGCAAGGCTAACCCAGTTACCGCATTCTTAAATCTCCCTGGCTGACCTGTATTTGTTTACAAAGGGAAGGAAGTCTCTCTTTCTCCAAACACAGACACCCTTTACAAAGCACAAGCAGGGAGATTCTGTTCATGAATATCCTGAGAGACAGGGTGTAAGCCCTGCAGCAGAAGCAGCCCTGGTCTCAAAGGCAGGCTTAGTTCAAAGACTTTTCTCTCCTTCTCTTGAGCCAGTGCTTTTCCTTCCAACAGCCTGCTGATGCAAGGAGTGGTTCCTCAGCTAGCAAGTCTGCATAATATTGCCGGAAGTTCACAGGCTTTCTCAGACCCATCCAAAGATGGATCCTTTAAAATCCCAGAGACATCTTACAGTTTCTCTGATTGGGCCAGAATTTCTTCATGGGGATTTCATGTTCTCCTTTTTGGAGAGAAGATGAGCACCCAAAAGAGGGTGGAGAGGCTCCATTCCTTTCCCCATCTCAGGAAAATGAAATTCCAAGGGCAGAGATCAGGGGGGAAATCACATCTTGATCGTTGGCAAAACGGAAACTATTAGGCTTAGCATATCCTGTTTTGAGTAAGGAAAAAAATAAAATTCTCTATTCCACACCCCACCTACCCCTCCCCCCCAAAAAAATCCTATCCTCATGACTGAAGGAGTTATTCTGAGAAGCTTATCTTTTCATATCTACAAAAGTACATCAAATATTCCCCAGACAGTCCTACCACCTCATCACCTCCAACCTTGCCAGCTCACACTCATTTTTAAAATCTCACTCCTAGCTTATATCCTGCCCATTAACAGAATTGTGATTATGGAATTAGGCTGAAACAGTGTCTACATTCCACACAATCTCTAACACACTGATACTTGGTCATTGTTATTAATGACATTAATTGTAACATTTATTCTCCTTAAGAATGTATAGCATGACATGAGGTTGCATGCTTTCTAATCTTTTTTTTCTAATTATTTATAAACGTTCACATTCTGTGTGGTCATCAGTTGTCTTCAAAGGAAACACTGACATTTTCTGTTAGCAATTGCTCTGCATGGAATTGGTTATCTAATATGTCTGGTTAACAAGCCTCTCTTTGACATTTAATAAGCTGCAATGATTTCACATTCAGGTAGTTCCCTGTTTACTTGAGGGCAAAGGGCTGTATAGAAGCTAAGTTAGGGGATTTGATTACAAAAACAAAGATTTTTTTTATGGATAAGAGGAAAGTAAAAGTTCTTTTTTTCTAACTCTGTCTTTCGAAGTTTCATTGTCCAGCCTTTCTTTGGAAACACATGGCATCTTAATACTTTTACCGGTCACAGTTTTCTTTGAAATGCATTTGTCATCAACTCAATGCTTTCGCCATGACTCCATCTCTGTAACCATGAGATATTAAATGAAGGGCAAAGAGCAAAGTTTCAATTCCATTTTATTAAAACAGAACTAGATCTTCTGAATCAAGATAAACTTGAGTTTTCTATTTAAAAAAAAAATTATCCCTCAGTGTATGTTCATGAAGACTGTGTATCCAACCAGCCAATATTTCAGAATATATTGAAAGAAAAGCATAATTCACAGGTCATTAAGCTGCCTAAATCCTCAAATACTGTGCCACTGGTCATTTGATTTTATGCTTGAGTAGGTTTAGATGGTGAAACAAATATTTTCCTGATTCTCCTGCCTCCAAAGGAAAACATGCCCCAAAGCCGCCTAGCAAAATACCCCAAATTACCTCTGCTATTATGCAAGAATTCCTATCTTTGCAGTTATGGATAAAACAAAGACGGAATTTTGAAGGACCCAAACACTTTCTCCTAAAATATATTCTTGCTAGTATTCCGCTTCAGATGAAAGTTCAAATCCTAAGCAGTGACTTACCAGGCTTGCATCTCTCAGCTCCTTGAAGAGGTTCTGCTTTGGTTTTGAGGGGTTATGTCTGAAACTTAAAATATAAAATGCTTTCAGTTAAGCTGCCTGGCATGATCGACTTTGTTTATTCCAGTCATTCCATTCCAGTGAAAATTTCAATCCCTTCTCCCTGTAAAATCTTCAAATTATTTTCTTCCTCATCCTCCTTCTCTCCTAGACTCCAAGCCATGGATGAAAAAACACACGATCTTGGCTCACTTGCTAAGGAAAAGGTGTAAAATGTACATGTAATCAAGCAAATGAGGAATTGACAGTTGAAAAATGATTTAAAATTCTTCAAATAGATATAGCTAACCCTGTTAGCTCTCTGCTTATATATATTTGGTAAGAGAATAAGCTTTTTCAGCACAGGAATGATATAAGGGCAGGAAGGGACACTTCTGCAAGTCAAACAGAGAGAGAGAAGAGGAGAGGATTCGAAAAGGTGCCAGAGGGTAATTGGACTCTGGCTCTGACAGTTGATCCAAAGCACGCTACAGGAAGCACACTGGTTAGCTAAAGTTAGAGAAACAGTGGCCTCTGATGGAGCCCCAGATGTCACACCAATTACACATGGTACAGAAACTTGCAGTTTATTTTGACAGTCATTCAAGTTAAAACATGAGATGAGAAGTTTGCAACAGAAAAGCCATCTTGGGCCTAATTATTTCATTTATATAAACAAGGTCAAAAGGTCTCATTTTATTATTATCTTCTGTCCTTCCTTCCCAGCACTGTTTATTTTCCACCTCCTATTTTAAAGGTGCAAACATATTCTAACAAGGTTCATCTTTAAAAATTTTGTATCAAAATGGAAACTTTTGTTTTCTGGCTCCCTCTATGTTGATATAAGCAAACAATCTTACAGTGTTTATTTTGATAATCAGTATTGAGCAAATATCTTACAACTGGGAAAAATCCTCCTGCTCTGTAGAGAGCAGTTTTGCCCACTGGTCACATACAATATAGGCTAGAATTACAGACACTGGGTAGTGAGAAAGTCAAGTTCTTCCTCTAAGCACTATGTTCATTTATTTTCTTTTTTTTTCTTTTTCTTTTTTTTCTTATTTTAAGTTCTAGGGTACATGTGCACAACATGCAGGTTTGTTACAGAGATATACATGTCCCATGTTGGTGTGCTGCACCTGTTAACTCGTCATTTACATTAGGTATATCTCCTAACGCTATCCCTCCCAGCTCCCCTGACTTTTGGGTATACCCACATGTGCTAATTTCCTCGGCTGTACTCATATTTGTAAAAATGGCAGAAAAGAAAATAAACGGTATTTCTCTGGGTATACCCAAAGACTAATGACAAGCTGATCCTCAAAAAAACCAGACAGAAAGACTGAGCCCTTGATACAGAATTTTTCTTGGCCCTTTGTCGGACTTGCAGCAGGGGGAGCCTCATCTACTTGGCCCACGTGCTCAGCCCCTGGTGGGAGGGAGCATGTGAGTAAGCAAGTGCAGGGTCCAGTGGGCTGCTTTGAGTGCTGACACAGGAGCAAACTCCATGCAGGGCCTGCGGCCAGACCAGGCATGTCACCCTGAGGGGAATGCAGCAGCTCCCAGGCAGGGGTGCCCGTGATTCCAAAGCCCCAGAGGAGGTGTTAGTTTGCTAATTAGCTCTTTTAGTTCTGCCATCCGCAGCTCAATAGACTGCGGTGTATTAGCAAGCTCAGTTGGCCCCTTGACTTGTTCTGGCCCACGGCTCTGGGACTGTCTTAGCTCTGCCACTGCTTCTGTTGTGTGGGGTGGCTGCCCTCCACCAGCAAGGGCAAAGGGCAAGTGTTACAGCCCTACTGGGTACCCCTGCTTGGTGGGTCCTGAGCTCTTGTCCAGCGTCCAAGAAGAATGAGGTCATGCTGACTATTGAAAGGTGATGAGAGCAGAGAATTTTAATGAGTCACAAATCAGCTCTCAGCAGAGAGGGGAACTGGAGAGGGTTGGGAAGGTCAGGTTGTCTTTGCCAAAGTCAGGTCATCTCTTCTTGATGTGGCTGAATCTGGGGCTAGGGGTGTGCATGCTGATTGGTGTGTGAGTATGGAAAAAAAAGGTTAAAACAAAGGCACCAGTAAAAGGTGGGCACAGCGTAAAAACAATTAGGGAAGGGTAGGTATATGTAAAATCGTTGAAGTTTGGGGCTCACTCAAAGGAAAGCATGCCAAATGGAAGACAGTTTCTCAATCCGGTCTGTGGATTTGGCTTGTAGCTTGGCCTTCAGGCTTTAAGTCATTTTTGACTTGAAGGTGGGGTTTCACTGGGGACCTGACCACCCCTGTCTACCTAGGATTTCTCTGCTTTCTGCCTCTATCACCCTGATTCTTTCCAGATTTGGTATTTATTGGGTTTGCAGAGACCTCTAGTGTGCTTCATCTAGTGATAAGGTGGGGTAACACCCAGAACAGACAGTGATGGTGAACTTGGGCAAGGCCAGTGCAAATTGCAGGGAGGAAAAAAAAACATCTGGGGGGAGTTTCCTGAACTTTGAATAGCAAATATTTGGTGGAATAACAACAATAACACACAAGTAAAAGTAAAATAAAATCAAAGATAATTAAAGTGGAAGGCTCTATTTACCAGAAACTTACCTGTTAAAGATAGTTTCCATGGTTTTCATTTTAAGTAATAGTGAAAAATCGTGAAAAATACATTTAGCAAGAAACTGAGTCACGGGCAGTTTTGCTATTCCATATTCCCTCAAATGAGCAGCCCTGTTGTCTTATATTATCTGCTCTCTAAGCACAAAACTGAATTACCATGAATCAATATCAAGATATTAAGATAATTATTCTGTTGAGTTTCTATTATTATTCTCCTCAAGCATACATTTGTGGTCTCATTTCCTAGACATATTTTATGTGGTTTTATATAACTTCATGAAAAATTCTCAACACATGGATGTTTCATAATGTCACTGGATGGTGGATTTTCCTTTATGCCTCAATACACATTCATTGAAAACATTGTGCAGTCCTAATGGAAAACCAAGAGGAATCCTAGCAAAGGTCTCCTTGAAGTTAGCAAACCTAATGAAATATTTTGTGCAATAAAACATTGTTTTCATTTGTGACATAAATTCATTCTTATCTACTTCCTGAGTTGATTTTGTATTTATTGGAGCTATAAACAGCTCCCAAAACTCAGCCTACTTCACTGACAAGGACTCTGATTTCCGTTCAGTTAAAGCAGCTATCTCAGCTTTGTTACTGCAGTATTTGATCCTCTTCTCTTTTCTGCTCTCTCTCTTCTATGAAGGTCACCTCTCTCTCTTAGCCATGTGTCAGAATCTATTCCACTTCTCTCATATTTTCTAAGTCAGATAGAGAAGGATGCTACCTCTCTATTCATTCTGATATTTTATTTTGAAACAGTTATAAGGGACACATCTAAAGATTTTAAGTAGTAGTAGATAATCTCATGCCTTTTTTCTTTTTTCCTAAATTTTTTTCATGATAAAAGTAATAAAGGCTTATTGTACAAAATTTGGAAATTCCAGAAATGTACAAAGTATAAAAATGGTAGTGCAGATCAGACACATTACCATCAGCCAGAGATAATCTCTCTCAACCAATTCTTTTTTTCCTATTCACATATTTATTTTTAGTAATATTTGGATAGCATTGTGTCCTGTTCCACCTACCATTATATTATGAGCATTTATGTCCCCATATTCTTCTTTTTTTTTTTTTTTTTGAGACGGAGTCTCGCTCTGTCACCCAGGCTGGAGTGCAGTGGCGTGATCTCCGCTCACTGCAAACTCCGCCTCCCGGGTTCATGCCATTCTCCTGCCTCAGCCTCCCAAAGTGCTGGGACTACAGGCGCCTGCCACCATGCCCAGCTAATTTTTTGTATTTTTAGTAGAGATAGCGTTTCACCGTGTTAGCCAAGATGGTCTCAATCTCCTGACCTCATGATCCGCCTGCCTCAGCCTCCCAAAGTGCTGGGATTACAGGCATGTGCCACCGCAACCGGTGGTCCCCATATTCTTAAATGTGATTTTAATTTCTACATAATACTTATAATTTGTTTCATTCTTCCCCCATTATAGAGCATTTAGATATTTTCCAGTTACTATTTTAAATAATGTTATTGAGAGCATCTTTCTTGCCATCTTTAAGTTATCCTTCTTCATTAAGAGAAATAGATTATTCCAATAATTCTATGCACATAATTTCAGTGACCTAGGGGAGATGAGGGGCCAAGAGAGACTCTATGACTTGCCTGAGGCCATATAACTACTTATTGGAAATGCGGAATTCTTTGATATTTTCAGTTTCTTTATCTATCATGATCGAACCCTAGGCTTTTTAATTGCCTTTTTTTAAACCAGTTTCATTCCATTTTATAACAACTCCTGCCACTGCATTCCCATCCTTTCCTTGCAGCCCCACCCAAAAGCCACCTGCCTGGTCCTTAGGGCTTCCCTCTTCCCATTTGCCCGGAAAACCACTATCAGGTGATTCCGATGATCCTCCTTATATCACTATCAGGCTCAAAAACTTCATTGACTTCTTAGTGAAACCCTGCATGAAATATAAACAACTTGCCTGACTCTCAAAGCTCCACTTTTCCCTTCAATCTTTCCTCATCCACTCCCACTTGTCTGCTGTTCCCTATCACATTCCCAGCTTCCTGCCTTCTTCTTATATTTCTTTCTTTTTCTTTTCTTTCTTTCTTTCTTTTTTTTTTTTTTTGAGATAAAGTCTCACTCTGTTGCCCAGGCTGGAGTGCAGTGGTACAGTCTTGGCTCACTGGCACAGTCTTAGCTCACTGCAACCTCCACCTCCCGGGTTCAAGCGATCGTCCTGCCTCAGCCTCCCAAGGAGCTGGGATTACAGGTGCATGCCACCACTCCCAGCTAATTTTTGTATTTTTAGTAGAGACGGGGTTTCAGCATGTTGGCCATGCTGGTCTTGAATTCCTGACCTCAAGAGATCTGCCCGCCTTGGCCTCCCAAAGTGCTGGAATTACAGGTGTGAGCCACTGCACCCAGCCTTCTCCTTATATTTCTTAACCAGTCAGAATACTCCTTTGTTCCTCCTAATCTCTTTAACTTCATGCAGTCCTCTAAGGACCAGTGTGAGTCTCATATATTCCATGAAATAGAATGAACTTCCTATTGTATCTGAAATTGTTCCATTTGAGTTGTAGTCTGAAATGAACCACTTTCACTGGAAAATGTGGGGGCAAATAATTAACTCTGCTGAGCCTATTTCTGCATATGCAAAATAAGAATAATTTCACTAATACCTGCCCTTTCAACCTCCCAAGATCCTAGGAAGGATTGGATATGTGTTATAAAGTTTTGGTGAGCTGTTAACTGGTATACAAATGAGGGAAAATATTCTCCACTGTGTCCACTCATAGCTGTCACTTTAAACCATTTCAGTATCCAAGTCTGTACAACATATAACACAACACTGAGTTATGTTTCATCCCATCAAATTCTCTCATTGTCTTATGGATGCTAATCATTTTTCCTCAGCTTGGTTGTGAAGTCTCTCAATGTAATACAGTATCTAATATTACCTCTCTAACCTGGGCATTGCTGTAATGACTACCAGTCTAATCTAGATAAGTCCTAGCTGGTAAGGTCTGGATGGGGTCATAATGGGATTTAGACATAAGTGGATGAGTCAGTGAGGCATCGGTGTTCCAGAATTTTTCTGGAGAAAAAAAGTGTTACACTTCAGGAGTCCAGGAAGACTGGGATTAAGGTTAGCATACACCTTGTGAAGTCTATGTACTCTCAATTTAGATTTTGTTTCTTGGATATATTTACTGAATTCTTATAGCAACCCATATTAGGCATGCTTATTGTTGGAAAGCAGAAGCAAGAATGTCCTTCAGACACCTAACCCAGCCTTTGGTTACCCCAGTCAGAAGGGTCAGGCTACCCAATCATGATATGTTGTTAAACATGGCCTCCTGATGATCTGCTTATAGATTATTCATTTAATCTGAAATTTACTTCTCAGTTTTAATTTTCTAGTTTCTAGAGTCCTAAATAATATTTTTTCCTAACAGGTCTACCCTGAAAAAAGACAGTTCTAAGGTAAAGATTAGGACTAATGACAAGAGATAGAGATAAGGCTAGAGTTAGGGTTAGCACTACCTTTAGGTTCAGAGTTAAGGTTATGATTAGGTTTATGGTTAGTGTTGGATTAGGGTTCAGTTTAGGATGATGGTGAGATTTAGGTTCAGGCTTAGGGTTAGCATTTATGCTAGGGTTAGTGTTTGTGTTAACTCTACCCTTAAGGCTACAGGTTAGGGTGATGTTAAGGTTAGGATTAAGTTAGATTCTAGGATACAAAGGACAGTTTTACAAAAGATATTCTTGCAAATGTTACTTCATATGATAAAAGAAAACATCTTCCACATTTTTACCCATTTCCTTGGAACTAGCAAAAATACTATTGTAGTAGAATGCCTATTTTATAGTATTCCACGATTAAAAACAACTATAAAGTTTTCCATAGTTGATCAGAGTATTTTTAAATCTCTAGTACTGAAAAGGCAAGTAACACCTTTAATGTCAATGTTAACACCCGAGAGGTCAATTTGTCAAGGGTATTCAATTTATACTACCTTCTTCCCCTGACATTCTCAGCCACCAACATAAAAGCTGATACCATTAAAGTAAAATGCCATGATCTGAAATGCACTTACATTTTATCTGAAAACATTTATATATATATAATATACAGACATTATTGCCTATTATATATGTAATATACAGACATTATTGCCTATTATATATGTAATATACAGACATTATTGCCTATTATATATGTAATATACAGACATTATTGCCTATTATATATGTAATATACAGACATTATTGCCTATTATATATGTAATATACAGACATTATTGCCTATTATATATGTAATATACAGACATTATTGCCTATTATATATGTAATATACAGACATTATTGCCTATTATATATGTAATATACAGACATTATTGCCTATTATATATGTAATATACAGACATTATTGCCTATTATATATGTAATATACAGACATTATTGCCTATTATATATGTAATATACAGACATTATTGCCTATTATATATGTAATATACAGATATTATTGCCTATTATATATGTAATATACAGATATTATTGCCTATTATATATGTAATATACATATATTACATATTATATATGTAATATACATATATTACATATTATATATGTAATATACATATATTACATATTATATATGTAATATACATATTAATTTACATATGTAACACGTATTACATATGTATTATATGTAATATATGTATATATGTAATATTATATGTAATAATATTACATACAACTAATTATTGTAACATGTAATTATATGTAATATTATATTACATATAATATTACATATTACATATTACATATATTATATGTAATATTACATATAATATTATATATTATATGTAATATTACATATAATATTATATATTATACATATATTATATGTGATATTACATATATTATATATGTGATATTACATATATTATATATGTGATATATATGATATATGTAATATATGTATATTACATATATTAATATACTTATGTAATATACATATTAATATACATATATATACACATACTTTTGAAGTACCAGTCACTTGTCAAGCACCATAAACCAAAACACAATCTGTTTAATAAGGTTTCCAAATCATTAGACGTCACTCAAATAGATACTTTCAGCTAGACCTCACTCTCCAACAACTTTAAGTGTCTAGTGACTGAATGATGTCCTCACATAGCACCTGAACTTCAACAGGTCCAAACATGGTCTCCACAGCCCTCGCCCAACACACCTGCTTCTCCTTCTGTTCTTCCATTTGATTTAATGGCAGCACCATTTACCAAGTGCTCTAAACCAGAAACTTTTCATCAACTCATTTTTCCTCACCTCCCCCTGTCCCATCCTGTTGTGAAAATTACCTCAAACCTTCTTTCTGCCCCTCTCTTTATTTCTATTATTTCTTGCCTAAACCATTTGCAACAGCCTCTCAAATAACCTTGAAATAACTTTCCTACCTCCAAGTTCTTCCTTGTCCAATCTGTCCTCCCCACACTGTCACCAGAATGTGCCATCTTTGCTCTACTACCCACCAGTTGAAAATCTTTGCTAGGTTCTGTTCTAGAGTCTCTTTCATGAAAACTTTCTCATTCCTCTGTTGGCCTGGAATTTTCCACTTCCTTCTTTGCACCCTCCCATACCTTGTACATCTATGGTTGCGCTTACCATAGTTGATTACACGTGTTTCCCTTGAGTAGATTATAAACTTCTCAAAATCAAGATGATCTCATTCACTCCTGTACAACCAGTTCACTGAACAGTGCCTGGCATATGGTAGGTGCTCACAACATTTTGCTGAAAAAAAGAAAAATAGCTTACAAGACCAAGTAACACTCACAGATCCTCTTTATATAATAGTGTGTCCGGTCCCAAAATAAAACTTATGCTGTGTAAGGCTTCTTAAAAAAGTACACCCTGCATCTTAACAGGAAGTTACAGATTAATAAACAGCTGACAGAATGAACTAAACAGCATCCAGTGACTCACCAGGGGACCGTTCAATCGCTGCTCACTAGATTCAGGGAGAGAGAAGATGGGGCCAAACCATCATTCCCCATTGACGGGAAGATTTTGCAAAGATGCTTGAAAGCCCTGGGTATCAGGGCGATGCCTATTTGCCTACACTGTAGTGGAAATTCAGGAACAGAAAAAGGCCATAGCAAAAATGAATTTGGGGGGCTGTGTGAATACAGACACCAGATAAATACCAAATATGTGGCCACAGAATGTCTAACACACCCTACTTCATCCCTTGTGTAACATACAGTCTTGCATGAGGTATATGCTCAGTTTTTAAGTTACTCTTCATGAGAATATGTGGTGAATGCATAGACGAGACATGGATTTACCCTGGATTTTCTTCTGCCTTTGCCACCTCTGCAACAACACCAAGACCAACCCCTTATCTTCCTCCTCCTCGCCCTACTCAACATGAAGACAAACAGAATGAAGGCCTTTGTGATGATCCACTTCCACTTAATAAATAGTAAATATATTTTCTCTTCTCATGATTTTCTTAATAGTTTTTCTCTAGCTTACATTACTATAAGAATATTTTATGTGTACAATACACATAAAATACAAAATATGTGTTAATTGTTTATGTTATCAGTAAGGCTTTCAGTCAACAGTAGGCTATTAGTAGTTAAGTTTTGGGGGAGTCAAAAGTTATACTCAGGTTTTTGACTTCAAGAAGGGTGGGAGGATGTGGGGGTAGGAGGGGCTGTCTCTAACCTCCTAGGCATTCAAGGGCCAACTCTATATGGTTTTCTGTAACTACCGGCTGTCCACACTGTGCGGAACTAAGACGAGGTTGAGGAAGCTGGCTTCACAATTTTAAAATCCAAGAGCTCAGCTGCCGGTCTTCATTACAGAGCTGAGGGCCCAAAAGGCACAGCCTTGGGCTCAGGCTGCCTGGAGCAGATGCCTCCCATCTGAAGCATTTCTCGCAGACATAATGTTAAAACCCAGCACCTTGGAAGGTTAGATCTGATTGAGAACTCCCATTGGCAGCTCTCTCCTGGAAAGGTGTATGTGGCCAGAGGAAACAGGAGAGGAGGACTGGCCAGCGACAATATACACACCCATCATGGCCAGACCATATATAAAAATAGAACTCTGACCCGTGACCCCTGCAGCAACCTGACCCAGAGCGTCAAGACTTGATCAATAACCACAAGCTTCCCTAAGGTTTGCCCTTCCTTTCCCCCTTCCAACTCAGGACCAACCCGAGAAAGCCAAATATGTTTCCCAAGCTAATTGCATGGGATACCTGCCTCCAGGTCCCCGACGCCAGCAGCCTCCAATCGGGGCACAACTTAAAGCCTTCCCTTCTCCACGATGAAGGGTCCCCACTCCCCGGCCTGCCTCTGAGTCTTGCCACAGCAAGCTCTGAATAAACTGCCTCCCACTACCGTGGCCCTGGTGGATTTCCACCTGGGCGTCTGGAGCACACCGGGAGCTTGCCTACTGTGATGGAAGGCGCCTCTCCCTTGGTGGGGTTAGAGAGGTGGAACTGGAATTGGAAGGGTCACGTTCCAGTTCGGTGGGAGGAGTTGGGTGCAGGTAGATAGCCAGGGTGACGCCTCAGGCCAGGAGGTGGAGGTAGCTGGAGAAAGGAGGAAGGAGGCAAAGAAATCCTCCCTGCAGCGGTCCCCTGCGCCGGGCGCGGGAACAAGGGATGTGCGCGGCTCGTCCTTCCCCGGCCCGGCTGCTGAGGTGGCGGTGACTGTGGGGCAGCCGGGCCGTGCACGTCTGGAGACCGCCCGGGCGCTGGCCGCGGCTGGACCCCGGGAGCCGAACCGCGGGAGGGCGCTGTGCGGAGCCGGTGGTGGCCTGCTCGACGGAGGTGGCCGCCGTCACCCTACTGGTCCTGTGATACGTGCCCAAGGACTGCCCGGGAGCCAGACCTGCCAGCGGGTGCAGGACACCAAGGTCAAGACTGGAGCAGGGAGAAATAGTGCTGCGGCCTGGAGAAGCGCATCAGCCAGGACCAGAGGACATCTGCGAGCTGCCGGGCGGCCAAGGGGAGGAAGTCCGGCTGGTGAACCTCGTGGTGGCGATGTGGCGCAGGTCCCCTAGGGTACCATGCTGCCTGCTACCACAGCATCTTCAGGGAGGGTCACAGAAGAGGAGGAAGGCGCTGAACCCAGATTCCCGCCTGCTGTCAGCGTCCTAGGCCAGGGAGGGCTCTGGTTATAACTCACAAGCAGGCCTCATTGTTTTTCTGCTGGTTTTTTTGAAACTAAGAACAAAGGGAGTTAAAACAAAACAAAAACAGATTCTCATGGGACCAGCTGGGACACAACAGCCTGAGAGGGTGAAGGCAAAATGCGGCTGATTCAAACATACACCAAAAAACATATAATAATAATTTTGCAAGACAAACTTATAAAATTATCCATAATGATTGGCAAGTGTGGTTGGCTCATGGCTATTTTCCTCATTGTCTCCTTAATGACAAATTTGGCAATACAGACTTTTGGGACTTGAGACAACCAAAGAATTTTAGATTGCATTGCAGTTTATACAGAATATATTATTGAGTTTTTCATTATGAGAATAACAATCTTGGTGGTGACTGTTCCTGAAAGCTTTTCTTTTGCAGTTCCCCTTTCCTTGGTTTATTCTGTAAAGAAAATGAAAGCTAATCACTCTGTGAGACATTTGGGTGCTTGTAAAACTATGGGAAATGCAACAGTCTTCTGTTCTGATAAAGCAAGCACATTACTATTCCAGGAGTCCAGGCTTCCATTGGTAAAGCTCATTGTGTAAGTCCCATATCCATTTAGAAATACGTTTTTGACAGGTATTGCTGTTCATTGTTCTTATAACAATTTTTTAGTTGTTGAGGGTCCACCCAAACAGATTGGCAATATAATAGAATGTGTCTTTTTGGGATTTCTTCATCATTTCAGAATAGATGTTGAGAAAGAAAAGAAAAAAGAAAGTAAGGGAGGGAGGGAGGGAGAGAAGGAGGGAGGGAGGGAGGGAAAGAGAGAGAAGGAAAAGAAAGAGCATACCACAGGCTCATGCCTGTAACCCCAGCAGTTTGGGAGGCTGAGGCAGGCAGATCACTTGAGGTCAGGAGTTCGTGACCAGCCTGGCCAATATAGTGAAACTCCGTCTCTACTAAAAATACAAAAATTAGCCGGGTATGTTAGCGGTCACCTGTAATTCCAGCTACTTGGGAGGTTGAGGCATGAGGATCACTTGAACCCGGGAGGTGGAGTTTGCAGGGAACAAAGATCATGCCATTGCACTCCGGCCTGGGTGACAGAGTGAGACTCCATCTCAATTAAAAAAAAAAAAAAGCATACCACATAAGAGTTTATAGCAAATATTAGCATATATCTTCAACTCAGAAAATCTATGACTACTGTCTTCAAACTGCCCGACGAGAGTTTTTGGTTGTTCAAAGAGGGAGTCTCAGAACTATCACTTAACAGGGGTGTCAAATCCTGAATGAAGAGGGAATCCCTGTGTTTTCCAAAGTGTCATGAAACCAATGGCTTGTGCAGGGCTAAAAATACTGTGCCTGATATTCAGAAATTCTGCAGATACTGACAACAAACCTGGCTGAGCAATGCATAAGATATTACTACAGATCTTGCATGAATTGCTTTTGTAGGCATTGAAGATGCTATGAGAGCCAAGGTGTAAGTTTCCTGTGGCTGCTTCAACAAAGCTCTGCAACCTGAGTAGCTTGAAACAACAGGAATGTATTTTTATCCAGTTCTAGAGCCCAGAGGTCTCAGAGGCCATGTTCCTTCTGAAGGCTCCAGGGAAAAATTCTTCCTTGCTTTTCTCACAGATTCTGGTGGTTGCTGGCAAACTTTGGCATTCCTTGACTTGGAGCTTCTAGCTTCATATGGCCTTCTGTCTTCTGTATTTCTGTGTCCAAATTTCTATCTTTTTTTCAGGCCAGCACTTTACTGGATTAGGGCCCTCCGCAGTCTAATGTGACTTCATCTTGATTACATTTACAAAGACCTTATTCCAAATAAGGTCATGTTCACAGGAACCAGAGTTCGGACTTGAATACATCTTTTTGGGAGACATATTTCAACCGTCAACACCTGAGGTGCCAAATGCAGTTTCATAATGCCAGCATACTAGATTCACTGCGTGTGTGATTCTAGTGACAATCTCCACATTGTAAGGGCCGTTGCCCTGAAATATAGCATTGTAAAGGTCCCTGAAGGTTACCCATGTTTAGAGGGTACAGATTTCAAGAAACTAATGCGTAAAAATGACAATGGAGAAATTGAAAAAGAAAAAGGGCTCAAAAACAAGCGTTGGTCAAAATTTCATGTACTTGCAAGATCCAGCTGGTGATAGTTAATTTTCTGTGTTCATTTGACTGGGTTGAGGGATGCCTAGCTAACTGCTAGAAACATTGTTTCTGGGTGTGTCTTTGGGGCTGTTTCTGAAGGGGCTGTTAGCATTTAAATCAGTATACTAAAGATTGCCCTCACTTAATCTTTTGAGGGCCAAATAGAACTAAAGGGCAGAGGAAGGGTGAATTCATTCTCCCTGTTTGATCTGGGACATCTGTATTCTAATTCCCTGGGACATCAGCACTTCTCGGGCCTTCTTGGACTAGGAATTATAGCAGCGGCTCTCCTGGTTCTCAGACCTTCAGACTCCGACTGAATTACACCACCAGCTCTCGTGGTTCTCCAACACACAGAAGGCTAATTGTGGGACTTAGCACCCTCCATAATCATGTTAGTCAATTCCTATCATGAATCTTCTCCTATATAACTTGTTGCTTCTATTTCTCTAGAGAACCCTGGCTGATACCCCAGCCTTGCTGTTAAATATACTATTACTTAGTTAAAATGTGTAATGAATAATGTTTCAAGACAGAGGCAAATTGTAACAGTTACTGGTGATGGTCCTCGTGATGGCCCAGTGTTAAAGAGAGCAGATGTTGGATCTGCAACGGGATTAACAGAAACAAAGATAGCTAAAGAAGTTTCCTATATCGTTCTTACCGATGACGACCTTGCAAGTATTGTTAAAGCTGTCACATGCGGTAGAAATGTTTATGACAGCATCTTCACATTCCTTCCATTTCAGTTGGCTGTCAGTGTCACACTTGTCGCCTTCACAGCTGCATGTGTTGTTGTCCAGGATTCTCCTTCTAAAGCTGGTCAAACCCCTCTGGTGAATCTCATAGTGGATGCTTTTACTTCCTTCGCTCTGGCAACTGAAAAGACTATGGCATCACTTCTGCTTTGTAAATCTTATGGTGGAAAAAAATCTTTCCTGTCCATTTATAAAATTGGTGTATAACAATTTTATATACAGTGTATAGTTACTTTTAGTCTTATGTTTGCTATAAACTCCTTTTTTAATTTTGAAAGTGGAAGAAACACCATCCTACATGCTCTTCCTTCTCTCCTTCTACCTATTTTGTAATGATATGTTTATAATGATATATTTATAATTTAGTACTTCTGTTGGATGCAACATATATATGTATATATGTATATGTATATATGTATATATGTATATGTATATATGTGTATATATGTATATGTATATATGTATATGTATATATGTGTATATATATGTATATGTATATATGTGTATATATATGTATATGTATATATGTATATATGTATATATATATATGGAGTTTCATTCTTTGTTACCCAGACTGGAGTGCAGTGGCACGATCTTGGCTTACTGCAACCTTGCCTTCTGGGTTCAAGCGATTCTCCTGCCTCAGCCTCCCGAGTAGCTGGGATTACAGGTGCCCACCACCATGCCCAGCTAATTTTTTGTATTTTTAGTAGAGATGGGGTTTCACCATATTGGGCAGGCTGGTCTCGAACTCCTGACCTCAGGTGATCCACCTGCCTCGGCCTCCCAAAGTGCTGGGATTACAGGCATGAGCCACCGCACCTGGCCAACTTTTTAATGAAATGAATGCCAGGAAGCTTCATTGCAAAACAAACATATTTGAAAGACTTTTCGGTAATATCTTTTGTCTAACGGTCAGGTGAACATTTGCTATATCATGTGGTATGGTGCAATACTGGAGATAGGTGTTCCACTGTACAAATCTTAGTCCAGACATATGACCATGGTGCATTTTCCAAGGAGTTTTACTGGGGGTTCAGCTCTTTTTTTTTTTTTTTTTTTTTTTTTTGAGACGGAGTTTCGCTGTGTCGCCCAGGCTGGAGTGCAGTGGCGCGATCTCGACTCACTGCAAGCTCCGCCTCCCGGGTTCACGCCATTCTCCTGCCTCAGCCTCCCGTGTAGCTGGGACTACAGGCGTGAGCCACTGCGCCCGGCCTCAGCTCTTAACTATAGTTCCCAATAATTGTGTGGAGCCCATCATAAGACTTTCACTGGGGGAATGATTTAGTAAGTTATTTACTTAATTTACTAAATATACGTCAGAGTCAGAATTAAAAATGCAAAGCAAAGATCCATTTTGGGTGCTGTGCTGAGGTAGAATCAGAGATCCAGTTAGAAAGATAGAAGCATGGCCGGGCATGGTGGCTCACACCTGTAGTCCCAGCTACTCTGGAGGCCAAGGCAGGAGAATTGCTTGAACTCGGGAGGCAGAGGTTGCAGTGAGGTGAGATCATGTCACTGCACTCCAGCCTGGAAGACACAGCGAGACTCTGTCAAGAAAGAAAGAAAGAAAGAGAGAGAGAGAGAGGGAGGGAGGGAGGGAGGGAGGGAAAGAAAGAAAGAGAAAGAAAAGAAAGGAAGGAAAAGGAAAGAAAGAAAAAGAAAGAAAGAAAAAGAAAGAAAGAAAGACAGAAAGAAAGAAAGAAAGAAGGGAAGGAGGGAGGGAGGGAAGGAAGGAAGAAAGGAAAGGAGGGAGGGAGTGAGGGAGGGAGGGGATGTATTTCTTCCATTCATGCACTCTGTCAGGTCACCCAGTATAAGGAAAGGAACCCTTTCCAAATTTATACACATTTTATCTTAAATACTTAAAATATCCTAATACCCCCAAAACAACTTCATTTTATCCTTTTCCTAAAATCTTAGATTTTGCTTTTATAATAAATGAATGGAGTTGTCATCACTTTTACTTTTAAAAGCTGTTTTTTGGAAGTGAAGGATACACAGAGAGCTGTATTTTAGACAGAAGGGTAACGTGAGAATTCCATATAACTAAAGCATGGACAAGAAAAAAATATTCTAACTGTTGTATTTCCTTTCATCTTTTAGCAGAAGTCCAAGAACAAAATTATGAATAAGTTAATATATTAATATTTGCTATTAATAAAAATCAACTATCTACATTATATGAGACAAAGACATGTTTAAAAGGCCAAGTAATTTATTGAAACTATTGTTATTATATACTATAGATAAAGGATACATGTTATTATAAAAACACAGGCAAGTTAGGTGCTTTCTAAAAAATATAGGCAGCTATGTTCCAATGTAACGGCTTTTGAATTAAATTGTTCTTTAAGTGCAGATACCCTTCGTGATTACTGAAAAGAAAAGGAGAAAAAATCTGAACCGTGTTTTGTCTATTTGTTATCTGGCCAAGCTACCATTGTAACTGGGTCCTTGCAGTTCATCTGAAACATAACAAGGTCTCCATAGGGAAAATGAAGCACGGGACCAGGGAAAAGTAAGGTAAACAATGGACTTTTTGCTTTTGTGACAATTTTTTTTCTTTTTTGAAGCAGAGTCTCACTCTGTTGCCCAGTCCAGAGTGCATTAGCGTGATCTTGGCTCACTGCAACCTTGGCTTCCCGGGTTCAAGTGATTCTCATGCCTCAGCCTCCCGAGTACCTGGGATTACAGGGGTGCATCACCATGCCCAGCCAATTTTTTTTTTTTTTTAAGTAGAGATGGGGTTTCACCATGTTGGCCAGGCTGGTCTTGAACTCCTGGCCTCAGGTCATCCACCTGCCTCGGCCTCCCAAAGTGCTGGCATTACAGGCATGAGCCACTGCACCTGGTCTTGTGTGGCAAATTTAATAATTGGAATGTGAGTCATCTTATATTTGGACACTTTTGCCTTAAAGATTTAGCTTTAAGGTTACATTTGGAAGATTTCACGTTTGGATTTGTCACCAAACTCCAGAAATTTTGCTCTTAATTATCCATTATGGGGAACAATAGACTCTACCCCTTTCCGTGTTTCTGTTTGATTGTTCTGCATAACAAACTTACGATGAAATGATTTTAAAATATAAGGTCTACTACACATACAGAGCCAGGGAATTTGGCCCTGTAGTTTGTTTACCTCCTTGTCTGTATAGATTCTTTCAATAAATCAGGCATTTGTTTGAAAGCTCCAGTGTCAACAGCACTGTTCTAAGTATTTTAGAGCGTTAGGGAGAACAGAGATATGCTCTCTCTCTTAGAGCAAATTTTTGAACAATAAACTTTATAAAGCAAGAATATACTTAAATAGACGCTTTTTGCTTACTGGAGAACCCACTAACTACCAAATTTACGGTTCGTAACTTCATATGCACTAGAGAACCCCATGAGAATTCAGGCTTCCCAAAGTTTAAAAAGCTTCTTACTCACTTATGATTTTGCTTTCTTTTGTTTTTTTTTATCAGTCACAACAAGCCTCAGACTTTTACTAATGGATATTGCTATTTTCTAACAAGGAGGGAATCGCTTCTCATTACCACAGTTGCAATTTGTATTTATGAGGACATAATGACAAGAACCATCTAAATATGTCTAGTAATCTGACGAGCCCAAACCCGAAGATTCTTAAGAAAATGCTTACTTTAATTCTAACATAAAAGTTAGAAACACGTCTTTTCTGAATTATTTGAATGCCTGCTAAAAGAATCAATGGATTAAAAAAAATCATTTGCTGCTTTCTTTGATTAATACAGTTAAAATAATCAGTGATTAAAAAAAAACCATGCTGTAATTGAGCTTCTATTTGAAAGTTTTGGAGAATTGTTAACTCTCAGATATCACACAGTGGGATATGCTTTAGTTTATGGGGAAGTTATATCCAAGAGTGATCGTTACTTATTTCTGATTTCTAAACAACAATGTTTGCTACTATTTTTTTGAATTATGATGCAATAATTGACTTATGAAATACATTTTTATCAACCTTTGTATAATATCAAGGCTGTTAACATTCTGAAAAAGAAAATGATATTAACAGTAATGATGCTTCTTAATTTCCTCCTTGTGTCCAAAGAAGTTGCTAACAGGACATCCTCCTGAGAAGGAAGGAAGGACTTCTCATTCTGACTCAATTATTATTCGCTTCTTTCTCTAAGCAATCCGGAGTCAGCTTTGAAAGGGGAGAATTCCTCTCTGGCCACAGCCCTGTGGAGCTGGGATGTTAGCCTGTTAAATTCATAGCTCATTTGTCCGTACCTTTCCCCACCTTCCAGCTGCAGGAATTCAATCTCCAGGCCTGGCAATAACTCGGAGGAACTAGTTCCAGGGCAGAAGAATCTCAGCTGGCACTAAAAGAAGTTACGTGGCTCCCAACCACATGGCGGCAGTCTTCGTGGTCACAAAGAGAATGGGGCTGTCCTCTTTTCCTCCACTCTTTTCTAGGACTGCTTTTCTCTTTCAGGATTGCCTCAGGTGATGATTTAAATCCAATTTATTTCACTAGTATGTGTCTGTCTTGGGGAGAGGAGTTGGTTCACCAGGACTTGAGGCAGAATCTGTTAATCCTTCCTTGCCCCTGACTCATCCCCTCCAATCTTCAGGGGAAGCTCTGCTGGTTGCCATTGGCAAAAGAACTTGCTTGCATCACAATTAGTACTCTATAGCCAAGTCTTTGCCAATAGGGTTAAGGCAACAAAAAAGTGAACTCCAGAAACATCAAGGAGAGTACTAGTGGGTTTTTTGACAAATGGGATATAACTAGCTTAGTGACCTTGTCCCACCTCATTTATTTTATGTTCTCTATTATTAGAACAATTGTCCTTCGTAAGTGGTTTTCCCTACCTGTTTTCCAAAAACTATCAGTGGATCATATTTGCTATGACATTAAATGTAACTGTGACTTGGCTTTTAAAGCCTTTCAAAATCCAGCTCCACCATGCCTTTCTGAATTCACTCCCTAAAGCTCCATAATCCTGAGTAAATTCTCATTTCAATTGGAATCATTTCCATAAATATTCATTGAGCACCTAGTTAATCCCAGACACTGTGCTATGTACTAGGAATAAATAAGATAAAGTCCCTGCCCTATAGGAGTTCAGGACATATCAGGAGAATTAACACGAATGTAGCTATAATATAATCATAATAATAACAATCATTAACTTTATTGAGCCCATTCGTATAGTCCAGGCACCGTTCTAAGCATTTCATATCAATGTCTTTAATCCTCACAACAAACCTATGAGGTGGTATCATCAGTATCCTCATTTTATAGCTGAACCTCAGAGAGGTTGTTTTCCAAGATCACACAGTTAATAAATGAGTAACTGAATCCAGACAATCTGGCTACAGAACCTACTTCCTTAACTACTATTATTATATAGATATTGTGAAGAGAGCTGTACTGGAAATGGAACAAAGGCTACAGGAACAGAAAGGATGCAATTCATTCAGCTTGGGGATATGGGAAATGGTGTCACAGAGACAATCTTGCTCTATTCCTTATTTATGTATACCCCTACCTCCTGGAAAGGAATCAGGACAGCTCACACTGGGAAAGGTATGCATTAAAGTAATGATAAAATTTAGAAATAAGGAGTCAGAACCAGGGACAATGTAAATATTGTAAGAAAATCAAGGCCAGAGGAAAAGTAAATTTCTTCTTAAAGGCATAGCTTAGTTGGCCAGGCGCGGTGGCTTATGTCTGTAATCCCAGCATTTTGGGAGGCTGAAGTGGGTGGATCATAAGGTCAGGAGTTCAAGATCAGCTTGGACAAGATGGTGAAATCCCCCTCTCTACTAAAAATACAAAAATTACCTGGGTGTAGTGGCGGGCGCCTGTAATCCCAGCTACTCGGGAGGCTGAGGCAGAGAACTGCATGAACCCAGGAGGCAGAGGTTGCAGGGAGTTGAGATCACGCCATTGCACTCCAGCCTGGGCAAAAAAAAAGAATAGCTTAGTTACACCATGCTTTAGCATCTAATTTTGCTATGAAGTTTCTGGTAGTCAAAGAGAAAAGCAAGTCAAGCTCAATTGCATGTTTACTGTCATAAAGGAAAAAGCAAGCCAGTTTATCACAGGAGAAAACAAGCCTTCCTTAGAAGTATGTTCTAAAATAAAATTTTCAAGAGGGATTACTGAGAACTGTAGTAGAAACCATGTCCCCTACGATGCTCCTGTAACAAAATAATAGAAAAATTTATATGGCAGTTTCTTAAAACATTTGTTGATAAAAGCCAAGGATATAGCATTAATGTAATTTAGCAAAGATGATTCCATTAAGGATACTACTGTCTGAATTCAGAATTTTCTGGTGGTAGGATTTGGAGCTAAGTTTAGAAAAATGAGGATTTTTCTAGGTTTAGAAGCAGGGTGAAGTCATGCAAGGAGGAAAAACAATATGATGTCCAGTTTAGTGTGATTTCCCTGGTACCTATGTGTGTGGAGGGAGGAATGGAGAGAAAGTCGGTCGGTGAACAAACCTTTATTGAGTGCCTCCTCTGTGTCAGGTCCTGTGCAAGCTTCTGGTATATGAGAATGACTAGGACAAAGTCCCTACCCTCAAAGAGATTACATTCTAGTGTGTAGGTCTAGTGAAGGGGTGGAAACTAGAATAATAAAGTTGGGAACAAATAAGTAAGTAATCTCACATGAGTGCTGATCATTATGATAAAGAAAACAGGGTAAAGTAAAGTACCTGGGGTGGAGGACTGCTTAAGCTGGGACCTTCAGGAGACAGCATTATAAGTACCGGCTGAAGCGCTTTTTCAGACAGAAAACGTAGCAAATTTTAAAGACAGAAAACAAGATGGATTTTCTTTTGAGAATAATGAAAGCCAGTGGAGGATTTTAAGCAGGAAGCTGACAATGTGATTTACATTTTTTTTTTTTTTTTTTTTTTTTGAGACAGAGTCTCGCTCTGTCACCCAGGCTGGAGTGCAGTGGTGCAATCTCGGTTCACTGCAACCTTCAACTCCTGGGTTCAAGTGATTCTCCTGCCTCAGCCTCCCAAGTAACTGGGTTTACAGATGCCCGCCACCACACCCAGCTAATTTTTTTTTGTATTTTAAGTAGAGACGGGATTTCACCATGTTGGCCAGGCTGGTCTCAAACTCCTGACCTCAGGTGATCCACCCGCCTCAGCCTCCCAAAGTGCTGGCATGAGCCACCACGTAAATTTTTAAAAGCTCACTTTGGCTGAGATGTGGAAGATGGAGCAGATGGATATTGAGAGAGAAAAATGGTGGCAGAAATGCCAGTTGGGAGGCTACTTAGAGAGTCCAGGGGACATGATGGCAGCTTGGACTAGGGTTGTACATATTTTGGAAATAAAACAAATGTGGGGTATGAATGAGAGATTTTTGTATCAGGAAAGAAAGAAGAGTACGTGGATCAAGTTACAAGTATGTTATTGGGTTTGGTGATAAGGAAATTGATTAGTTATCATTTGTGTCTATTTTTAACGTAATGCAGAAGGCAAGACTATCACCTAGTAATGATGAAAAGAGTAGATGATAGAGATTTAATCAAGGATGATGCATAGTCGTGTTGCCGAAGCAAGTAGGTGAATGATGTGCCTTTTCTTTTCTTTCTTTCTTTCTTTTTTTTTTTTTTTTTTTGAGACGGAGTGTCGCTCTTTTGCCCAGGCCGGAGTGCGGTGGCGCTATCTCGGCTCACTGCAAGCTCTGCCTCCCGGGTTCACGCCATTCTCCTGCCTCAGCCTCCCGAGTGGCTGGGACTACAGGCGCCCACCACCACGCCCGGCTAATCTTTTGTATTTTTAGTGGAGACGGGGTTTCACCGTGTTAGCCAGGATGGTCTCGATCTCCTGACCTGGTGGTGATCAGCCCGCCTCGGCCTCCCAAAGTGCTGGGATTACAGGCGTGAGCCACCACGCCAGGCCACCTTTTTTTAAAATAGGCACATTTAAACTTAAACAAGACATGGAAATGGGGGAGTAGGGAAATAAGTAGTTCTGTTTTGACCAAGTTAAGTTTGAAATGACTACTGGACATCCAAGTGGCAGTGGCGATAGAAGTCAGGAGCTCAGCTGAGAAGGCAAGAATAAACTGAAAATTAAGGGGAATCTAAAAGATTTTAAATAAATACAGAGAATATATTTTTAAAATATGCTAATAACATTTTCAAATGTACCTCTGTTTTCTTTTATCTTTGCAGACAAAGATTCTCTTTAAA
Source organism: Homo sapiens (assembly GCF_000001405.40). NCBI lineage: Eukaryota > Metazoa > Chordata > Mammalia > Primates > Hominidae > Homo > Homo sapiens. The sequence goes on from NC_000008.11 coordinate 19,249,088, forward strand.
ACCCTGAGTCCGTTCATTCATCTGGGCAAAAAAGTACAATAAATAAATATTTTCCCTGTTTCCTCTTTTTCCAAGATTCAGAGCATACATACAAAAGCCTTGAGACTGGAAAGATTATTTGGAAGTTGGGCAGAAGAGCAGGTCACAAATAGACTAAGAAAGAGAAGCCATGTTAACAGGAGGAATACCAGATAAGACAGAGGGCTTCCAGATTTATTGGTGTGATAAATGTAAAAACACTGTCACAGAGTCTGGGGAAGAAAGTCTTTCAAGAAGAAAGGAATGGTCAATCACGCAAAAATACTGCTGAGAGGGTGAGTAAAATAGGAAGCGAGCATTGACCACTGGCTTTGGAGAAATTTAAGTCATTGGTGATCTTGGCTAGTATTTTAGAGAAGTGGTAGGAAGAAAAGCCCAATTGGTGTGGGAGGAGTGAAAAATAAGAGGTGAAGAAGCGGAGACAGCCGGGAATACAAGTCTTTTAGGTAGGTCTGCTGTGAAAAGAAATAGAGACATACGGTGGCAGCTGAAGGGACACGAGATCATGGAGGATCTTTTCCAATGATGGGTGATATTAAGCTATGTGTATATATAGATAGCAATGACCCAGTGAGTGGAAACTGATGACGTAATAGAAAAATTATATACCTTTAGAAGCGTGGTCCTTAGGAAGGGAGAGAGAACAGAACAGAGAATTCTATAGAAATTGAATGATGGAAAGAGGAGATGAGAGAAATTTAAGGAGATGTCAAGTAATCATCTTAAAGAGTAAAAAGGCAAATGTACTACAGCAAAGGAGGATTACCCAAGAGTGTTGCATGCTCATTTGATATTTGTGGATTTAAATAAAAAAACAATTGAAGGGGCTGGGCGCAGTGGCTCATGCTTGTAATCCCAGTCCTTTGGGAGGCCACCGTATGGATTACTTGAGGTCAGGAGTTCGAGAGCAGCCTGGCCAACATGGTGAAACCCCATCTCTACTAAAATTACAAAAAATTAGCTGGGCACAGTGGTGAATGCCTCTAATCCCAGCTACTCATGGGGCTGAGGCAGGAGAATCACTTGAACCTGGGAGGCAGAGGTTGCAGTGAGTGGAGATCATACCACTGCACTCCAGCCTGGGTGACAGTGAGACTCCATCTCAAAAATAAATGAAAATAAATAAATAAATAAATAAATAAATAAATAAATAAATAAAAAACAATTGAGGTATTATGAAGGAGGGCTCAATGTCTTCTTTACTTCAGTCACTCATTTCCTAAACTCATATCTTGAGTTCCCTACATCTATTCTACCTATGAAATTTAAACTCCAATATCCCACTCTCTAACCACAGTCTTTTATCATTCAAGTTTTCATCCACTTGGTACCAATATACCATGTATCTATTTAATGTCACAATGACCTTGTCATCTTCATTTCTCTTGGGCTATTGGGTCTCATTCAGGCTTTATTTCTCTTTATGTGTTGCTTAGATTCCATAGTTCATTACTTCAGTCATTTTCTCTGTAATGTCTTAACTTTAATTTCCTTAACCTATTGTCCATTCGTTGTGCACATTCTACAGAATTCAAGATGAGCCAAGTGATCTGCCTTTTCTATTCTTACACCTGTGCTGTAGGGCGAAGCAAGGAGAAGAAAGAAAAAATATATGAATGCTGCCACACACATCCATGGTTTGTCAATGCCCAGCCATCCTTGGTGTGCATTCTTAGTGAGTTTCTACTCCAATTCTTCCTGAGTGATTACATTTTCATCACATTTCTGAAGGTTTTGCCACTTCTGCCATCACAATTTGAAGGTAACATAGCCTTATTTATGATAGAGAAGACAGAAGTAATCAGAGGAGAACCTTTATAAATTGTCGTTCCCCTCCATCAACTTTACTCTCCTTCCTTGTTTCCTTTCTGCTTCAATAGAAGTGACAGCTCGAGTCCCATTCTATTTTAATTTCCTCCTTGAATGTTTTGCCTCCCCTATATTGTCCCTGATGGTTTTGTTTGTGATAAACACCTAATTCAAACTAACGTAGGCAAATGAACCCCAAGGATAGGGCTGGCTTTAACCACAACTAGTTCCAAGAGTTCAAATTCGGTTTTCAGGACTTTGCCTTTTTCTTGTCCCCTCTGAGCTTTTCTTTCCTCCATCCCTCAGCACAAGGAAGGTCACCTCCAGGTGGGTGGTAAAGATTGCCACCAGCAATTCTAACTTTTGTTGTCTTTACAAATAATGACACCACATGAAATAAAATTTCATTTTCTTGGTAACTGAAACAAAAGTACCAAGAAGGACTCTGATTGCCAAACCTGAGTCACACATCCACCTCATCACCAAGAAAATGGTCAGCCACCGTGGGTCAAGTGCTCATCCCAGGACTCAGAGAGTGGAGAGGGAAGTGGGGACATGTGAGCGACAGCCTTACCAGGTGGGAAAGTAGCATTTCTTGAGCAAAAATATGCTCAACAGACAAAACCTTATCGTATTTACACTGCATATCCCTTACTGGCCTTCCTAAGAGTTGAACTCATGAAGCAGCCCTTCTCATTCCCGTATCTTCAAACTCTTCTACTGACATTGCCATTTGTTATATAATAATAATAATGCTTAACACAAATGCCTGGCACATAAGTGTTCAGTAAGTGTCAGTAGTAGGAATAGTAATAATGATAATAACACCAACTGCTGTCCCAGCTTAAGCAAATTCTTAGGATCCTCCTCTGCCTTCCCTCTCCCTCCATCCCCCTGTGAAAGGAAAGTAAATCTCCGGACTCCAAAATCACCAAGCCCAGGGGAAAAGTCAAGATGGGAACCGCATTGGGCAAACCTGCCTCCCATTCTGTTCCTGAATAAGACAGCTACACAGATTAAAAAAAAGAAAAAAAGAAAAGCTACATACCTCCCTCACAATTCACCCACAAGGAAGTTCCTTCTGGACCAAAGACAGAACTCGAAGTCATCCCTCTCCTCACATGAGACAAATGCATATCTGATTGCTTCCTTTGCCCTATTGCTTGACTAAGCCAGACGAAGGCATAAGTGACTATTCCTGTAAATTGTGTATTCAGTGAAAACGCTAATCAGAAACTCAAAAGAATGTATTTTGTCTACCTATGACCTGGAAGCCCACGCTCCACTTCAAATTGTCCCGCCTTTCCAGGTTGAACCAACGTGCATTTTACAAACATTAATGTTTCATGTTTCCCTAAAATGTATAAAACCAAGCTGTGCCCTGACCACCTTGAACCCATGTCATCAGGACCTCCTGATGCCTCCACAGGCATGTCCTTAACCTTGGCAAAATAAACCTTCGGCAAAATAAACCTTCAAAATTGACTGAGACTTGTCTCAGATACCTGGAGTTCACACCCATCTTCCCTGCTAATCATCTGTATTGGTGTATTAATGCTGCTATAACAAAATACCACAAACTGAGTAATTTATAAACAACAGAATCTGGAGGCTGGTAAGTCCAAGATTAAGGCACTGGCAGGTTTGACATCCAATGAGGGCCTGATTTTTACTTCCAAGAAGGTGCCTTGTTGTTGTGTCCTCTGGAGGGGACAAACATTGTGTTCTCAAGTGGTGGCAGGGATGGAAGACAAAAAAAGGGGGCCAAACTCAGGCCCTTTTATAACAGTACTAACCCAACCCATGAGGGTGAAGCCCTCATGGCCTAATCACTTTCTAGGGGGCCCCTCCTCTTAATACTACTGTGCTGGGGATTAAGTTTCAACATGAATTTGAAAAGGGACACAAGTATTGAAACCATAGCAGCATAACTATGTCTGTCCTTCCCCAACATCCACTTCCTCAGCTTACTACAGTCTGTCTTGCCCCTGTACCACTTCCCTGACACATCACCAATAGCCTTCACCAACCCAAGTCAGATAGATACTTTCCCAATTTGATTTCACTGAACACCTTCAGTTTTTGATACTATTGACAATTATATTCTTGTGACTTTCCTCCCTTCCTTTTGTAACTCTTTTCAAACAGCTTTCCTCCTTAGCATTATTCTTGTCTACCTTAATGGCTACTTCCTGATTTCCACCGTGAATATGACTCTAATGATTTCCAACATCAGCCCCGTCTCTTTACTGAGATGGAGTTCTCTGTAATACAACTTCCTATTGAAGAGTTCCATTTGGATGTCCCACAGGCACCTAAAGCAAAGCATTTAAAAAACTGAATTTATCATTTCCCACAGCCTATAACAAAAAATAAGTTCCCTTAATTATATTTCCTAATTTTATTGAATGGCTCTTTAAACACCTATAACTGCTAAAGCCGCAGGATTGGGAGTTATATTTTTCTCTCCCTCGCAATATCCAGAATCAAATTTAGTAAATGCTTTCTTCTAAGAATCAAATCTACTCACTTCAAATGCCACTTCTCTAATTCAGCCCATGTCATCTCTTGCCCGCATTATTGTCAATGATCCATAACCAAATCCTCTACCTCTCCTGCAAATCACTCGCCGTATCTTTACTAAAGCAATTGTTTTCATTAAAAGCAAATCTGGTCACATTGTTCTTTAGTGGCTTCCTATGGCATCAGTCAGATCTAGTCTTCTTGCATAGGAGACCGAAAGTTCTGGCTGGCCAAATTTAAGGGACAGTTTATTTGCGTGTAGCTTCTAGAACAAAGATATTCATGTCTTTAACCTCTTCACTTTCCCAGTGCCCAAGAGAACCTCATAAACTTGACATCAACAGGCTTAGCAATAAGCCATATTCATGAATAGTCAGGGAAAGTTACAGCTCTTTCTAAAGGGGTGGGAGGGGTCTCAGTAATTTAGGGGAGGAAAGTCTTTACCTTCTGGTATTCACATCTTTATGTAATCCCCTCCCCTTGAGTATGGGGAATCACTTCTGAATTAGTTATAAATCGACTGTAGCTCTGACTTAGGTACACTCTCTTGGGTCCTCATTCTGGGGGAAGCCAGCTGCCAGGT